>NC_000003.12:58191818-58494848 GCF_000001405.40 Homo sapiens | reverse complement strand
TTAAGCTTAAGAAAACACATACTGAAGAATTTATAGAAACCTTAAAAGGAAGTATTAATTTTCTAAAGTAGCATATCTGAAGAAATGCATACATAATTCAGTAAGTTAATAACTTAAAAAAATAACCTAAGAACCCTTAAATGCCATTCTCCCTATCACTGCAGAATTGCAATTACAGGCCTAATGGTTATGATGAACTAACTTAACAAAAATATTCTGGGTTTATCATTCCTGCTATAGATTAAGAATTCTCCGGGGCAAAAGTCCTAATCCTATATAACTACCTATATGTTGCAATAAAAACCTCCAACGAATAATAAAAAACTCCAACTACTGACTTCCCAGAGTTTCCAGGCAGCCCTTTAAAAATGCTTTTTTACTGAAACCTTCGTGTCTGGTAGTCAGAAAAGACTCAATAAACTCCCTCTTTCTATACTTACCTTCAAAATTGCCTTGTATTGAGTTTTGCTCTTCTTGAAATGTGGGAGTTTGAAAGCGAAATACTTTTTATAGTAACTAGTTCAGCGACATCTAAAGGAGTCTTTGGGGTTAACATTCACATACAGGCCAGCATAAGTAGCCAGGCATACAAGGATAATGTGATTATGGTTAGATTATCCTTAACCATACCACTGCAGAAATGGATTTTTCTCTACAAGTAATCATTTTCTCTTTCTCCTTTCTCAACCATGTGGTCTAGAAGAGAGAAGCTATAGGTTTAAAAGTGACCTAATATTAAAAAGCTGTCACAAATAGTCACAAAATCATAACATTCCTCTTAACCCTCAGTTTCCGCAAGATAAAACGGGATAATACCACCTTCCCAAAACGGGGTAATTACACCATTTAGGCACAACACAAAGGCAAAAATTGGCCTATAAGAGTAACACATCAGGACAAGGAAAGAGAACAGGTTCCCAGGGAGGTCCTGTAGTTGAATTCTGCTCCGTTACTGATTATGAGACCCTGAGAAAATCACTCTTTATGCCCAGCTTCTTCTTTGGGGAAATGGAGAAAATAAGGGAGATCATGAATATAAAACCATCTGTAAACTAGCAAGTATTAGACAAATGTGAAAACATTAGTGGCAGCAGCATAAACAAAATTTCTAGGTTAACATGAGAAACTTGAGTGTGAACACAAGTAATTTAGAGCATTGGCCTGGAGACGGCAAATATGGAGGAGGCAGCCTCTTAATTTGCTTCAAATCTCCCCAGGTCCTCCTTTTCCCAGAGCTCCAGAAGGGAGAACTATATACAGGTAAAGGGGAGTGTCTAGTTTTCCCAGAGTTCACCAAACACCTGAGCTCCTGATCTCAGAAGGAACTTCTTTAAAGCATGACTCGGGATTATCTCCAAGTTAAAGCTGAATCCAAATACATACAGGTACTCCATTTTAAATGGACCCCAAATATCAAAATCCAAGCGCACTGAAGGATTCATAGGGTTCACCCTAAGATTCCTTTAAGTAGTAATGCTTTGGTTAAAATATGATTTATGAAAATTCAAATCACAAAACTTTGGAATGGCATCCATGGCTATCCTGACCACTCCATCGTTCATATCTAAGGCATAGCACAAAATCAAGTATCAGTATGGACTGATGGTTTCGGCCAAAGAGAAAATACTCTCAACCTACCAACCCTGCTGACAAACACATTTTCCTTTTCCTAGCTACATATTCGTTCATTTGAAAACATCTCAATCTTGGGCTCAGGACTGTGCTACATGCTGTCCCCAAGCTTCTCTCCTATCCCAGGATGATTCAAGTAATAGGGCATTTGTGACAGCGAAAAAAAGAACATGCCAGGGGGATATAGAAGAGATACTTAGGCTACCCCAAATATTCTTAGCCGAGCCGGGTCATCCCAGGTCACTTTGCCACCCAAACCTCTTCTATCACAAAGTCCTAAAATTGGATCCATCAACTTGTTCTAGAACTGGTATACTTGAACAGAAACATGGTAACTTCGGCAGAATATCCAAACAGGATCTCTGTCACGTTTCATTTCCCCGTCCCACCCCCAGACACAGCCTCCACCACTGTCAGCCCAGCAGGTGCTGCCAGGGCTCCCCATTACCATGGCCATTTATCACCTCTGACATCAAGCATTAAAAACGCCACCACACACACACAAATCTAGGCATAAAGAACTCAGCTGCGATCTGAGAGTCTCTTCAGGGCAGAAAATCCCAAAGGCAGGGTTTTGAGTCCTGCCTCAAGCTTTAAACTAGGGCAATTGGTGGCTAATAAGCGCCATCTCCCAAAAACAATCATTTTCGAGCACACCCCAAATATCTCCGTCCGGGCCGCCCTTCGCTGCTGCCCCGCCAGCGAAGCCCCCGCAACCCGACCCGGCCAGGGGTAGGGCGGGCGATGCTCCGGGCCCGGACGAGGGGCGCGCCGCGGGGCTCCGAACCCGGGCCCGCAGAAACCGCGCATCCCCGCCGGGCGGGCCCCGGAACCCCCGCCCAGGCCCCGCCGCGGGCACCTCCGCTGCTGGCTCGTGCCAGCCCGGGACGCGCGGTCCCCTCAACGCGGCCCCGCCGCCGCCCCGTTCCAGGAGCCCCCGCCCAGATCCTCCTCAGCCCCGCTCCCCTGGCCGCTCGGCGCAGACGTCTCCTGAAACCCGGCCCTCCCAAACCCCGGCCCCGCAAGCCCCGCGCCAGCCCCACTCACTGCGCGGCGGCGGCGGCTGCTGCGGCCGGGCCGGGAGATGCCCGCGGCCGGAGAGCGCGAGCGCGGGGACAAGCGAGCCCGCGCCCGGCGACGGCGGCGGCGGCGGCGGCAGAGGGGACGACTGAGCCCGCGCCCGGAGTTGCGGCTCCAGCTGCCCGGCGCGGGCGGCGCCTTCCCAGCAGAGCCGCGGCGCCACGAGCGCGGGCGCCCCCTAACGGCAGCGCGGGCTGGAAGCCAGAGAGCGGGCGGCCTGAGGAACTCAGCCAGCGCAGTCGGAGCCGCGCGGTCAAGACCACACGACCGCAGCCCCGAAGCCCCGCCCCGAAGCCCCAGTCCCGCCCCTTAGGCTCCGCTCCGAAGCCCCGAAACCCCGCCCCTACGTCCCGCCTCCGCCCGCAGCCTGGGGTCCGCCCAACCCCAGGCCCACTGCGTCCTCAGGGGTGGTGCCTCCACAGCTGTTTCTCCTTAGTCATTTCACGAACTTGTATGGGCCCCCCACTATATCTCAGGCCTGGGGGTTTAGGAGATACAGCGGCCACCAAGACGGAGGCGGGTCCTAATCAAAGGAGAAGACAGACAAGACTCAAGGAAACAGCTAATAGACAAAATAATGACAAGTTATGGCCGTAAGTGTTGGGAGGGACATGATTAGAGGACTTAGATGGAGAAGAAGGGAAGGGAGCCCCTGCTCCAAACGCAGTGGCCGAGGAAGACCTGGACCCCGACCTGCGGCCAGAGCTCCTCCTGCCTGCCCTGCATTGGGGAGACAACCCTGCGATGAGGCCTGTGAAGAAGCCCCCGGGGCCACCGGGGCAAGACGGTCTGGTCCGGCCTGACGGGCAAGACAGCAAAGGGCTGCTGGGCCCAGAAGCTCAGCAACACGGGCAGCCAGGTGGAGAGAAGGGCAGAGCTACCTTCAGCAGACAAAACGACCCATGCAAAGGCTCTGGGGCCTGGAGGAGCTCGACCCTAGATGAGACTGGCGCTGGTATTGTCCCCACTTCACCAGGAAGGAAGCCAAGGCTGCAGAGGATGGGCAGCACCTAACGCCTCAGGGCTAATTGGTCTCCATCCGTCCACTCGTTCCAAGTCCATTCACTTCCTGCTAGCCAGGCCACTGTCCCCTTCCGGTGGGACCAGTTACCTGATGCTGGGTTTAACCTTCTCCACCAGAATAACCACTGGCCTTAGAAACTCACTTGGGTTTCACGTCTGCATGTGTGTGAGCTAGCTCTGGGGTTGAAATTGTATCAGCATGATCATCACAGTTATATCTGATACTTGATTTGTCTCCAAAAGCTCAAATTGATAGGTTAAATAAATGACATATGCTTCATCAACATAACTGAGTGCTACATTATCAAATTCACAAAGACTAGGTGAGAATACAGGGAAATGTGTGTGAAAATGATCAATACACAAACTAGTACACATGATATCCTGATTTTATTTTTAAAAACATAAATATATACAGACAAAAATTTTGAAGGAAATACATCAAACCATTGACCATCGTGTTCAAGATAACAGTATGGGAATGTTAATGGCATTACTTCATAACGTTCTTCTGAATTTTCATGAATATTGAATTTATAATCAGAACACATAAATATTGAATTTATAATCAGAAAAATACAATGAGTTTTGGTTTGGTTTTTCTTTTTTTTTTTTTTTGCCCCCCACTCCTCCCCACCCCACTGGGTTTTGTTGTTTTTTAATAGAAGGACAATACCAAAATTACCCAATACTCAGATCTCCAGAATTTGGTGCCACTGAAAACCCAGAATTGCCTCTGATTTACTGGGTATCCTTGAAAGAGTCATTTCCCCTCTCAGGGCTTCTATTTCCCCATATAAAAACTGATGGATTAATTTTGTTGGTGATTTTGTCAGACCTAGTCCCTCCTATCTTAAAATTTTTATAACTAGTGCTAATTGTACTTTCACTTTTGTATTTTATAATTGATAGATGGCTATTGAAATGCAGTTGGGTTTTATATAATCTTATATTCAGCAAAAGTGAACTCTTTCAGTTCTAATAAGTTTGTAGGTTCTCTTGAATTCGCTGTGCAAATAATCATAGAGTCTGCAAGTCATAACAGTGTGGTATCTTCCTGTCCTTTTTTTCCTTTTTCTTGCTGTACTGTGCTGACTAAATTCTCTCACACAATGTTGAAGAGCAGTGATGGTAATGGGCATTTTTATCCTGTTCTTGACTGCTTGTAACATATCACCATTAACTATAGTGTTTGTTGTGGATTTTTTGATAGATATTCTTTATCAGGGTAAGGAAGCACTATTCTTCTTTACTATGAATGGGTGCTGAATTTTATCAATGTGAGATTCCCCCCATTGCAATGTAATGAATTACAACCATGGATCTTACTATATTAAACCATCCATGTATTCCCGGGATAAACTCGCCTTGATAATGTATTTTTTTAAGTCAATGCATTTTTATTCAAGGAATTTCACACGTCATGATGTATTATTTTTTCAGTATACCGCTAGATTCCATTTGCTGATATTTCATTTAGGGTTCCATTTGCTAATATTTCATTTAGGGTTTTTGTATCCACGTGGATGACTGAGATATGCTACTATTTGCTTATTCTCTCCTCGTCTGGCTTTGCTATCAAAGTTACATGAGCCTCATAACATACCTTAAGGAATGAGTGTCTATTCACTAGACTGGGATTTTCTGTAGTTTGAATGTTCTATAGGATTCTCCCGCAAACCATCTGGATCTGTTGGTTTGGGGGGTTGGGGGTGGAAAGGGTTTATATTGGAAGCTGTTTGCCTCCACAGAGCTCAGGGTTGCAAGCCTGCTGGGGAAGGCTGGCTTCTGGTTTACAGCTGCCCCTGACCCTCTGCACCTTTCTTTTCCAGGTGGCCACCAAGTATCCAGGCTCCTGTGGTAAAGATACTGATCCTGGTCTGCCCTGGGGCCAGGCTGACCTGGAGGGGGCTGTTTATTATTGCAGCTACACCTGTTACAGGAAGGAACCAAGCCCAGCACGGTGCTGGGAGGGCAAAGGGGCACCAGCAGTTGACAAGACAATGAAGTGTGGAGATCTGAGTCCCCTCCCTCTCTCCCTTCTCCCAACTCTCACTGCCTAGCCGACCTCACCTCCTACTTGTCAGGAAAACCTTTCCCCTTCAGTGGGAGCCCCCTAGAACCCTCCTCTGCCCTCTTTTGGAATGACCTGCATTGCACTGTCCTCCCCTCATGAGATGGCTGGGGGATTCCACCTCCTGTCCAGGTGATCCCCTCCCTGGGCTCTAGTCCATTCCTTCTCCCACCCTTTAGCCTCTCCAGGCTCAGATCTTCCATCCCTCCCTCTCTCCAGTCCCCATCTCCCACGCCCATCAGCAGATAAACAGCCTCAGGTCTCTGTCCCTGACTCAAGAATTTTCAGACTTCTCCTTCGACACAGTGTCCCCCTCCCTCTCTTCCTTTGCTGTGTCCCCCCACTTCCCCTAAGACCCCAACCCGTAACATTCAATCTGGCCTCAGGGCCCACCTCTCCATCTAAATGGCTCACCAGAATCCTCCTTGATACTAAATCTGAAAGAACCTCCTCCGACCTGCATGGCTCAGGCCTCTCCGCAGCAAGGCTTCTGCAGTGACGTCTGCCAGGGGACAGCCCCTTCCCTTGGCTTCTAGGATGCATGTTCTCCTCCTTCTTCCATAGCTCCTCCTCTTAGACTTACAAAGATGCTCCTCTTGCTTTACCCCGACACTTAAGCTCAAGTTCCTGTTCAACACAATCCCCTCCTCTCCATGTACCCCTCTCCATGGAATGGTTCAGCCACCTCCATGGATTCCTTTACTGTGTCTGAGCCAAAGGCTTCCAAATCCCTGTCTCCAGCCCAGCCCTCTATCCTGAATCCAGAGCTATAGATCTTGTCTGTTCTATAGCCCCAATTCTGTACAAGGTACTGTGCTAGGTGCTTTTACCCACTGTATCAGTTACCTTTTGCCACATAACAAATAATCCCAAAAGGTAGGGACTTAAAACGGCTTCCAAGTGCTTTCCCCTCTGTTTCTGTGGCTCAGGAACTTGGAAGCAGCTCAGGGTCCCGCAGGAGCTTGCAGTCTAATTGGCGGCAGGAGCTGCACTCATCTGAAGCCTGGAGACTTCCCTTCCAAACTCACTCATGTGGCGTTCAGCATAAGGCATTCATTCCTTGTCATGAGAGTCTCTCCTGACAACATGGTAGCTGACGTCCCCCAGAGCAAGTGACCCAAGAGAGAGCAAGATAGAAGCCACAATGTCTTTTATAACCCAGCCTCAAAAGCGACACACATATGATTATGGTCCCACAGATCAACCCTACTACAGTGTGGGAGGGCACAACAAGGCGTGAACCAGGAGGCTGCCACCACACCCTCACGACAGCTCTGAGGGCAGAATACCCCCACCTCCCACGGGATACGTGAGAAGGCAAAGGCACAGAGAGGTGAAGTTATTGATCCAGGCCACGTGACTAAGTGTGGCAGGAGAGACTGGAACATGGTTCTGCCGGCTCCCTGCAGTTTCCTCCTCCTCACAGCCCATCGAACCAGGGTCTACCGCCAGCCTCCTCACCCTCAGCATGTGCAAATCTGAACTCTCCTCACCACCCCCAAACCTCCCAAGTCCCCAGCTCAGCTCGGCAAATGGCGCCTCCGTCCTCCCATCTGCCCAGACCAGAAGCTTTGAGTCATGCCTGCTCCTCCCTCCCCCTCACTTCCCAGTGCCAGAGAACCCAGCCCTGCCAAGTCTTCCCCCTCAGTGCAGCCTGGATCCATTTCTCCTTCTCCCTCTTCATCTCCACCACCAAGCCAGCAATGTGTCCATCTCGGACCTCTGCAGTAGCCCCCTCCTGGTGTTCCCCGTTCCCTCCGCCCTGACCCTACACTGCCCATCCGTCGTCCTCTCTCCAGCATGAGTCAGCTCTAAGAGCACGAAGCTGTGTGTCACCCTGCCTGCTTTATACTCCTTCAGTGGCACCCATTGCCTTCAGGGTCCAGTTGAAACTCCCTGCAGTGTGGTCTGATCCCTGCCCACTGGTCCTTCCTCCTCCCCTCTCCTCTCTCTCTGGGCCCAGCCTCTCTGGCCACATTTTAGGTCCTGGGACCCACTGCTCATTTTCTCACTTCAGGGCCTTCCGTTATGCGGTTCCCTTGACCTAGATCTCTCTTTCCCCACCCCTTAGCATACCTGTCTCCTCATCCTTCAGCATATTGTCACCTCCTCAGGGAGGTCTTCCCTGACCTCCCAGGGAGGCTGAGTTCCCCCAGCTATAACTTCCACAGTGCCTGTCCTTCCCTCTCTCCACCTTGCTGCTTCTCAGCTGGACTGTGAGCTTCCTGAGGGCAGAGGCTGTGTCCCATTAGCTCATAACTGCACCCTAGAACTTCACCTGGTACCCGGCACTTAGCATGTACTCAACAGCTATGTGATGGTTTGGTGCATACTCTGCACTGCCTCCCGCCCTCTTGCACTCCATACTCCAGCATGTGGACAATGTTCGTTTCCTTAGATGAATTACGGGATCTCTGACCTCCAGATGTTCACTCATGCTGTTCCCTCTCAGGCATGCCCTTCCCTTTCTTCCCCCAATTCATGCAGCTAACTCCAGTTTATTCATCAGCAACTTGGTTTGCCAGATTTAGCAAATGAAAATACAGGATGCTCTGTTAAATTTGAATTTCAGATAAACAACGAATATTTTTTTCATATAAGTATGTCCCAAATATTGCAGTAGATACAAGCATCCAGTATTTTACCTGGCCACCCTATCAGGAACCAGCACCACTCCCCTCTCCTTTGAGAGGTCTCCCTGGCCTTCACCTCTACTTTAGGTCTGCTCGCCCCCTAAGCCGAGGTCCCAAACCAGCCCCCTGCTGGCTCCTGCTGAGCACATAAACACTCCCTCTGTTTTGAAATATTCCGTACCAACTGGACTGTGATCTCCTGACACAGAGAACTTTGTCTCAGACTCCATTCAGAATCTCTCTTCACCTGGGACAATCTTGGCCCTCAGGAGATGGTCAGTCAGGTTTAGAGAGAAGAGAAATGAAAAAGCAATGAAGACAAAAAAGTAAACGAGAGAGGAAAAGGAACTACGAAATGTAACACAGCCCAAGGAGCAAGAGCAGGCTGAAGCTCTTGACTGATTGCGTGCAATGTGGAGTTCCCCTTCCCACCTCCTTCCATGCCTTGCCTTGCCTTTGTCAAGTAGAGCCCCTCTTCCCCCAGTTCCAGCCTCAGGGAGCTTTCAGATTATTCTGGAGCAGGAATGCAAAAAGAAACCAGTCTGGGTCCCTTTAGAAGGTTTTCCAGAACAACCTCTTGAGCTTTAAAATGGGAGGCCCTAGGCAGGCGCAGTGGCTCACACCTGTAATCCCAGTACTTTGGGAGGCCAAAGCAGAAGGATGGATCACTTAAGCCCATGAGTTCGAGACCAGCCTGAGCAACATAATGAGACCGCCCCCGCCCCCACCGCCATCCCTACAAAAAAATACAAAAATTAGCAGGGCATGGTGATGTGCGTCTATAGTCCCAGCTACTTAGGAGGACGAGGTGGGAGAATTGCTTGAGGTGGTTGATGCTGCAGTGAGCTGCGATTGCGCCAGTGCATTCCAGCCTGGGAAACAGAGCAAGACCCCATCTCAAAAAATAAAATAATTAACCAATTCATTAATTAAAATAAAATGGGAGGCCCTGTGAGGGAGCAAGGTGGGAGTTCATGCTTCAGCCCTGGATGGAGGACAGCTGTGAGGGTGCACTGGGCAGGGAGGCACCCCTGAAGCGGGGGGCTGCTCAACTGCTATCAGAGTCCAAGCAGGTCACCTGAGGGCCAAACCCGCACTCAGCCCACACATGGCCATTCAAATTACCTCCCACAAGCTCTGCCATGCTGGGGGTGGTCCCTAGGGACTGCAGGAGGTGAGGAACCCTAAAGCAGTGAGTTGCATCGATTATCTGAACCCTCATCTCTGCTGATCTCCTTCCAACTACCCGTTGTGGCATATTCTGAGCAGTCGAGGAACTGGCCAGTGGGGAAATGCACTCCACTCTGCCTCTCTTGGTGGTGGGCTCTGTCTCTTCTGTGTATAGGTGTGTGTATGGGTGTGTGTGTCCCTTTCTTTTCCTTTGGTCCTTTTGCCACCAGTTTCACCAGCTGTGGTTTTCTTAGGACTTGTAAATGGCCTTCTTTCACTTTATACTCACTGGGCGCATCAACTCGGAAATAACTTCCTAAACAGTCCCCTTGCACTCTCTGTCCCTGGGAACTGGCCCCAGTCCCTCTCCACACTTTCCTCAGCTTCCAGGCCACCCTCTGGCACAAGTGACCCTTGCAGCCAGCAGTTTCCAATGCCTCCTCCACATCCAGCCATTAAGACGCTTTGGCAAGTTTGATGAGAGTGTTTTTCCTTTTTTTAATAAGGTTTCTAATTGCCTGTTATTTCCAACATTCTCTTTAATCAGCTTCCAAAACTCTGCTGGGAGCTACAGAACCAGGGAAAGGAATCTGGTTCTCACCAGTGTCAGGAGAGAGGCCCTGTGGTTGTCCTTGGATGTCACCATCCTCTTCACCATTATGACTCTGTAATTATAGACAACGGATCTTAAATTAGCCCAGGAATCAGAAGCTCTGGCTCCTGTCTTCAGCCCCAGGAGTGTCTCAGCGTGCCACCTCTGAAAAGTTAACTGGCTTTGAGACCCCTTTTATGTCAAGTGGGAATAAAACCGCCTAGCCATAGCATCACCAGCTGGTGTGAAAAAGGCTCGTAAAACAACTCCAGATTCTGAAGTCTCACCCTTTCAACTCCGTGCCCCCAAACACTTGTCTGTAACACATTTCAGGCCTTGGTTTGTCCTCCCTCTCTGTTCCTAATCCAAGCCATTTCCTCTGCATGTGTTTAGTTGTTTAGCAAGAGTGTAATCACTTGCAAAGCCTTGCTTCTCCTTTTCTGTCCAGTCCCTCCCAGGCTGGGTCTCTCTGGGTCCTAGGGCCTCTCTTTCCCCACTTTTTCCTACCTGGATGCCAACCCTCAACTTCAACCCAATGAGGGGGCACCGACCCACTGTCCCCGCCCCACCTCAAATATATTGCCTTGTCAAGGAGTTCTGCATGACTGTCTGAAATATGGTTATGACAGGGATCAGGACATGCTCCCCCAAAATATGGCAACCTGGTATACTGGATATTTTTAAGCTGAAAGAATTTGAGATGCAGGAAGGACTCTTTGACTTTCCCCTGACACTAGTCATAAGCCCTTATTTAGTTCCTTATGAAGTCCTCCACATCACACAAAACTTATATTACATAAATGTGTAAGTTTTTCTCTTGTTAATCTGTCTTTTGCTACAGAAGGAAAAAGGTATTTTTTCCTCCATATAGTTACCTTTATAGAGCTCCTATGTTTTATACAACATGCAATAATAATATTTGTAAAGTTGCCATAATACTGGATCTGTGAATGTTATAGGAGCTTCTGAAATGTAAAGTATGATTACAAGGCAAGAACACTATTTTAACCCTAGTAAAATGTCCCTAGGGTTTTGGGGCGATACAGGGTTTGGAGGGCTCAACACCTCAATGGCTAACAGTGGATCCATTGTCATCTCAGCAAAAAAAAAAAAAAAAAAAAGAAGAGAGATAGACAGAGCATCATGTCGAGCAGTAACTATAGCAACTGCATGAAGAGCCATGTTTTGGGATTCAGAATTGCCTTACACATGTCACTTATTTCCTGTTACTGACGTCAGGTCCCAAGATGACTGGGTGGGACCCCAGCTTGCTCTCTGGCTCTGTCACTTACCAGCAACCAGGGCTCGGACCCACTCAAAAGCCTCTCAGCCTCAGTTTCCTCAACTGTAAAATGGAATAAACAACTCCTATGCAGGGTTGTTACGACACTAAAATGAAACAATTAAAGTATGAAAAATTCTGATAATGCAGTGCCTGGCACGAAGTCGGCACACAATAAATTGGTAGCTCTTATTGTAATAACTAATTGCTGTACTGCTGATTTGAAGAGATAAATATAGAAGTGAAACCCTGGCAGGCAGCAGGAGAACTGGGCTGAGAGATAGGGGACTTTTTGAGACTGATGATTTGATTGTTCCAATAAGACCTCTTAAAACATCCATTTATTTTGGTTGCAAGTTGAGATATTGTCCACCTTGATAATTGCTATGAATAATTAAGGAACAATGACTTCCATTGACGTTCTTATAGCACTTGTGTGATTAATTAAATATATCTTTTTATAATCCTTTCTGAATTAAGACACACAAAACCTAAACTCCTAACATTGTAAAACTAAAGTGGCAGAGTGATGTAATTATACACAGTAATAAACAGGAAAGTAATAACTTTAAATATCATTAAATACTTAAGTAATAACGAGGAAGAAACAGCATCCCCATTTTGACTGAATTTTTTTTTTCGGTATAATTTTGTTACTGGGTTATAACGTCTATATAGAAATATGCACAGAGCAAAAACAGCTCAATGAATTTTCACAAAGTAAACATACCCTTGTAACCAACATGCAGATAAAGACAAAGAACAGCACCAGTACTCCAGGAGCCCCTCATATCCTGTCTTGGCTAATCTTTCCATTACTTTCTTTATTTTGTTTTCTTTTCTCCTCTTCCTCATTCTTCCTCTTTGAGATATAATTTGCAAGCCATACAATGTGTTCATTGTAAATATAGTTTGATGATTTCTTCTAAATTTATGCAATTGTGCAAACATCACCACCATTCACTTATTTGTTTGTTTGTTTTTTGAGATGGAGTTTCGCTCTTGTTGCCCAGGCTGGAGTGCAATGTCATGTTCTCGGCTCACTGTAACCTCTGATTCCTGGGTTCAAGGGATTCTCCTGCCTCAGCCTCCTGAGTAGCTGGAATTACAGGTACCCACCACCATGCCTGGCTAATTTTTGTATTTTTAGTAGAGACAGGGCTTCACCATGTTGGCCAGGCTGGTCTCGAACTCATGACCTCAGATTATCCACCTGCCTCAGCCTCCTAAAGTGCTGGGATGACAGGCATGAGCCAACATGACTGACCACTATTCAGTTTTAGAATTCTTCCTTTGCTCCAAAAACTTCTCTTGTTCAAAGTCAGTCCCTTTTGATGGTCAATCCTTATTCCCATCCTCAGCCCCCCACAACCATTGATCTGCTTTCTGTCCCTAGAGTTTAGAGCTTTGCCTTTACCAAAATTTTTAAATAAGTGGAAGCATACAACAGGAGACAATAATAGTCTTTTGTGTTATAACTGGTTTTTGTTTTTGTTTTGAGACGGAATTTCGCTCTGTCACCCAGGCTGGAGTGCAGTGGCACAATCTCGGCTCACTGCAACTTCCACCTCGGGGGTTCAAGCGATTCTTCTGCATCAGCCTCCCGAGTAGCTGGGAGTACAGGCGCATGCCACCATGCCTGGCTAATTTTTCTATTTTTAGTAGAGACGGGGTTTCACCATATTGGCCAGGCTAGTCTTGAACTCCTGACCTCGTGATCTGCCTGCCTCAGCCATAACTGGCTTTTTAACCATAAAACATATAAATATGAACATTGCCAGATTAGAGTTTTCCAAAGGTGGCACATGAAACAACTTTAGTTCCTCAACAAAATACTAGCAAACAGAATTCAACAACACATTAAAAAGATTATTCACCATAATCAAAGGGGATTCACCCCAGGGATGCAAGGATGGTTCAGCATATGCAAATCAATAAACATGATACATACATCATCAGAATCAAGGACAAAAACCATATTAGCATTTCCATAGATGCTGAAAAAAACAGACAAAAGTCAATATTCCTTCATGATAAAAACCCTCAACAAATTGGGTATAGAAGGAACATACCTTAACGCAATAAAGGGCATATATGACAAGCCTACAGCTGAACAGGGAAAAATTAAAAGCCTTTCCACTAAGATTTGGAAAAAGACAAGGATGCCCACTTTCGCCACTTTTATTCAACATAGTACTAGAAGGTAGAGAAATACGTCAAGGACATTCAAATTGAAAAGGAAAAAGTCAGATAATCCTTGTTTGCAAATAACATGATCTTATATTTACAAAAGCCTAAAGACTCCATGAAAAAAACCCTTAGAACTGATCAATGAATTTAGTAAAGTTGCAGAATACAAAATCAACATGCAAAAATCAGTAATGCTTCTATATGCTAACAGTGATCAATCTAAAAAGAAATCAAGAAAGCAATTTTATTTATAATAGCTACAAAAAAATAAAATACCTAGGGGTAAATTTAACCAAAGAAACAGGGCCAGGCATGGCAGCTCATGCCTATAGTCACAGCACTTTGGGAGGCCAAGGTGGGCATATTGCTTGTGTTCAGGAGTTTGAGACCAGCCTGAGCAACATGGTGAAACTCCATCTCTACAAAAAGTACAAAAAATTAGCTAGGCATGGTGGCATGCACCTGAAGTCCCAGCTACTTGGGAGGCTGAGATAGGAGGATCACCTGTGCCCAGGAGGTTGAGGTTGCAGTGAGTCATGATCACACCACTGCACTCCAGCCTGGGCACTGGAATGAAACCCTGTCTCAAAAGAAAAAGGAAGATCTGTACAAAGAAAACTATAAAACAGTGATGAAAGCAATTTAAGAGGACACAAACAATGGAAAGATATCCCATGTTCATGGATTGGAAAAATTAATATTATTAAAATGTCTATACTACCCAAAGTGATCTACAGATTCAATGCAATGTCTATCAAAATAACGACATTCTTCACAGAATTAGAAAAAAGAATCCTGGCTGGGCACAGTGGCTCAAGCCTATAATCCCAACACTTTGGGAGGCCGAGGTGAGAGGATCACTTGAGTTCAGGAGTTCAAGACCAGCCTGACCAACATGGAAAAACCCTGTCTCTACTAAAAATACAAAATTAGCCAGGTGTGGTGGCACATGCCTGTAATCCCAGCTACTCAGAAGGCTGAGGCAGGAGAATTGCTTGAACCTGGGAGGCAGAGGTTGTGGTGAGCTGAGATCGTGCCATTGCACTTCAGCCAGGGCAACAAGAACAAAACTCCATCTCAAAAAAAAAAAAAAAAAAAGAAAGAAAGAAAGAAAAAAGAATCCTAAAAGAATGTGGAACCACAAAATACCCCACATAGCTAAAGCAATTATAAGCAAAAAGAACAAAGTTGGAAGCATCACACTACTTGATTTCAAATTATACTACAAAGCTATAGTAACCAAAACAGCATTCCACTGGCATAAAAACAGACACATAGACCAATGGAACAAAATCAAGAACCCAGAAATAAATCCATGCATTTACAGCCAATTGATTTCCACAAAGGCACCAAGAACATACATTGGGGAAAGGGCTGTCTATAATAAATGGTGCTGCGAAAACTGGACATCCGTATGCAGAAAAATAAAACTAGATCCCCATCTTTCACCATACACAAAAATCAACTCAAAATGGATTAAAGACTTAAATGTAAGGCCTACAACTCTGAAACTACTAGAAGGAAACATTGGGGAAACACTACAGGACAGTGGTCTGAACAAAGATTTTTTGAGTAAGACCTCAAAAGCACAGGCAACAAAAGCAAAAAATTAACAAAGTGAAGAGACAACCTTCAGAATGGGAGAAAATATTTGCAAAATATTTGGATATTTGACCCTCAAAAGCCTCATGTTGAAATTGACCCCAGTGTTGCAGGTGGAGCCTAATTGGAAGGTCCACTTCCAATGGGTTATAGGGGCAGATCCCTGATGAATGGCTTGGTGTTGACCTCACAGTAAGGAGTGTGCGCTCTATTAGCTCCTGTGGGAGCTGATTGTTTAGAAAGAGCCTGGCACCTGCCTCCCTTCTCTCTTACTTCCTCTCTCTGGCAATGCCAGCTCCCTTTTGCCTTCTGCCATGAGTAGAAGCAGCCTGAAGACCTCACCAGAAACATGCTGGTGCCACACTTCTTGTATAGCCTGCAGAACCGTGAGCCAAAGAAACCTCTTTTCTTTATAAACAACCCAGCTTCAGGTATTCCTTTATAGGAACACTACACAGACTGAAACACTGTCTGTATTAGTTCATTTTCACGCTGCTGATAAAGACATACCCGAAACTGGGAACAAAAAAGACTTAGTTGGACTTACACTTCCACATGGCTGGGGAGGCCTCAGAATCATGGCAGGAGGTGAAAAGTTCTTCTTACATGGCAGCAGCAAGAGAAAATGAGGAAGAAGCAAAGGCAGACACCCCTTATAAACCCATCAGATCTTGTGAGACTTATCCACAATCACAAGAATAGCATGGGACCCAGGAGGAGGTAATCATTACCTCCTGTCCCCAGGTAATGATTACCTCCTCCTGGGTCCCTCCCACAACATGTGAGAATTCTGGAGATACAATCCAAGTTGACATTTGGGTAGGGACACAGTCAAACCATTCACCATCCAACAAGGGATTAATAACCAGAATATATAAGGAACTCAAACAACTCAATAGCAAAACAAACAAACAAATAATCCAATAAAAATGGGCAAAATATATGAATAGACATTTCTCAAAAGAAGACATACAAATGGCCAATAGGCACATGAGAAAATGCTCAACATCACTAATCATCAGGGATATGCAAATTAAAATCACAATAAAATATGACCTCACCCCAATTAAAATGTCTGTTATCAAAAAAACAAAAAAATAACAAATGCTGGCAAGGATGTGGGAAAGGGGGAACAGTTGTATACTGTTGGTGGGAAAGTAAATTAGTACAGCCACTGTGGAGAACAGTATGGAAGTTCCTCAAAAAACTAAAAATAGAACTACCATATGATCTAGCAATCCCACTGCAGTGTATATACCCAAAAGAAAGGAAATCAGTATGTCAGAGATATCTGCACTCCTATGTTTGTTGCAGCACTATTTACAACAGCCAAGATATGGAATCAACCTGTGTGTCCATCGATGGATGAATGGATAAAGAAAATATGGTATACATACACAATGAAATATTCTTCAGCTATAAAGAAGAATGAAATCCTGTCATTTGCAGCATCATGGATGGAACTGGAGGAGGTCATTATGTTCATATAAGCCAGGCACAGAAAGACAAATACCACATATTCTTATTCATATGTGGGAGCTAAAAACGTGGATCTCATGGAGGTGGAGAGTAGAATGGTGGTTACCAGAGGCTGGGAAGGTAGGGGGGATGAAGAGAGGTTGATTAATGGTTACAAAAATACAGTTAGATGGAAGGAATACATTCTAGTATTTGATAGTGCAGTAGGGAAATTATAGTTAACAATAATTTATTGGCTGGGTACAGTGGCTCATGCCTGTAATCCCAGCACTTTGGGAGGCCAAGGCGGGTGGATCACCTGAGGTCAGGAGTTCAAGACCAGCCTGACCAACATGGAGAAACCCCATCTCTACTAAAAATACAAAAATTAGCCACCGTTGTGGCACATGCCTGTAATTACAGCTACTCAGGAGGCTGAGGCAGGAGAATCGGTTGAACCCGGGAGGCGGAGGTTGCAGTGAGCCGAGATCGTGCCATTGCACTCTAGCCTGGGCAACAAGAGCAAAAAAAAAAAAAAAAAAAAAAAAAAAAAAAAAAAACTCTGTATCAGGAAACTATTTACAGGCCAGGCGCAGTGGCTCATGTCTGTAATCCCAGTACTTTGGGAGGCCAAGGCTGGCGGATCACCTGAGGTCGGGAGTTCAAGACCAGCCTGACCAACATTGAGAAACCCCATTTCTACTAAAAATACAAAACTAGCTGGGCGTGGTGGCATATGCCTGTAATCTCAGCTACTCGGGAGGCTGAGACAGGAGAATCTCTTGAACCCAGAAGGTGGAGGTTGCAGTGAGCCGAGATGGTGCCATTGCACTCCAGCCTGGGCAACAAGAGCAAAAACTCTGTCTCAAAAAAAAAAAAAAAAAACACACACACAATAATTTATTGTGTATCTCAAAATAGCTGGAAGAGAAGAATTACAATGTTTCCAACACAAGGAAAAGTTAAGTGCTTGAGGTGATGGATACCCCAATTACCCTAATTTGATCATTCCACATTGTATACATGTACCAAAATATCATATGTAGCCCCAGAATATATACAACCATTACACATCATGTTTAAGAAAGAAAGAATTGGCCAGGTGCGGTGGCTCACGCCTGTAATCCCAGCACTTTGGGAGGCCGAGACAGACAGATCACCTGAGGTCGGGAGTTTGAGACCACCCTGACCAACATGGAGAAACCCCCTCTCTACTAAAAATACAAAATTAGCCAGGCATGGTTGCACATGCCTGTAATCCCAGCTACTCGGGAGGCTGAGGCAGGAGAATCGCTTGAACCAGGGAGGCAGAGGTTGCAGTGAGCCGAGATCGTGCCATTGCACTCCAGCCTGGGCAACAAGAGCAAAAAAAAAAAAAGAAAGGAAGAATTTTGTGTGTATAGATAACCATTTGCTATCTTAATTGTGTATTTTTAATTAGATACATGAAAATAACTAGCACATCATGGCAATGATGTCACAAATACTATTGCTTAGATCTGGGCTAAGTTTAAAAATTAATCAATTTAAAGAAACATTAGGCCCAGCACGATAGCTCACGCCTGTAATCCCAGCACTTTGGGAGGCTGAGGCGGATGGATCACGAGGTCAGGAGTTCAAGACCAGCCTAGTCAAGACGGTGAAATCCTGTCACTACTAAAAGTACAAAAGTTAGCCAGGCATGGTGGCAGGCGCCTGTAATCCCAGCTACTCGAGAGGCTGAGGCAGGAGAACCGCTTGAACCCAGGAGGTGGAGGTTGCAGTGAGCCGAGATTGCACCACTGCATTCCAGCCTGGGTGACAGAGCGAGACTCCGTCACAAAAACCAAAACAAAACAAACAAACAAAAAAGAAACATTAATAATAACACAAGATAACATAGATAACAAAAAAAATATAAAGATATGTGCAAAGGATTGAAGCCAGTAAAATAGTAGCTTAGATTAATAGAGAGAAATAGTTTCTGTGAGCCCTGAAATTCTGCATATCCATCAATATTTAGCCTTTAAAAAATAATAACAAGAGCCGGGCGCAGTGGCTCACACCTGTAATCCCAGCATTTTGAGAGGCTGAAGCGGGTGAATCACTTGAGGTCAGGAGTTCGAGATCAGCCTGGCCAACAAGGTAAAACGCCATCTCTACTAAAAATACAAAAATTAGCTGGGTGTGGTGGCACATCCCTCTAATCCCAGCACTTGGGAGGCTGAGGCAGGAGAATCGCTTGAACCCAGGAGGCGGAGGTTGCAGTGAGCCGAGATCGTACCACAGCACTCCAGCCTGGGTGACACAGCAAGACTACTTCTCAAAAAAAAAGAAAAAAAATTATGTTCATGGCCATTGAGGTGTTTTATTCATCATTTCAACACTTTTTTTATTGTGTGCCTTCTATGTGCTAGATGCTAGATAAATGTTCATTTAGAGATTCTACTCAAACTGCTTTTTGTATTTACATTTAAAATATTCTTAAAAGGAATTCGATGATTCAAATTAAGTCAGAAAATGTCTATGGAGGTTTAGGAGCATAAGAAGGTGCTGTGCTGTCCCTTCCCCACTCCCATGCAATGAAGGGGGTGCAGGGGTGTGCAGGATAGAGCCCTGACCCTCAGAGAGTTCACGATGAGGTTGGAGAGAAAACATAGCAATAAAATGAGAAATGGCAGCAAAACAGGAAAGATCAATCCCCAGGAGATGCAGTGACACACAGTAGTGCATGGTTATGTGTTTGCATACAGCAGCTGTCACAAAGGCTTTGGGCTGACAAGAAGATTCAGAATTCAGGACGGGGAGTGAAAGTGTGTATGGATGATGAGGGATTTGGCTCAAGGAAGGGTAGAATTTAGACAGGCAAAGAAGAAAGCGATGGTTCCAGCAAAATCAGAAGCAGAACAGAGAAAAGCATATGCTAGGGTCAATGAGCTGACCTATGGACTAGTGCAGAGTTGAAAAGGGTGAAGAGTTGGCCACAGGTCAGAAGGGCTGATTCCAATGTTGACTACCCACAAACAGCTATGACCAGGACTCATGAAAAACAAGAGATGTAGTCAGAATGTTTAGGCTGCCTCAATCAATCATTTGTGGAATCTCTACAGAATAGATAGGTGGGTTGGTGGGTGGGTGGATGTATGGATGGATGGATAGATGGATGGTTGGATAGATGGATGGACGAATGGATGGATGAAGGAATGCAGGAAGGGAGATTGTGCATATGTAGCCCACATCCATCCCTGCCTGTGTATGTAAGACCTAAAATTAAAGTTCAATATTATGTGCTGTCTTGACACCTGGTAAAATGAAAGGGCCTCAAATGGCCTAACAAACAAGTCCTCTTCCCCACTATGTTCCTGTAGATATGGTCCCCTGGCCAAATAACCTTCCTTATTTAAGGGACAAGGCACAGTTCCTGCTTATCACTGAGTAGGAGGTTTCACTTCCTGCCAGCCCACAGAATTATTCCAAAAGCCAATCACTTCCTCCTGTAGGGACTAAAGAGCACTTCACCCTCTTAAAACTACAAAGCCTGCCTCCCAGAGCCCCTGATTGTTTACTCTGTTCCTGGGTGCAACCTCCATATGGTCCTGTGTCCCCCTCCCCTGGGCTGTGAGTATATGTGATGAGTAAGCTGTCTCAATCTCACCTGGCCAGTGTAGTGTTCGGTCACCCCCATAACCCTAGCTAGGAATCCCTCCCTCACTAATGGGATGAAGAGGAGGCAATCAAAATAATCCTCTCCATTTTTCTTTGCTGATAGAACCTGGATTTTGTTCAAGGGGCCATCCCCCACAACATGACTTAGAAAATGGTCGCTTCATCCCTAGCTCAGAGATAAATCCTAATTGGTTTTATTCCTTCTTAGTGGTACCATCAGACTCTAGCATGTGACCCAGTTCTGCCCATTAAAACCCGAGGATATATCTGATGGGAGGTTTCTGGGAAGGAATTCCTGACTCCTGAGAAGGGGACACTGAAATAAAGGCCCCTGTTCTATCTCTGTATGTTGCTATGTCTAAACACCATGTGTTCACCTGCAGCTCCAGTTACCTTGTGGCCATGAGCATATGCAGCCTACTCTAGAGGAAACTGGAAAACAGATGGAAAAGCCTGGGTCAGGCTGGGAGCAGTGGCTCACACCTGTAATCCCAGCGCTTTGGGAGGCTGAGGCGGGAGGGTCTCAGGCCCAGGAGTTCAAGACTGAGTCTCAATTGCCACCATTGAGCCAGTGAATCAACCTTCACACCTTTGAATAATGTCTTTTCTTACTGTTTATGCCAGTTTGGGTCAGTATTTTCTCTTCCTTGCAACTACAAACATCTTACTGATACATCAGCTTTTAGCTGTATTGGTAAACATGAATTCCTAAATCCATCCAAAGGGATGGCATTCTTAAAGAGTTTTCAGGAGGACCTCAAGTTTAAAGTTCAAATTGATGATGAGGTTGATTTAATTATCAGAGAAAGGAATTAGCCATTGAGTGCCTACTGCCTACATTCACAATATCCCTAAAGTTGGTTGCATTATTGCCCCTGTTTTATGGAGGAGGAAACAGAAGCTCAGGGAGGTATGTGACCAGCTCAGGTCACATGAACAGCAAGCATCAGAGCTGGAGTTTAAAACCCAGGTCTATCTGTCTTGTCAGATCCCTGCAGGGGGTTTCACCCTGAGTGGATTAGACTGGGAACTAACTGGGAAGGCAAAATGAAGGAAGAGTTGAAGGAATATCAATAGGCAAATTTTTTTTTAAGCAAAACTAGAAGGACTTCTTCTATTTTTTAGAGAAAACAACGCTACCAGCAACCTCTCACTTTTTCTGGCACATCTAAACCAGACACAAAAGTATGTGAAAATGCAAAATCACGTGTCAGATGTACAATCCATCAGTCACCAAGTATTTATGGAGCTCATAGCATGAGCCTGGCAGCCACCATAGCTGCTGGGCGCTGTGTTTTCTAGTCCCACTGAGAGAGGGGCCAGACTATAGTACAAACTCCAGGACAAGATGAGAATAATCATAAAAATGTAGTTTAAAGATCCCCTCACAGGCAGGGTGCGGTGCCTCCCGTCTGTAATCCCAGCACTTTGGGAGGTTCAGGTGGCAGATCACTTGAGGTCAGGAGTTTGAGACCAGCCTGGCCAACATGGTGAAACCCCATCTCTAGTAAAAATACAAAAACTAGCCGGGCATGGTGGCGCATGCCTGTAGACCCAGCTACTTGGGAGGCTGAGGCAGGAGAATTGCTTGAACCTGGGAGGCAGAGGTTGCAGTGAGCTGAGATCCCGCCACTCCACTCTAGCCAGCCTGGGTGACAGAGTAAGACTCTGCCTCCAAAAAAAAAAAAAAATCCTCTCTCAGGATTATAGGTTCAGCATTTTTTAAGTATCTAAGATACAGCTGAGCACTGATTATAAATAAGTTGTTGGACTCTAGAGTCAGGAAAACTGGTATTAAAACCTCTTCTACCACTGCAGTATGACCTTGAGCAAGCTTCTTATATCACTGAGCCTTAGTTTTCTGATCTGTGAAATGGAAATAATAATAGTACTCAGTTCAAAAGGCTACTGTGCCAGGTCCAGTTTGTATCTAACAGATGTTAGAAAATATTACTTTTTATCCGTTTATTATTCCTTTTGAAAAAGTAGATGTCTGTAATCTCCCACCTGGAAACACAGAGCTGGCTGTGGGCCTGGATCATGCTATAGGGTGTTAATCCACATGGTTGGGTCTTCTTGTATTTTCCTTTCTCTCTTTCTCCCAATTCAGAAGGGAGCTGACTCTGGGAATACCGTCCAGAGTCTGGAAGCCTGTGGAAGGTACAACCAGCCATTACGGTAACTTCAGAAAGGGCCCCAGAATGGCAGGAAAGCAGCAGAGGACCCTGAAGCAAAAGGGGCCACTTAGCAAGACCAACAGATCCCTTGACCAACTATGTGGACCAATGACACAGAGCCAGATTCATTTCCCTCCCTAATCATGGCCTTACTTCAGCCCCAAGGATGGTGGGCAACTCAGTGAATACGTGTTGCTGGGGAAGTGGGTATGTGCCCGGCAAAGACCATGGTTAGAGGTTTTATACCAGTCTGGCACAGCAAAGACCTGAACCCAGAGTCAAGTTCTAGAAAAGAAAGCTTTATTTTTTGTCTACCTGAGTTGTGGCCCGAAATTCCTACCAGCCATAGCTGGTGTGAAGAATTTCCAGTTGCTTGTTCCAAGGAGACCACAGTGGATACAAAGGTCCGCAAATCTCAACCAAGAGCAGGAAAGAAGGTAAACCTACAGGCGAGACCACAGGTCCATCATCAGGAGGAGGGCGCGCAGGCAGTGACTGGCCAGAGGCCTTTGGTGTGGGCTTGGGCACCAACGAGGAAGCAAATGAGGGAATGAAGGAACAAATAAACTCACCTGGCAGAAAACTGCCACTGTTCACAGTCTTTCACACCCAATTCTTATTAAATCCAGAGATTTGGGTTTGCAGCTAGGGTTTAGCAATTAAAACTGTTATGTTGCAACACCTTTCCGGTTTGAAGTGGTAAAGGCATAAGGCCTGCAAATTTGTGGATTTGATTTGACACCACAGCCTTCTGTGCAAACATCTGACTCACTCTGCACACACCCAGTGGGGAAGAAGCCAGCTCAGGTTTCATTCTTAACCCCCAAACCCTGCTGTGAATGTCAGTTCTTTCCCAGAAGCAAACTGAACAAAGCAAATCTCTTTAAATCAGTGCTGACAACCTAAACCCAAGTTTATGAAGGTTCAGGCCACAGAGGAGGCCCTGTGCACCAGGGTTGCACTGTGAGGGGTGAGGGGCTCTGACTCAAATGAGCCGGAACCTAGGCTTCACTATTTTCATCACCTTAACATTTACATTCCGACAGCCTGGGGAAATGGATCTTTGAGATGACAGAACATTAACCTTTGCTATATCAAAGTCTGGGCCGTCTCCCAGTGCCTAACAAAAAAATGGTACTCCTTATCTTCATTCTAGCCTCCAGTCTGTTGGAAAGGTCAAAACAGGGGAGGGGCATGGACAGCAGCGAAGTCTCAGGAAATCTTAGTGCTCACAGGGCCTGTAGCTACCCTCCAAGTCCACCCTGGCATTTTCTGCATGAGTAAACTCAGGCTTAGGAAAGGTTAGGGAACCTCTGCAATTCCCAGCGCTGGGTGGTCCATGAGCTGCGGCTGAGATCCATGCTACCTGCTCTGGTCTTTTCATTCACTGTAATGAACACATGCTGGTTACTACCAAGGAACTTCTGTCTGTGGTTGTATGGGTCATGGTGGACAGTGCAGGCCCAACCTCCCCTATGGAAGTCGAGGAGGCCCCAGATCCCCTCTCCCCACCTCCTGAGAGCAGAGATGTGATCCACACCCTGCCATCAGGACACTCCACCTGCAACGTCTGTGGGAGATCAGAATACGACCCCCTAAATACGCCTCTTTGTTATAAGCACTGTTGAGCTGAAGGCAATTGAGAAGATGCAGATGCAGGAAAGCTCTCTGCCCTTCCTCTACTTGCCTAAAAGCAGGACATAGATTACGAAGACAAAAGGTATCCGTACCCCCTCCTACCAAAGAGGACAAAGGTTGGGGCTGGGCGTGGTAGCTCACGCCAGTAATCCTAGCACTTTGGGAGGCCGAGGCGGGTGGATCACCTGAGGTCAGGATTTCAAGACCAGCCTGGCCAACATGGTGAAACCCTGTCTCAACAAAAAATAAAAAAATTAGCTGGGCATGGTGGCAGACACCTGTAATCCCAGCTACTTGGGAGGCTGAGACAGGAGGATCACTTGAGGCAGAAGTTGCAGTGAGCTGAGATCGTGCCACTGCACTCCAACCTGGGCAACAGAGCGAGACTCCGTCCCAAAAAAAAAAGGAGGACAAAGGCTAACCACTGAAGACAACTTGAGACCTTCATGGGCCCCTGGAGATGACGCCAGAGGAATCGACATGAACAAGCTTCACTCACTGGCCTTTATCTGCCAATTACTTGCCTTCCCACAAGTTACTGCCCCTGGAGACTCAAGTTCTTTTCCCGTCTTGTCACTTCTCTAAACATTCACTGTTCTTTGTTGGAGATGCTATATAAGCTGGAATTCCTGGAGAACGACTCATTCCCTGGGTATCCCCCATGTATATATGTTGCTGGAAAAGAGGGTCCTGATCCAGACCCCAAGAACAGGTTCTTGGATCTAATGCAGAAAAGAATTCAAGGCAGGCCGGGCGTGGTGGCTCACGCCTGTAATCCCAGCACTGGGATGCCAAGGTGGGCGGATCACCTGAGGTCGGGAGTTCAAGACAGCCTGACCAACATGGAGAAACCCCGTCTCTACTAAAAATACAAAATTAGCCAGGCGTGGTTGCACATGCCTGTAATCCCAGCTACTCGGGAGGCTGAGGCAGGAGAATCGCTTGAACCTGGGAGGCAGAGGTTGCGGTGAGCCAAGATCGCACCATTGCACTCCAGCCTGGGCAACAAGAGCGAAACTCCATCTCAAAAAAAAAAAAAAAAAAAATTTCAAGGAGAGCCACAGACCACAGTGAAAGAAGCAAGTTTATTGGAAACCACCCTGTTACAGAGTCAAGTAGAGCATCCTCAGAAAGCAGGAGGAGGAACATGCCATCCTTGGTTAGCATCTCTACTTATAAGAAACTATAAGGAGCTATAATTAAACTTGAAATGTGCAGATGTGCTCGCTAAAGGTAGTGGCTATTAGTATTGTCAATGACCATTAATCCTTCAATCGAAGCCTGCTCATTATCATTATCTTTAAGTACATTCGCTCCGTGCTTAGGACATCTGGACATTCTGCAGGCTTAGTGGGAGCTGCTCTGTAGGGCCATAAATATTCTGTAATTATAATTGGTGGTCAGCTTAGAGTGTGGCTATTTTCAGGTCCTAAATATTAACCTTTTAAGTGTCTTATGAGTGCCCAGTTACTCACTTCAAGAGGGAGTCATTCTGGTCATGTGTTATTAAACCAGAGGCCTGGTAAGCAGGGGTTCCTCTAACATATATAAAATACATACATTAATAAACTCCTGTTTGCTTTGCTTTTCTCTTGTTAATCTCTTTTGTTACAGGGGTCTTTTCCAACTAAGAACTTAGGAAAGTTGAGGAAAAATTTTTTTTTCCCAACATGCCCAAACTGCCCATGACCGCCACGTTGGTCCTGCCCCAGGAACAGACTACTGTGACCAGAGCCATGTATTCTTTGTTTTTTTTTTTCTTTTGAGACGGAGTTTGGCTGTTGTTGCCCAGGCTGGAGTGCAGTGATGCAATCTCAGCTCATTGCAACCTCCGTTTCCTGGGTTCAAGCAAGTCTCCTGTCTCAGCCTCCTGAGTAGCTGGGATTATAGGCATGCACCACCATGCCTGGCTAATTTTGTATTTTTAGTAGAGATAGGGTTTCACCATGTTTGTCAGGCTGGTCTCAAACTTCTGACCTCAGATGATCCACCTGCCTCGGCCTCCCGAAGTGCTAGGGTTACAGGGGTGAGCCACCACGCCCGGCCCCAGAGCCAGGTATTCTAATGATAAATTTGCCAGGTGACCAGTTCACCTGTTGACTAATTTGCATAATGAACAGTTTGCCTTGAATTCAGACCTCTTTTGAGAGTTTTTGCATTTATTCAGCTGCCCTATTCTTTTTTATTTTTTTAGTCACATTTTAGGCATTTTTAACGATTTAAAAAATTAACTTCCTCTAAGGGGCTTTTCCCCTGCTAAATCTCATATTTCTGATTATTTATGAAATGTATATTCTAAGCAATGAAATTGCTATTTATTGTGTGGGAGTCTTTTGATAATATATCAACCTTCAGACAAACTGTAAGATACTTTTTTGTAAGTTTACATAAAGACTCTTTCTTCAAAGTTGTATGTTTACAGCAAGAGACCCTTACTGAGTCTGATGTTCAAGATATTAAATTCAGAAAATTATCCTAGATTTTAAACATTAAATGAGTGCTCTTGGTGAGCAACTGAGCTGACTTTCATGGTGGCATGAGACACCAGCACAGCTCTTAGCAGCTAACCATAATTAATGTCTGATAATGAATAAGAATATACTAGGCCAAGTGTGTGATACCGGGTTCATATTCCATTTCAGTCCATAAATAAGTATTGTGTGTGACTATATTTATAATAAAAGCAGGCCAGACGCAGTGGTTCACGCCTATAATCCCAGCATTTTGGGAGGACAAAGCAGGCGGATCACTTGAGGTCAGGAGTTCGAGACCAGCCTGGCCAACATGGTGAAACCCCGTCTCTACTAAAAATACAAAAATTAGCTGGTCATGGCGGCACGCGCCTATAGTCCTACCTACTCAGGAGGCTGAAGCAGGATGATCACTTGAACCCAGGAGGCGGAGGTTGCAGTGAGCTGAGATCCTGCCATTGCACCCCAGCCTGGGTGACAGAGTGAGACTCAATCTCAACAAAAAATATATATATAATAAAAATTAAAACAACTAACATTTTTTAAAGGCTGGCCACGTGCTGAAGACTGGGCTGAGCTGTGTACTCCTGTTTTCTCTGTTTGTGGTGCTTCCTGAGAGCAGGGCCTTGTCTTTCCTCCCCAGCATATTCTCAGCTGGCTCATAGTAGATGCTCTATATTTTCAGAATAACTGAGTGACCTTGTTGGCTGGTACTGTTGTTATCTATCACCTCAAGTGTGTAAGTGAGGAAATTCAGGTTTAGGAGTTGTTACTTGCCCAAGAACAAGAGAAAGGGCAGCATGACCCTGGAGCCTGCATTCCTAACGCAGGTGAGTGTGACCTCACCCTTGTGCTCTAACAAGTAAAGCCCTAGAGGGAAGCAGGGGAGGATGATAGATGGATTAAAACATTATTTTAATGTGAGGCTCAGAGTTGGGGGACTGAGGGTGGGTGTGTAGGTACAGCGATCCATCCGTGGGATGGTTCTGAAATGGCTCTCTATGAACCCTAAATGCCTTTATTATTGGGAATGTGAGAGTAGAACATTCCAGAATGAGCGAGCCTTGGGACAGAGAACAAGCTAGGGACAGAGGCCAAGAGTACAACAGGTGGCCTGTTCAACATGTTGTAGCTTTCCAACAAAAGGTTAGCCTTGACCTCTCTTTTTTGCTTCATCTGACACATACAAATTATTTTATTTTATTTTATTTTATTTTATTTATTTATTTTTGAGACAGAATCTCACTCTGTCTCCCAGGCTGGGGTGCAGTGGTGCAATCTCAATTCACTCCCACCTCTGCCTCCCAGGTTCAAGCAATTATCGTGCCTCAGCCACCCAAATAGCTGGGATTACTGGTGTGGGCCACCACACCCTGCTAATTTTCTTTTTCTTTTTTTCTTTTTTTTTTTTTGAGACAAAATCTTGCTCTGTTGCCCAGGCTGGAGCGCAATGGCGCGATCTCTGCTCACTGCAACCTCTGCCTCCCCAGTTCAAGCGATTCTCCTGCCTCAGCCTCCCAAGTAGCTGGGATTACAGGCGCGAGCCACCATGCCCGGCTAATTTTTTGTGTTTTAGTAGAGACGGGGTTTCAGCATGTTGGCCAGGCTGGTCTTGAGTTCCGGGCCTCACATGATCCGCCCACCCCGGCCTCCCAAAGTGTGTGAGCCACTGCACCTGGCTAGTTCTGCATCTTTATTGTGGTGGTTGCCCAATTCCATACGTGCCACAAAATAGCATAGGACTATCCACACACTGTACCAATATCAATTGCCTTGTTTTGATATTGTGCTATAGTTACCTGAGCTGCAACCATTGGAGAAACTAGGTGAAGGGCACACAGGACCTCTTTGTACTCTCTTGGTAACTTCCTGTGAATCTATAATTATTTCAAAATAGAAAGGTTTTTTTTAGCTGGGCTCAGTGGCTTACACCTGTAATCCCAGCACTTTGGGAGGCCAAGGCGGGTGGATCACGAGGTCAAGAGATCGAGACCATCCTGACCAACATAGTGAAACCCTGTCCCTACTAAAAATACAAAAATTAGCTGGGCGTGGTGGTGCGCACCTGTAATCCTTGCTACTCTTGAGGCTGAGGCAAGAGAATCGCTTGAACCGGGTTGTGGGGTTTCAGTGAGCCAAGATCACACCACTGCACTCCAGCCTGGTGACAGAGCAAGACTCTGTCTCAAAAAAAAAGAAAGTTTTTTTTTTAAATTGTGGTTCAAGCATCCCCTGGTTTCTCCGATTTCCCTTTATAAACATTTGCAGAGATTCCGGTGAAGTGCAAAGATGGATATGCCTTTCATATACAGAAAGTTCCCTTATTCTTTTGACATCTTTATAATTTTCTGTTTCATGACTGTGCCAGGTATTTCTAAATTCAGACCCTAACCCATGAATATTTAGGTTATTTCCATTTTTTGCTGTTATAAATATTATCATAGTTGACATGAATCATCTTATCACTCATTGTTTTTGTGACTGTGTTTGCAGATTCCTGAAATCAAAACTGATTTTCTTAACAGCTATGCTATGTTGTCATATTTATCTGTGTTTTAAGCCACTATATACATTTTTTCAAAGAGCCTCAAAATTCCTAAAATAGATATTTATATCTACATTCTAAATGGCAAAAGAATGAGAGAAAGAAAGAAAGAGAGAGAAAGAGAGAGGGAGGGCGAGGCACGGTAGCTCATGCCTATAATTCAAGCACTCTGGGAGGCCAAGGCAGGCATATCACTTGAGCACAGGAGTTTCAGACCAGCCTGGGCAACATAGGGAGACCTCGTCTGTACAAAAAATACAAATGTTAGCCAGGCATGGTGGCATGCCCCAGTAGTCCCAGCTACTTAGGAGGCTGAGGCAGGAGGATTGTTTGAGCCTGGGAGGTGGAGGTTGCAGTGAGCCAACATCATACCACTGCATTCCAGCCTGGGTGACAGATTGAGACCCTGTCTCAAAAAATACATATAAAACAAAAAAATTTTAAATAATTAAATGGCAAAAATAGTCTTGCTATGGTTTGGCTGTGTGCCCACACAAATCTCATTTTGAATTGCAGTTCCCATAATCCCCACATGTCATGGGAGGGACCAGGTGGAGATAATTCAATCAGAGGCAGTTACCCTCTTGCTGTTCTCATGATAGTGAGTGAGTTCTCACGAGATCTGATGGTTTTATAAGGGGCTTCCCCCTTTGCTCAGCATTCACTTCTTTCACCTGCCACCGTGATTGTAAGTTTCCTGAGGCCTCTCTAACCACGTGGAATTGTGAATTAATTAAATCTCTTTTCCTTATAAATTACCCAGTCTCAGGTATGTCTTCATGGCAGCATGAAAACAGAATAATAGTCTGCTTCAAGTTACTGTACATGTTCAACATTAATAAAATAACATTTCTGGCTGGGCACAGTGGCTCATGCCTGTAATCCCAGCATTTTGAGAGGCCAAGGCAGGTGGATCGCTTGAGCCCAGGAGACCAGCCTGGGCAACATGGCAAGACCCCTGTATCTACAAAAAAAAAAAAAAAAAAAGAAAAGAAAAAATTAGCCAGGAGTTGTGGCACGTGCCTGTGGTCCCAGCTACTTGGGAGGCTGAGGTGGGAGGATCACTTGAGCCCAGGAGGTGGAGGTTGCAGTGAGCCAAAATTGTGCCAATGCATTCCAGCCTGGGGGGGAGAGAGTGAGACCCTATCTTAAAATAAATTTAAAAAATCAAATAACATTTCTGTGTGGTTAATTTAAACTAGTCATTTATCTATTGGCATTGATTCAATTACTTTTAAAAAGGAATATACACACTATTATAATATAGTTCTTTTTCACACACACCCAGAGATAATGTGATGAAATCTTGCCTCCCTAAATATAAGAACAAAACATAAGACTGGTATAATCGTTCAGAGAGACATTAACACCAATGCTATAAGTCAGTTCTAATGTATTTAATAAAACGGCTTTCCTTTAGTCAAAAAAAATTTTTTAATCTAGTGAAGTAATCAGCATCGAAATGTTTGGGACACTGAGAAGTGTCTCTTTTGTGCCTGGAAATAGGTGTTTTATTCATCCTCTGGAAGTTTACAGTACAGTGTGTGGGCGAAGCTTTCTGGACAACCTGTCCCTCTGTCAGCTTTTTGCCTCTGCAAAGCCAAAATGTGGGTTCTGTGTCTGAGTATTGCAACCCACAAGAAACGTGGCTAAGGCCAGAAAACATAAGTGTGAATACTTTTGGAAGGCTGCGCATCTCATGAGTCACATGGGAGCAGCCCCGACCGTGGTTTGTGCACCTTCTGCCCTAGCAGCTGCCAGTCAAGCGAAGAGGCGACCTCTAGGGGTGAGCCTGGGCAACAAAATAGTCACCTTCCCCTGGGAAAGCGAATGTGGGGATCCACCTTTAGGAATTCCCTTTTCTAAAAAGCTACGCCTCTAAAGCTTTCAAAAATGAAATTCTATCAATAAGGTACCAGAAGTAACCAAATGGACCCATGTGTGTGCCTGCGTGTGTACGCATGCGTGCATGCCCATATAAACTGAGTATCAGTAGGAGCAGGAAACTAGTATCCGTGCTGGCCTCCTGGGAGGGGAACCGCATAAAGGAGATGGGGACAGCAGGGAAACTCACTTTCCCCTCCCCTCAACTTTTATTATGAAAAACTTTCAAACAGAAAAGTTGAGAGAATAGTGCAATAAATTCCCGCATACTCAGCGCCTAGATTTCATGTGGTTAGCATGTTTGTATTTGCTTTATCTCTATACTCGTTTGTCCGACTTCTCTTAGACTCACCTTTCACAGTAAAGTCTTTGGACCCTTTCAACTGTATACTGTGTGTATGTCATCTATCCAAATAAGTTTATTAATAATTAATAGTAACCACCTCTGAGAGGCGTTGTGAGGGAGGGTTAAATTAAATGAGGAGAAGGGCATAAAATACCTGGCGCAGCGCCAAGCACATTGCTCAAGAAATGCTGTGGTGGCTCTCAGATTTCCCTTCATTCATTCTTAGGTCCCACAGTAAACTCAGCACCTTTGATTTCATCTGAGTCTTTTCCCAAGCCAGCCCTCTTTCCCCAAGCCAGCCCTCTTTCCCCTTTTCCACCCCTCTCTCAACTTCTCTATGGCTCCCGGCAGGCGCAGAGTAAAAGGGATCATCACACCCTGCAGGAAAGCGGCAGGGCCTCCAGACAACACTTACAGGCAGACCACTGGGCTGGAGGAGGCCTAGGCGGCCATGACTCTTAACCCTTCCCTGGCTGCTCCTAGAAAATGGCTTCATGCCTACAAATAGCCACCCTTTCTCATGGCCTCTCTTGTAATAGGTTTGGCAATTTTCTGATGTCAGAAATACATAAGTACAAAATATTAAAATAATATAAAATAAGGCCGGGCACAGTGACTCACGCCTGTAATCCTAGAACTTTGGGAGGCCGAGGCAGGTGGATCACGAGGTCAGGAGTTCAAGACCAGCCTGGCCAAGATGGTGAAACCCCGTCTCTACTAAAAATACAAAAATTAGCCGGGCACGGTGGCAGATGCCTATAACCCCAGCTACTCGGGAGGCTGAGGCAGGAGAATAACTTGAACCCGGGCGGCACAGGTTTGACAGAGTGAGACTCTGTCTCAAAATAAATAAATAAATAAATAATATATATAAAATATAAAATGTAAGTATGTGGTAAAAACCAAGAAGAGATGCTAACTGTATCTCTAAATATATCATATAATATGTATGTGCAGTATAATATACATATATTAATATACTACACTACACATAATATGTGTTAACATATCTATGTTTCATCACATAATATAACATAAATATACAATATAATTCAATATGTGGTAAAAATTAAAAAAAAAAAAAGTAGAGATTCGGCCAGACGTGGTGGCTCACACCTGTAATCCCAGCCCTTTGGGAGGCTGAGACAGGTGGATCACCTGAGGTCGGGAGTTCAAGACCAGCCTGACCAACATGGTGAAACCCCGTCTCTACTAAAAATACAAAATTAGCCAGGTGTGGTAGCGGGTGCCTGTAATCCCAGCTACTCGGGAGGCTGAGGCAGTAGAATCGCTTGAACCCAGGAGGCAGAGGTTGCGGTGAGCCAAGGTCGCGCCATTGCACTCCAGCCTGGCCAATAAGAGTGAAATTCTGTCTCAAAAAAAAAAAAAAAAAAAAGGTAGAGATGCTATGCTATGTCTCTCTTTCTTGTTCTCTATACACATGTATATTCAACATACAGAACATGTATATAACACGTTACATATGTGTATATTATATTACATATGCTATCTATCACACATATGTATATGTATCATAGGAAAAAGCAACTCTTTTTACTCTATATACTCACACCCTCAGTACTTTACTTCTGACATCAGATGTGTGGGTTTTTTCCAACACATCAATTCTCTGGCAGACACCAATTGGGTGTCCTACAATTAATTCAATTTTGACACCAGTTAGAGTTAGTGCAAACCCCACAGGTTAAGGGCTCAGTCCCACAAGGCTGCCCCCACTTCAGATGCTGGTTGCAAGTCCCAGGTTGTCACTTGTACTTCTGACCAACCAACTACAAATCGGGATTCCCTTCCTCAGGTTTGACACTTTGCTAGGGTGGCTTATAGAACTCCGAAAACACTTATGTTTACCTGTTTATTATAAAGGATATCACAAAGGATGGAGATGAACAGCCAGATGAAGAGGTACATAGGGCAAAGTGTTGGGTGACCATACCCCAGCACTTCCACCCATTCAGCAACCTGAAAGCTCTCCAAAGCCCACAGTTTTATAAAGGCATCATCATATGGGCATGATCAATTATTAACTCAATCTCCAGCCCACTCACCTTCCCAGAGGATAGGGAGTGGAGCTAAAAGCTCCAAACTTCTCATCATGGCTTGGTCTTTCTGGAGACCGGCCCCCATCCAGGAACCCACCAAGAGTCACCTCATTAGGACAAAAGATGCTCCTATCACCCAGGAAATTCCAAGGGATTAGGAGCTCTGTGGAACGAACTGGGGTCAAAGACCAAATATTAGAACAAAAGATACACCTAGCACCTCTATCGCTCAGGAAATTACAAGGGTTTTCAGAGCTCTGTGCCAGGAACTGGGTCGAAGACCAAAATATATTTCTTTTTTTTTTTTTTTTTTTTGAGACGGAGTCCTGCTCTGTTGCCCAGGCTGGAGTGCAGTGGCGGGATCTCGGCTCACTGCAAGCTCCACCTCCCGGGTTCACACCATTCTCCTGCCTCAGCCTCCCGAGTAGCTGGGACTACAGGCGCCCGCCACCACGCCCAGCTAATTTTTTGTATTTTTAGTAGAGACCGGGTTTTACTGTGGTCTCAATCTCCTGACCTCGTGATCCGCCCGCTTCGGCCTCCCAAAGTACTGGAATTACAGGCATGAGCCACCGCGCCCAGCCCAAAATATATTTCTTAGTATAAATAACAACATTGTAGTATATTATATGTATATACACATACTAACATACACAGTATGGTACATATGAGATATAGATATGTTTACAGATCTAGTTAACATTTCTAACGACTTGGTTTTTAACCATGTACTGAATTATGTTTGGCCAGACTCACCCTCCACCCATCCAGGGCCCTAAGTCCCATCTCTTATTTTTCAAGGTAAACCAGTTGAGTCACCACCTGCTCTGTTAGCCACATCCAATGTGACTCTGGGGTCTCAGATCTTTCTGGCAACTGCGCATAAGCCCAGACCTTACTCCAGTCCTTGGGGAGAGAAAACTAGGGAACTCCTCTGCCCCTCAAAGGCCCTGTTTTTCCATTGCCTTGGTTCTGTTGCTACCACACTGGGCACCAGGGAGAGCAAATCCCTATAAGCCATGTGTGCCTTCTCCACCACCAGACGGCTGCTCCATGGGGCCTGTCCCTGCCCACGTGTGACCGTTCCTAGAGGAGAAGAGTTCCCTCATGCAGGGTCACAGCAGCCCCAGATGCATCATCCTTCGGTAACAATTCACAGCCACTTGCTGTGGAAGGGCCCACAAAGAAAACCAAGGAAACCCTAACAAAAATAAGAGCATTTGCTGAGCATTCACTGTGTGCCAGGCACTGTGCAAAATACTTTTTTTTTTTTTAAGAGATGGGGTCTCACTATGTTGCCCAGGCTGGTCTCAAACTCCTGGACTCAAATAATCCTCCCACCTCTACCTCCCAAGTAGCTGGGATTACAGGAATGAGCCACTGCACCTGGCTTAAAATACTAAAAATATGTTATCAAATTTAACCTGATCACCTCAACCCCTCTACAAAGCAGGCATTTTTCCCTGACTTGAGTTCTGCTTTTTTTGGTGAGTTCTTCTTGGGAGACCTTAATTCATGTTTTAAAATTAATTAATCAATTAACATTTATACAGCACTTACTATGTGGCAGACACCGAGTGAGCAGCTTTACAAACATTAACTCACTGAGCCCTCATCACAGCCCTATGAGATGAGCACTACTATTATTCCCATAATAGTCACAAGCAATAAGCTCAAAGTCACACAGCTAATGAGTGGTAGAAGTGGGATGCCTGTTCTGCCAGTGGAAATGTAATGGAGGTGACTCAAAGTGGGAACATGTGCACATGAAGTATATTGGCAAGGGCGTGGAGAAATAGGCACTTTCAGGTATTGCTTATGGGAGGGCAAATTTGCAAGGCAATGTGACAATATTGAACACAATTTAAAATGCATATGCAGTAGTTACTTTGACCTTGATATTCTTCCTCTAGAAATTATTCACAGATATTTATATGCATATGAAAACATATGGACAAGTCATCTTATTGCACCACGTTTGTATTAGTAAAGGCTAGAAGCAACCAGAATGATGATTAATAGGACATCAGGGCAGGGCATGGTGGCTCACGCCTGTAATCTCAGCACTTTCGGAGGCTGAGGTGGGTGGATCACATGAGGTGAGGAGTTCAAGACCAGCCTGGCCAACATGGCAAAGCCCCATCTCTACTAAAAAATACAAAACTTAGGCCGGGTGTGGTAGCCCACGCCTGTAATCCCAGCACTTTGGGAGGCCGAGGAGGGTGGATCACCGGGTCAGGAGATTGAGACCATCCTGGCTAACATGGTGAAACCCCGTCTCTACTAAAAATACAAAAACAAACAAACAAAATTAGCTGGGTGTGGTGGTGGGTGCCTGTAATCTCAGCTTCTGGGGAGGCTGAGGCAGGGAGAATTGCTTGCACCCGGGAGGGGGAAGTTGCAGTGAGCCGAGATCACGCCACTGCACTCCAGCCAGGGGGACAGAGCGAGACTCTGTCTCGAAAAAAAAAATAGGACATAAGTTAAATGAGTTATAATACAGCCACACTCTGGAATACTATAAAGCTGTGAAGATGAATGAGTGAAACATACTGGTACTGAAGTAAAGTCCTCCAAGATGTATTTGTAATGAAAATACAAAGCACAGAGCATAAGTGTGTTTTCAAGGCTAATATTCAAGCCAAAGTCTAGGGTCTGACTCCAGAGAAGGTAAACACATCCTCTATCTATTACCATATGAATGTGGTGATAGCAGCCCAATTGAATTTGTTTCCATTTAAATATATAAATTTGGCTGTGTGGGGAGGGGGCAAAATTCAGGCCACAGTGGAGCTTTAGTCTCCCTGTCCTGGTGCACACTTTCCCCACGGAACTGAATCTGGAACAATAGAGAACACAGAAAAAGGCAACGGGGATTACCCACTCCCCCGCGCACGCACTCTTGGACCACAGCTCCTCTGGTTAGTGACAAATATCCCTCCATAATGTTAAGTGCCTGCCCACTCGCTGCTGCCACCAACTCCAAGGTATTGCCTCCTGGCAGGGGCAGAGGAAAATAGAAAAAGAAAGCAAAAACCAAAATGGGATTCTCTCTGCCGCTCCCTAGCAGACGCGGGGGCGCGCGCGCGCGCGCACACACACACACACACACACACACACACACACACACACACACACACACTCCCCAGATGAAAAAGAGAAGGCTTCTCTTGGAACGCTTCCCGTCTGGACCTACTACAGGCTTCTGAGTTTCCGGCAGCTGTCTTTGAGTCCAGGCTGGGCAATACTGCAGGGGAAAAAAATATGTAAACTTTCCACCATTTTGATGGAACTTTTTTTTTTTGGAGACGGAATTTCGCTATGGAGTGCAGTGACGCAGTCTCAGAGGCAGCCTCTGCCTCCTCAGTTTAAGCAATTCTCCTGGCTCAGCCTCCCGAGTAGCTGGGATTACTGTGGGTGTGCCACCACGCCCAGCTAACCCAGCTAATTTTTGTATTTTTAGTAGAGACGGGGGTTTCACCATGTTGGCCAGGCTGTTCTTGAACTCCTCACCTCAAGTGATCCACCTGCCTCAGCCTCCCAAAGTGCTGGGATTACAGGCGTGAGCCACCGTGCCCAGGCGGAGCTTTGAATTCTCATCTCTTTCCCCAATCCACTGGCTACAATTTGCTTTTCAGAGTCCTTAGCTGCTCCATGCCTTCTGAAAGGATCTGTAGTTGCAGCCAATGTGATCAGAAAGTATTGGGAAGATCACAGAATTGGGGGAGATCAAGAGAGACATCCCAAATAGTTGTGTATGAACTCATGGGGTTCACCCCGTGCTTGCAAGTATGGATCTCACCCCAAACAGAATACCACAGGCTTTGTGAACTCTGTTGCAGGCAGCTCTCCGCCCAGGTCACTGAATGACCTCAATTTAGTAGAAGCCAATTATAGTTTGGCCAGACTTGGGGGCACACAGGTGGGACTGATCTGAATAGCCCTGCAAATACTTTCAAAGCTTTACTTGGAATCACAGCTCACACAAAGCCAGTTGAAATTTCTGACCTGAATTTCACCTTCTAGGTTACCTGCTAAAATAAAAAATATCTGCCAGGCACGGTGGCTCACACCTGTAATCCCAGAACTTTGAGAGGCCGAGATGGGCAGATCATTAGGTCAGGAGATCGAGACCATCCTGGCTAATATGGTGAAAACCCGTCTCTACTAAAAATACAAAAAATTAGCTGGGCATGGTGGCACATGCCTGTAGTCCCAGCTACTCGGGAGGCTGGGGCAGGAGAATGGTGTGAACCCAGAAAGTGGAGCTTGCAGTGAGCCGAGATTGCGCCACTGCACTCCAGCCTGGGCGACAGAGCAAGACTCCATCTCAAAAAAAAAAAAAAAAAAAATCAACATTATTTAGCCAGACTGACAATGAAATAGAAAGGACAGAAACTACTAAATTCAGGAATGAAAGAAGAAATATCACTACAGATTCCTTCCTCGACACTTTAAAAGGCTCATAAGTGAATATTATGACAAACCAAGGCATAAAAACTTGGTAACTTAGAAGAAGTGGACCAATTCCTTGACAGATACAAATGACCTCAATTTTCCCAAGAACAAATAGATACCCTGAATAGTTCTCTATCTGGTAAAGAACTTGAATTTGTAGCTAAAAGCCCCTGAAAAAGACATCTCCAGGTAGTTTCACTCACAAATTCTAACAAACATTTAAAGAAGAAATAACACCAATTCTACACAATCTCATCCAGAAAACAAAAGAGGAGAGAACACTTCCCAGTTCATTTTGTGAGGCCAACATTACTTTGATATCAAAATCAGACAAGACAATAAAATTACAAACCAAAGATCTTTTGGCCGGGCGTGGTGGCTCACACCTGTAATCCCAGCACTTTGGGAGGCCGAGGCGGGCGAATCATCTAAGGTTGGGAGTTCAAGACCAGCCTGACCAACATGGTGAAACCCTGTCTCTACTAAAAATATAAAAATTAGCTGGGTGTGGTGGCACATGCCTGTAATCCCAGCTACTCGGGAGGCTGAGGCAGGAGAATCGCTAGAACCCAGGAGGAGGAGGTTGCGGTGAGCCCAGATCTTGCCATTGCACTCCAGCCTGGGCAACAAGAGTGAAACTCTATCTCAAAAAAAAAAAAAAAAAACCAAACCGAAGATCTTTCATGAACATAGACATGAATCTCAACAAAATATTAGCAAATTAAATCCACCAATATACATGCATGTGTGCATATCTTACCATGAGCAAGCAAGGTTTATACCAAGAATTCAAGGATGGTTCAATATTTGAAAATCAATTAATGTAATCCACCATGTTAAAGAGGCCAGGCACGGTGGCTCATGCCTGTAATCCCAGCACTTTGAGAGGCTGAGGTGGGCGGATCACAAAGTCAGGAGTTTGAGACCAGCCTGGCCAATATGGTCAAACCCCACCTCTACTAATAATACAAAAATTAGCTGGGCATAGTGGCAGGTGCCTGTAGTCCCAGCTGCTTGGGAGGCTGAGGCAGGAGAATTGCTTGAACCTGGGAGGCAGAGGTTGCAGTGAGCCGAGATTGCACCCCTGCACTCCAGCCTGGGCCACAAAGCAAGACTCTGTCTCAAAAAAAAAAAAAAAAACTAAAGAAGAAAAAAATCTAAAGAAAAAAATCAATCAAATAAACTGATGTAGACAAAGCATCTCACAAAATTCAGTGGTCATTCTGGTAAAAGGACTCAGCAAACTAGGAACAGAAGAGAGCTTCCTTAGCCTGAATAAGGGCATCTGCAAAAAAAACAAAAACAAGCATCATACTTAATGTTGAAAGATTGAACACTTTCCCTCTGAGATCAGGAACAAGACAAGGTTATTCATTCTCACCACTCCTATTTAATATTGTACTAGAAGACCAGCAATAAGACAAGAAAAACAAACAAAAGACATGCATTTTAGAAGGACAGAAATTGTGTTTTTCACAGACAACTTTATTGTCTATGCTGACAATTCCATGGAATGTATAGAAAAGCTCCTAAAAATAATAAATGAGTTCATCAAGACTGTAGGACATAATATCAACACGTGAAAATCAATTGTGTTTCAAAATAGTAGCAGTAACTGACTGGATTCTGATCTGAATTCAATTGAAATTTTTTTAAAACAGTATTGACAAAACCTTAAACAAAATACTTAGGCAGAAATCTAATAAAATGTGCAGAATCGATATACTGAAAACTATAAAACACTGATGAAAGAAATCAAAGAACACCTAAGCAAATGAAGAAAAGACTACACTTGTGAATGGTAACATTCATTCAGTATAGTTAGGATGACAATTTCCCCAAAATGTTCTACAGATTTAACACTATTCTAATAGATATTCTATCAAGATTTTTTTTGTAGATGCAGATAAGCTGATTCTAAAACAATTTTGAAAAAGAAGAGCAGACCAGGTGTGGTGGCCGACACCTGTAATCCCCGAGGCCAAGGCAGTCAGATCACTTGAGGCCAAGAGTTCAAGACCAGCCTGGCCAACATGGTGAAACCCCATCTGTACTAAAAATATAAAAATTAGCTAGGCCTCGTGGCACACACCTGTAATCCCAGCCACTTGGGTGGCTGAGGCACTTGAACCTGGGAGGCAGAGATTGTAGTGAGCTGAGATCACGCCACTGTACTCCAGCCTGGGTGACAGAGTGAGACTCTGTCTCAAAAAAAAAGCAAGGTTGGAAGACTCACTCTAATTATCAAAATTACTATTTAACTACAGTAATCAACACTGAATAATATTGAAGAAGGGATAAACACAAGATCAATGGATCAGAATACAGAGTCCAAAAATAGATCCACTCAAAATGGCCAATTGATTTTGACGAGGGCCCAAAGGCAATTCAATGAAGAAAAGATAGTCTTTTCACCAAATGATGTTGAAACAACTGAACAACCAGATGCCAAAAAAACTCGGATCTAAACCTCACACCTTAAACAAAAATTAACTCAAAGTGGACCATAGATCTAAATGTAAAACTATAAAACTTTAGAAAAAAAATAAAAGAAAACTTTGCAACCTGACAGTAAGCAAGGAGTTTGTAGATATGACACCAATACATGATCCATAAAAAAAAAGTGATAAATTCAGTTTCATCACAATTTAAACTTTTTTCTTTGCAAAAGGCACTGTTAAGAGAATGAAAAGACATCTCACACTGGGAGAAAATATTTGCAAATCACATATTCAACATAGAGCTTGTATTCAGAATAGGTAGATAGATATCAATTGTAGGAAGCTGTAAGAAAACAAATGACTGATTTAAAAATGGGCAAAAGATTTGAACAGATATTTCTCCAAAGATGATATACAAACGGCCAATAAGCACAGTAAGAGATGCTCAATATCATTAGCCATTAGCGAAGCACAACTCAAAACTACCATGAGATATCACTACACACCTACTAGAGAGGCAAAAACCAAAAACAAACAAATGATAATACCAAATACTGATGAGAGTTCCAGTTGTGGAGCAACTGGGGAGAATACAAAATAGTGTAGCCACTCCAAAAACAGTTTGATAATTCCTTAAAAGTTAGGCTGGGTGCAGTGGCTCATGTATGTAATCTCAGCATTTTGGGAGGCTGAGGTGGGCAGATTGCTTGAGTTCAGGAGTTTGAGACCAGCCGGGGCAACATGGCAAAACCCCATCTCCACAAAATATACAAAAATTAGCCAGACATGGTGGCATGTGCCTGGTCCCAGCTACTTGGAAGGCTGAGGTAGGAGGATTGCTTAAGCCCAAAAGGCAGAGGCTACAGTATTGGAAGTCCTAGCCAAAGCAATTGGGCAAGAAAAAGAAATAAAACGCATCTAAATTGGAAATGAAGGAGTAAATTGCCTTTTTCCTCACATGACAAGATCTTATATGTAGAAAACCCTAAAGATTACACACACACACACACACACACACACACACACACACACACACACACCTATTAGAACTACATTTGATCTTGGCCAAAAGGCCAAGAAGTGATTCTGTTAGAACAAATGAACAAATTTAGCAAAGTTGCAGGATACGAAATCAACACACAAAAACCAGTTGTATTTCTATACATTGATAATAGACAATCTAAAATGAACATTAAGAAAACAATTCGATTTACAATAACATCAAAAAGGATAAGGCCAGTCATGGTAGCTCACACCTGTTATCTGAACACTTTGGGAGGCCAAGGTGGGAGGATTGTTTGAGGAGTTAAGAGGCTGCAGTGAGCTGTGATCGTACCACTGCATTCCAGCCTGGGCAACGGAGTGAGATCCTATCTCCAAAGAAGAAAAAAAGGAAGTCAAGATAACAGGAGAAGCAGCTTCTGCTGACCAAGATGCAGCAGATAAGCTCCCAGATGCCATTAAGAAACCCACTGAGGCTGGGTGTGGTGGCTTATGCTTGTAATCCCAGCACTTTGGGAGGCAGAGGTGGACAGATCACCTGAGGTCAGGAGTTCAAGACCAGCCTGGCCAACACAGTGAAACCCTGTCTCTACTAAAAACACAAGAAATTAGCCAAACGTGGTGGCAGATGCCTGTTATCCCAGCTACTTGGGAGGCTGAGGCATGAGAATTGTTTGAACCTGGGAGGCAGAGGTTGCAGTGAGCCGACATGGCACCACTGCACTCCAGCCTCGGTAACAGCAAGACTCCATCTCAAAAAAAAAAAAAAAAAAAAAAAAAAAAAGAACTGATGAGAAAGGATATCTGCCTGAGCAGGTTTTTATGCAGATGAAAGTGCCCTGTTCTGGAAAATAAAATGCCACAAAGAACATTTATTAGTAAGGAAGAGAAGGGAGCACCAGGAATTAAGGTAGGAAGGGATGAGCTCTACTCTACTGCTTTGTGCAAATGCAGTCAGGTTTATGACCATGACTGCCCTTATCTGTAAAGCTGCTAACCTCTGAGCCTTGAACAGAAAGAATAAACACCAGCTGCTCATCTTTTGTTTGTACAACAATAAGGCATGGACAATGAGAACCCTTTTTCTGGACTGGTCTCATTGATGCTTTGTCCCTGAACTCAGGAAGTAACTTGATAGTAAGGAATTGCCTTTTAAAGTTCTCTTAATATTGGACAATGCCCCTGGCCACCCAGAACCCCATGAGTTCAACACTGAAGGCGTTGAAGTTGTCTACTTGTCCCCAAACATGAGGTCTCTAATATAGCCTCTAGATCAGGGGGTCATAAGGACCTGCAAGGCTCATTACACACAACAGTCTATGGAAAGGATTGTCAGTGCTATGGAAGAAAACCCAGATAGAGAGACTATCATGAAAGTCAGGAAGGATCACACCATTGAACATGCCATCATTGTTATGGAAAAGCTGTTAAAGCCTAAATAAATAAATAAATAAGTTAACTGAATAAAAATTAAAAGCTGTGAAAGCCATCAAGCCCAAAACAAAAAATGTGGGAGGGTGTGGGGTAGAGGGTTTCAAGATATGGATCTTGGGGAAATTAAAGTGCTAATAGAAGCCATACCAGAGGAATTAATAGAAGATGACTTGATGGAGATGAGTGCTTCTGAACCAGTGCCAGACCATGAGGAAGAAGACATAAAAGAATCGTTACTAGAAAAAAAATTAACATTAGACAGTCTGACAGAAGGGTTCTTATTATTCATGCCTGCTTTTTACTTCTTTTACATGGACCCTTCCATGATATGGGCACTAAAACTATAGCAAATGGTAGAAAAGGGATTGCTATCATATAGAAATATTTTTAGAGGAATGAATAAAAAAGTTAGAAATAAATTACATTGCATTTCTGTAGTTTCACTGAGTGTGCCCACTTCTCCTGCCTCCCCTTCCACCTCCTCCACCTCTTCTGCCTCTGCCACTCCTGAGACAGCAAAATCAACCCTTCCTCTTCCTCCTCCTCAGCCTACTCAACAGGAAGTGAAGAGGATGAAGACCTTTGTGATGACCCATTTCCACTTAATGAACAGTGAATGTATTTTCTCTTCCTTACAATTTTTTAAATAGCATTTTCTTTACTCTAATTTACTCTATTAAGAATATAGGGCAGGTGCAGTGACTCACACCTGTAATCCCAGCACTTTGGGAGGCCGAGGCGGGTGGCTCACCTGAGGTTGGGAGTTCAAGACCAGCCTGGCCAACATGGGGAAACACTGTCTCTACTAAAAATACAAAAATTAGCCAGGCGTGATGGCGCATGCCTGTAATCCCAGCTACTTGGAAGGCTGAGGCAGGAGAATCGCTTGAACCTGGGAGGCAGAGTTTGCAGTGAGCCCAGATTGTGCCACTGCACTCCAGCCTGAGTGACAGAGTGAGACTCCATCGCAAAAAAAAAAAAAAAAAAAGGCAGTATATAATAGATAAACAAAATGTGTTAATTGACTGTGTTACTGTAAAATTTCTAGTCAACAGTAAGCTGTTTGTAGTTAAACTTTGGGGGAGTCAAAAATGACACATAGATTTTTTTTTTTTTTTTGAGACAGAGTCTCACTCTGTCACCCAGGCTGGAGTGCGTTGGCGCAATCTCGGCTCACTGCAAGCTCCGCCTCCCAGGTTCACGCCATTCTCCTGCCTCAGCCTCCCAGGTAGCTGGGACTACAGGCACCCGCCACTGTCTCACGCATCTGTGTGAAGAGACCACCAAACAGGCGTTGTGTGAGCAACAAGGCTATTTATTTCACCTGGGTGCAGACGGGCTGAGTCTGAAAAGACAGTTAGCAAAGGGTGGTGGGATTATCATTAGTTCTAATAGGTTTTGGGATAGGCGGTGGAGTTAGGAGCAATGTTTTGTGGGCAGGGGGTGGATCTCACAAAGTACATTCTTAAGGGTAGGGGGGAAATTACAAAGAACCTTCTTAAGGGTGGGGGAGAAACAAATCACAATGGTGGAATGTCATCAGTTAAGGCTATTTTCACTTCTTTTGTGGATTTTCAGTTGCTTCAGGCCATCTGGATGTATACATGCAGGTCACAGAGGATATGATGGCTTAGCTTGGGCTCAGAGGCCTGACAGCCACCACACCTGGCTAATTTTTTGTATTTTTAGTAGAGACTGGGTTTCACTTTGTTAGCCAGGATGGTCTCGATCTCCTGACCTCATGATCCACCCTCCTCAGCCTCCCAAAGTGCTGGGATTACAGGTGTGAGCCACTGCGCCCGGCCGACACATGGATTTTTGACTGCAAGGAGGATCAATGCCCCTAATTATTCAAGTTCAAGGGCCAACTAAATACAAAAATCAACTCAAAATGTATCATAGACCTAAATATAAGAGCTAATATTGTAAAACCTTGGGAAGAAAACATACGGGAGCAGCTCCATGACATCTAACTTAAAAATTTCTCACGTATGACCCCAAAAGCACAGACAATAAAACAAAAAAATAGTTAAATTGGACTTTACCAAAATTTTAAAATTTGTGCAACAAAGGACACTATCAACAGAGTAAAAATGCGACCCAAGGAATAAGAGAAAATAATTATATCTGATAAATGATTAATATCTAGAATATATAGAGAGAGAACGTCTACAATTCACAGCAGAAAAAAAAACTATTTAAAAATGGACAAAGGACTTGAATAGACATTTCTCCAAGGAAGATATGCAAATGGCCGATACGCACATGAAAAAATACTCAATATCACTAATCATTAGGGAAACTAAAATCAAAATTACAATGAGATATCACTGCAAACACACTAAGATGGCTATTATCTAAAACAAACATATACATGGCCCGGCACGGTGGCTCATGCCTGTAATCCCAGCACTTTGGGAGGTCAAGGCAGGCAGATCACTTGAGACCAGGAGTTTGAGACCAACCTGGCCAACATAGCAAAACCCCATCTCTACTAAAAATACAAAAATTAGCCGGGCATGGTGGCGCATGTCTGTGGTCCCAGCTATTTGGGGGAGGGGGTGCTGAGGCATGAGAATTGCTTGAACCCGGGAGGCAGAGGCTGCAGTGAGCCAAGATCACACCATTGCTCTCCAGCCTGGGCAACACAGTGAGACTCCATCTCAAAAAATAAATAATTAATTTTTAAAAAATTTAAAACACACAAAGCAACAAAACAGAAAATAAGTGTTGTTGAGGATGTGGAGAAATTGAAAGCTTTTATTGTGTATGTTCTGACTCTTCCACCGACCAGTTACCCCAACCAGTCCACCCCATCTCTCTCTCTCTTTCCTCGGGCCTTTCTATTCCTTGAGACACAACAATATTGAAATCAGGCAGGGTGCAGTGGCTCACACCTGTAATCCCAGCACTCTGGGAGGATGAGGTGGGAGGATTGTGTGAGCCCGGGAGGCCAAGGCCACAGTGAGCCATGATTGTGCTACTACACTCCAGCCTGGGCAACAAAGCAAGATCCTGTCTCCCCCCAAAAAAAAAAAAGAAAGAAAGAAAGAAAAAAAAATTAGGCCAAATAATAACCCTAAAATAGTCTCAAAAGTGTTCAAGTGAAAGGAAGAGTCACACATTTCTCATTTTAAATCAAAACTTAGAAATAATTAAGTTTAGTAAGGAAAGCATGTCAAAAGCCAAGATAGGGTGAAAGATAGGTCCCTTGCATCAAACAGCCAAGTTATGAATGATAGAAAAAGCTCTTGAAGGAAATTAAAAGTGCTACTCCAGTGAACACACAAATGACAAGAAAGCAAAAACAGCCTTTTGCTAATGTGGTGAAAGTTTGCGTGGTCTGGATAGATCAAACCAGCCACAATATTCCCTTAAGCCAAAGCCTAATCCGGAGCAATTCTTAAATTCCATAAAGGTTCAGAGAGTGAGGAAGCTGCAGAAGAAAAGTTGAAAGCCAGCAGAGGTTGGTTCATGAGGTTTAAGGGAAAAAGCTGTCTTCATAACATAAAAGGGCAAGGTGAAGTAGCAAGTGCTAATACAGAAGCTGCAGCAAGTTCTCCAGAAGATCTAGTTAAGATCCTTGACGAAAGTGGCTACACTAAACAACAGATTTCCCATGTAGATGAAACAGGCTTCTGTTGGGAAAAAGATGCCATCTAGGACTATCATAGCTAGAGAGGAGAAATCAATGCTTGGTTTCAAAGCTTCAAAGGACAGGCCGACTTTTTTTTGTTTTTGTTTTTGTTTTTGTTTTTTTGAGACAGGGTCTCACTCAGTTGCCCAGGCCGGAGTGCAGTGGCAGTCATGGCTCACTGCAGCCTTGACCTCCTGGGCTTAAGTGTGATCCTCTTGCCTCAGCTTCCCAAGTAGCTGGGACCACAGGTGCATGCCACCATGCCCAGCTATCTTTTTAAAAATTTTTTGGACTGGGCGTGATGGCTCACACCTGTAATCTCAGCACTTTGGGAGGCCAAGACGGGCAGATCACGAGGTCAGGAGATCGAGACCATCCTGGCTAACACGGTGAAACCCCGTCTCTACTAAAAATACAAAAAATTAGCCGGGCGTGATGGCGGGCACCTGTAGTCCCAGCTACTTGGGAGGCTGAGGCACGAGAATCACTGGAACCTGGGAGGTAGAACATGCAGTAAGCCGAGATCATGCCACTGCACTCCAACCTGGGTGACAGAGGGAGATTCCATCTCAAAAAAAAAAAAAGTTTTTCGTAGAATCAGAGTCTCCCTACATTGCCCAGGCTGGTCTCATCTGGGCTCAAGCAATCTTCCTGCCTCAGCCTGCCAAAGTGCTGGGATTATAGGCATGAGCCACCATGTCCAGCCCAGGCTGACTCCTTTGTTAGGGGCTAATGCTGCTGGTGACTTTCAGTTGAAGCCAATGCTCATTTACCATTCCTAAAATCCTAGAACCCTTTAAAAAATTTCCACTCTGCCTGTGCTTTAATAAACGGACAAACAAAGCCTGGATGACAGCACATCCATTTACAGCATGGTTTACTGAATATCTTAAGCCTACTGTTGAGAACTACTGCTCAGAAAAAAGATCCCTTTCAAAAGATTAGTGCTTATCGACAGTGCACATGATCACCCAAGGAGATCTGTAAGACGTACAAAAAGATTAACATGTTGTTTTCATGCCTGCTAACGCAACAGCCATTCTGCAGCCATTCAAGAAATAATTTCAACTTTCAAGTTTTGTTATTTAAGAAATACACTTCATGCCGGGTGAGGTGGCTCACGCCTATAATCCCAACACTTTGGAAGGCCGAGGCAGGAGGATGGCTTGGGCCCAGGAGTTTGAGACCAGCCTGGGCAGCATGGCGAGACCCTGTCTCTACAAAACATTTAAAAATTAGCCAGGTGTTGTGGTGCATGCCTGTGGTCCTGAGGTGGCATACACCTGAGGAAGCTCAGGCTGGAGGACTGCTTGAGCCCAGGAGGTTGAGACTGCAGTGAGCTGTGATCGTGCCACTGCACTCCAGCCAGGGTGACAGAATGAGACTCAAAAAAAAAAAAAAAAAGAAGAAGAAATGCACTTCATAAGGCTATAGTGATTCCTCTGATGGATCTTGTAAATTGAAAACCTTTCAGAAAGAATTCACTAGTCTAGATGCCATTCAGAACCTTTGTGATTCCTGGGAGGAGGTCAAAATATTAACATGAACAGAAGTTTGGAAGAAGTTTGGCCGGGCGTGGTGGCAGGCGCCTGTGGTCCCAGCTACTCGGGAGGCTGAGGCAGGAGAATGGCGTGAACCCAGGAGGTAGAGCTTGCAGTGAGCCGAGATCGCGCCACTGCACTCCAGCCTGGGTGAAAGTGCAAGACTCTGTCTCAAAAAAAATAAAAACAAAAATAAATAAATAAAATAAAAATAATTTTAAAAATTAGAAAAAAAAAAGAAATTTGGAAGAAGTTGATTCTCACCTACACGGATGGCTTTGAGGGGTCCAAGACTTCGGTGGAGGAAGGAACTGCAGATGTGGAAATAGCAAGAGAATTAGAATTGGAAGTGGACCCTGAAGATGTGACTGAATTCCTACAATTTCATGATCAAACTTGAATTGATGAGAAGTTGCTTATTAAGAAAGTGGTTTCTTGAGATGGAATCTACTCCTGATGTAGATGATTGTGAACATTTTTGAAATGACCACAAAGGGCTGGGCACAATGGCTCATCTATAATCCCAGCACTTTGGGAGGCCAAGGCAGGTGGATCACTTGAGCCCAGGAGTTTGAGACAAGCCTGGGCAACATAGTAAGATGTCATCTCTACTAAAAACGTTTTGAAAAAATAAAATTAATTTTAAAAAAGAAACGACAACAAAGGATTTAGAATATTTCATAGTCTTAGTTGATAAAGCAGTGACAGATTGGAGGAGACTAACCAATTTTGAAAGAAGTTCTGTTGGGGGTAAAATGCTATCAAATGGCATCATGTGCTACAGAGAAACCTTTGTGAAAAGAGTCAATTGACATGGCAAACTTCACTGTTGTCTTATTTTAAGAAATTGTCACAACCACTCCAACCTTCAGCAACCATCACCCTGATCTGTCAGTAGCCATCAACATCAAGGCCAGGCCCTGGGCCAGCAAAATGATTATAACTCACTGAGGCTCAGATGAGGTTAACATTTTTTAGTAATAAAGTATTTTTAAATTAAGGTATGCACATTTTTAGACATAATCCTATTGCACATTAATAGACTACAATATAGTGTAAACATAACTTTTATATGTGCTGGGAAACAAAACAATTTGTGTGACTTGCTTTATTGCAATATTTGTGTTATTGTGGTGATGTGGAACCATACCTGCAATATCTCCAAGGTATGCTTGTATACCCAAAAGAAGTAAAAGCAGGCATTCAGACAGATATTTGTACACCAATATTTATAGCAGCATTATTCACAAATCCAAAAGGTGGGGGCAACCCAAGTATCCATCAACAGGCAAATGGATCAGCAAAATGTGGTGTAGGCATACAGTGGAATACTATACAGCCTTAGAAAGAAATGAAATTCTAACATGTGCTACAACATGGGTGAACCTTGACATGCCAAGTGAAATAAGCCAGACACAAAAAAGACAAATATTGGACGATGCCACTTATATGAGGTACTTAGTCAAATTCATAGAGACAGCAGAATGTCGACTGCCAAGGGGTGGAGTGTTGGGGTGATCAGACCCAACACCAGGTCGTGGGGGTGACAAAGTCCAGCAGAGTCAAAGGATTGAGAAAAAGACAGTGAGAGAAAAAGGTGGGACACCAGGGGGCCATCACTATGTATGGAGGCTGCGAAGGCCCCGAGCTCTGAGAGCCCACGGTATTTATTGGTAATCCAACAAAGAAACAGGTGTTGAGACTGTGGAGGTCAACACCTCCACATGTTCCATTAAGCACATGATTTACAGCTGTGATGGTTTAGCATTTATATGGAACATGTCCTGCTACTTGAGATAATGGGAACAGGAGCCTAGGAGGGCTAGAAGCAAGCAGCCAGCAAGTCTAGACACATTCCAAAGGACACTATGCAAGCCCTGCCTCAGTTTCCCTCCCTACACTCAGCTTTTTCCCAACAGTGGCGGGAGGGGAGAATGAAGTTATTGTTTATTGGTAGACTTTTAGCTGGGGAAGATAAAACAGTTCTGGAGATGGATGGTGGTGTGGCTAAACAGTGTGAATGTGCTTAGTGCCACAGAACTGCACAACTAAAAACGGTAAATTTTATGTTATGCACATTTTATCACAATTTTAAAACACAATCTAATTAGAATATGGTCAAAAGATGTAAACACACACTTTCACCACAGAGGATGACCTGTCACCAAAGATGGATGGCAAGTCAGCACATGGAAAGATGATCGGGCTGGGCACAGTGGTAATGGCTCATGTCTATAATCCCAGCACTTTGGGAGGCCAAGGTGCAAGGATCATTTGAGGACAGGAGTTCGAGACCAGTCCAAGCAACATGACAAGACCCCTGTCTCTACAAAAATAAAATAAAATTCACCAGGTGTGCTGGCGCACACCTGTGGTCTCAGCTATTTGGGAAGCTGAGGTGGGAGGATCGCTTAAGCCCAGACAGCAAGGCTGCAAGGATCTGTGATTGTGCCACTGCACTCCAGCCTGGGTGACATAGTAAAACCCTCTCTCCAATAATAATACTAATAATATTACCAAGTGCTGGAAAGGATCCAGATGTCTCATGCACTGGGGACATAACATAAATGACACAGCCACTCTGGAAAAAGAGTTTGGCATATTCTGAAAATTTAAACATACACATACCATTACAATCATACAATTACCATACAATCATACAATCTACGATTTCCTGCAGAAATGAAAGCTGATGCTCACCCCTAAACCTATAAGTCAATGTTCTGTGGTAAGCAGGTCTACGTAAACCCCCAAAGACAAAGGGAGGTGAGAGGCTGAAGACAAAGGGTGAAAAATCCAGTTTCTCAGAAGGAAACATTTAGTAGGGACTTACAAACAGAAGTGGCATCTCTGGCAGCCAAGTGATGGTGGATGCCCACAACCAACCTTCTTTCTGGAAAATATTCTTTAATTAGCAAGCTGTTTTTGGTAAAACATGTGCAGCTGGTCATGTCTCAGACCCTCTTATGAAACAACTAGGGACCACTGGGGAAGTTAGATAAGTATCTTTATGAGGGGTTATCTATGTACAGGCATTGTTTCTCTATGAGGAGTTGGATGCTACGGGCATTGTTTCTTGACCTTGTTGTGGGAATGGGAACGAGTTGGTATGCAGACATCAGTCATCACAGCAGTTTCGCTTCAAAATGGTGTAATCTTGCCATGCAGCAGGCTGTTTTCCTACAACCAATGTTGATAACAGCGTTATTGGTAATAGCTAAAACTGGATATAGCCCAAATGTCCTTCAATGGGTGAGAGGGTAAATTAATGCAGCCATACAACAATTTAGCAATAAAACAAAAACAAAAACAAAATTTGGCCAGGCACAGTAGCTCACGCCCGTAATTCCAGCACTTTGGAAGGCTGAGGCAGGTGGATCACTTGAGGTCAGGAGTTCGAGACCAGCCTGGCCAACATGGTGAAACCCCGTCTCTACTAAAAATACAGAAATTAGGTGAGCGTGGTGGCACGTGGCTATAGTCCCAGCTACTTGGGAGGCCGAGGCGGGAGAATCGCTTGAACTTGGGAGGTGGAGATTGCAGTGAGCCAAGATGATGCCATTGCACTCCAGCCTGGGCAACAGAGCGAAACTCTGTCTCATTAAAAAAAAAAAAAAGGAAAAAATTGATACATAATTTGAATGGATCTTGAGGGCATGTCAGTTGATGACAAGAACCAATCTCAAAGAGCTACGTATCGTATGATTCTTGAAATCATACATATTGAACATTCTTGAAATAACAAATTATAGTACTTGAGAATAGATCAGTGGTAGCCAGGAGTTAGGAGTTGGGGTAGATGTGACTGTGAGGTAACAAGGAAGTTTCTTTATGGCGAGGGAACAATTCTGTATTCTGATTGTGGTGGTAGCTACATGAAAATGTACATGTGATAAAACTCTACAGTACTACACACACACACACACACACACACACACACATACACACACACACAAATACATATACAAACTGATGAAATCTGAATAAAGTCTCTCCTGGAGTTAACAGTATAGTTGTACCAAAGTCAGTTACTGGGTTTTGATAACTGTGGCTATATATTATAACTGGGAAAAGGTATACAGAAAATCTTATTATTATTTTTATTTTTAATAGAGATGAGGTCTCACTATGTTGCCCAGGCTGCTCTCAAACTCCTGGCCTCAGGCCATCCTCCTGCCTTGGCCTTCCAAAGTGCTGAGATTACAGGCGTGAGCCACTGCACCCGGCCCAAAAACCTTGAATGAAGGACTTTCTGACAACTGACAAAGAACCCAAAATGTTCTTAAGGGCAAATATTCCGTGTAACCCTGAAAAGATTTAGTTCCGAGAGAAGACTAGTTGGCCAATTTACACCTTGAAATCTCTTTTAGGAAAATCTAGTGAGCATAGAGATGCAGTCATTTTTAAAAGATTATGGATTTAAAATTCACCACTTTGACCTTTTGTGTTTTTTACTCTGTAAACTAAAAATAAAATTATAAGACCCTCAATCAACTGAATGGACCCTCACCCCCTTGGCCAAGGGGATTCCCCAAGACAACCTGAAAAACAAGTTCAGGCCACTAGATGGGAAGGCAGGTAGGATACCCTCAGTATACTTTCCTCGCTTTGGAGTTTAGGTGCCACTGACCAGCATTAACATTAAAATACATTTCTTAAGACTGACAAAACAGACTCTTTATAGCAGTAAGATACCAAATTCCAACCTGACTCTGGTATACCATCACATGACAGATAACAGGGTCTAAAGGAAATGCAAGTATTTTACCCTAAAATATGTTTATTTGGCATATTTTGGAATGGCCCTGCAAAGCCTTGCCTTGGGGAAATTTGCATTCTGTAGAGAATCCCCTTCCTTTTCCAGGTCTTTCCCTGATCCAGGAGAAATTTAACTAAGAGTCTGACACCTTTGAAGGTCTGATAAGAGACATTTACCATCTATTTACTCTGAAGCCTGCCACTCAGAGGCTTCATCTACTTAGCAAAAACCTTGGCTTCCACAACCACTCTTATCTTAACTCAAGCATTTCTTTATGCTGACTTCAACTCTTCAGGCAAAGCTTAACTTTTTCAACCAACTGCCAATCAGAAAATCTTTGCATCCATGTATAACCTGGAAGCATCCCACCCCCGACTTGGAGATGCCCCACCTTTCCTGGCTCAACCAATGTATACCTTACATGTGTTGATTTATGTCTTTGCCTGTATGTCTTTGCCTGTCTCCGTAAAACGTATAAAACCAAATGGTAACCCAACTACTTTGAACCCATGTTCTCAGGACCTCCTGAGGCTGTGTCCTGGGCCAAGGTCACTAAATTATAAGGCTCAGAATAAACTTCTTTAAATATTTTACAGTTTGACTTTTTTCGTTAACAGCTTTCAAACAGAAAATTCCACCCAGCCTTTCCAAACTGGCCAGTTTGAGTTTGAAAGAAAGGCACATGTACTAATGAATATACTTCTTGTCAGGCCTCTGAGCCCAAGCTAAGCCATCATATCCCCTGTGACCTGCACGTATACATCCAGATGGCCTGAAGTAACTGAAGAATCACAAAAGAAGTGATATTTAAATGGCCTGTTCCTGCTTTAACTGATGCCATTCCACCACAAAATAAGTGAAAATGGTCGGTCCTTGCCTTAAGTGATGACATTACCTTGTGAAATTCCTTCTCCTGGCTCATCCTGGCTCAAAAACCTCTCCCGCTGAGCAACTTGTGACCCCCACTCCTGCCTGCCAGAGAACAACCCCCCTTTGACTATAACTTTCCTTTACCTACCCAAATCTTATAAAACGGCCCCACCCCATCTCCCTTCGTTGACTGTCTTTTCGGACTCAGCCCGCCTGCACCCAGGTGATTAAAAGCTTTATTGCTCACACAAAGCCTGTTTGGTGGTCTCTTCACACAGACGCGCATGAAACTTCTAATGTGTCTAAAATGTCCACAGTCATTATTTCAAAAGAACATTCTCAGCTGGGGCCTGTGACTCACATTGCCTTCCAGATTAGCTACACAGACTCAGCGTTCCTGGCTTTTCTGGATCTCTGTATTAAATATATCTCAAGAATACTGTCCTTTGTTTAGACCACGGTCCAGATCCTGGCTTCTCTTTGGGCTATCATTCCTTCATCTTGATGTCTCTCTCAGAGGTATGTGAACCAGAGCAACTCCATCTTGAATAGGAGCTGGGTAAAATGAGGCTGAGACCTACTGGTTAGAGACAAGACTAGCTGGATTTCCTAGGCCGACTAAAAATCCCTAAGCCTAGCTGGGAAGGTGACCACATCCACTTTTAAACACGGGGCTTGCAACTTAGCTCGCACCTGACAAATCAGGTAGAAAAGAAAGCTCACTAAAATGCTGATTAGGCAAAAACAGGAGGTAAAGAAATAGCCAATCATCTATCACCTGAGAGCACAGGGGGAGGGACAACAATCGGGATATAAACCCAGGTATTCAAGCTGGCAACGGCAACCCCCTTCGGGTCCCCTCCCATTTTATGGGAACTCTGTTTGCACTCTATTAAATCTTGCAACTGCACACTCTTCTGGTCCATGTTTGTTATGGCTCGAACTGAGCTTTTGCTTACCGTCCACCACTGCTGTTTGCCACCGTTGCAGACCCGCTGCTGACTTCCACCCCTCTGGATCCGGCAGGGTGTCCGCTGTGCTCCTGATCCAGCGAGGCACCCATTGCCGCTCCCGATCGGGCTAAAGGCTTGCCATTGTTCCTGCACGGCTAAGTGCCCGGGTTCATCTTAATCGAGCTGAACACTAGTTGCTGGGTTCCACGGTTCTCTTCCGTGACCCACGGCTTCTAATAGAGCTATAACACTCACCACATGGTCCAAGATTCCATTCCTTGGATCCGTGAGGCCAAGAACCCCAGGTCAGAGAACAAGAGGCTTGCCGCCATCTTGGAAGCAGCGTGCCACCATCTTGGGAGCTCTAAGAACAAGCCCCCCCACCACCCCCTTAACACTGGATTCCCAGACATTTAGGGCATTCTCAGTCACAGGATGAGATAGGAGGTCAGCACAAGATACAGGTCATAAAGACCTTGCTGATAAAACAGGTTGCAGGAAAGAAGCTAGCCAAAACCCACCAAAACCAAGATGGCGATAAGAATGACCTCTGATCATCCTCACTGCTACACTCCCACCAGCGCCATGACAATTTACAAATGCCATGGCAACATCAGGAAGTTACCCTATATAGTCTAAAAAGGGGAGGCATGAATAATCCACCCCTTGTTTAGCATATAATCAAGAAATAACTGGAAAAATGAGCAACCAGTAACCCTTGAGGCTTCTCTGTCTATGGAGTAGCCATTCTTTTTTTTTTTTGAGACGGAGTCGCGCACTGTCGCCCTGGCTGGAGTGCAGTGGCACAATCTCGGCTCACTGCAAGCTCCGCCTCCCAGATTCACACCATTCTCCTGCCTCAGGCTCCCAAGTAGCTGGGACTACAGGCGCCCACCACCATGCCTGGCTAATTTTTTTGTATTTTTACTAGAGATAGGATTTCATTGTATTAGCCAGGATGGTCTCGATCTCCTGACCTTGTGATCTGCCCGTCTCGGCCTCCCAAAGTGCTGGGATTACAGGCGTGAGCCACCGCGCCCGGCTGCCGTTCTTTTATTCTTCTACTTTCTTAGTAAACTTGCTTTTGCTTTGCACTGTAGACTCGCCCTGAATTCTTTCTGTGCGAGATCCAAGAACCCTCTCTTGGGGACTGGATCGGGACCCCTTTCCTATAACATCTTTCTGGTGACCACTGAAGGGACTACAGTGCGGAAACCCTGGACCCAAACCCCTTACTTACCAAGGTTTTCACCAAAAGTAAAAGTTGCTAAGAGTTAACATTGTAACATGTATTTGAGACTACTAAAGAAACAGTTCTTCTACACGTAAGGCGTGTAGGGAAAGCGAAATGTGTTTTTAGTAAAAGATTATAAGAAGTCACGGGAATGTGGATTTTCTTGTCTAAAGGGTTAAAGGATTGTTTTAAGTTAAACAGGATAAAGCTAAAGGTTTGAGCAAGTTATGAAAAGTTTATAAAAAATGAATCTTGTAAAAAGAAATTCTTTGTGTGAACATATTGGCTAAAGTTAAAGGGGTATTATTCAGTTTTTCCATAAATTAAGCATTGGACTAAAAGTACAACAGGTTTTTCTTAGAACACTAATCTGCTCTTTCACAAAAAAAGTAAAGGGTTAATAAAAGGTTTATGAAAATCTTACCTATGGTCAAACTAATTGAGTATTCCTAATTTATGCAATATAGTTATTTGCATAAGTGCAAATAAGTATCTGTTTTCTTTTGCAACAGGACACAATTGGAGAAACTGGTTATTTTATCAAGGCTTTGACTGGAATGGCATGTTTTCTTTTAAGGAATTAAACTTAACTTATAGAGCCAATAGAAGCCCCTTGGGGAACTGGCCTCATACCTTGCCTACACAGTCCTTGTACAGGATTTCTGACCTGTGGTAAGTAAAGAATGTCACTTTCTAACAGACCCAGGAACTCCAAGTTATCTTGGAACCTCAAGAAGAGAGGAATTTACCCAACTCATACGTATTTGAGGGTACAAACCCATGGCAAAAAGTCTTATCTAAGATTCCTTCTTTGGAACAGAGTTCCAGGAAAGCCAATTTAAAAAGAGCTTATGTGGCTGGCTGTGGTGGCTCACACCTGTAATACCAGCACTTCGGGAGGCCAAGGTGGGCAGATCACTTGAGGTCAGGAGTTCGAGACCAGCCTGGCCAACAAGGTGAAATCCTGTCTCTATTAAAAATACAAAAATATTAGCAGGGCACGGTGGTGGGCACCTGTAATCCCAGCTACTTGGGAGGCTGAGGCAGATGAATCGCTTGAGCCCAGGAGGCAGAGGTTGTAGTAAGCCAAGATCGTACCACTGCACTCCAGCCTGGGTGACAGAGTGAGACTCCATCTCAATAAATAAATAATAAAAAGAGCTTATGTGAAAAATAATTATTCTTGCTACACTTTATATAAATAATCAGGCCAAGTATAACAAAGCAAATCAGTCTTACCAAGATTTGCCTTTAGTAAAAATGGGAAACTGGAGAGAGAAATATAATGTTTCAAGAACTTATGGTACACTGGTTATTAGATTCTAGTCTCATCAGTTGTTTTTAAGTTTGTTTCTGCAATTTAGGCTAACCCAGCTTATTCCTGTGAACCAACCAGTGATCTCTGACTGCTGCTCAAAACAAACAAGAGTGATGGTGTCAGGTCTCTGAGCCCAAGCCTGCACGTATTCATTCAGATGGCCTGAAGCAAGTGAAGAATCACAAAAGAACTGAAAATGGCCGGTTCCTGCCTTAACTGGTGACATTACCTTGTGAAATTCCTTCTCCTGGCTCGTCCTGGCTCAGGAGCTCCCCGACTGAGCACCTTGTGACCCCCCACTTCTGCCAGCCAGAGAACAAACCCCTTTGACTGTAATTTTCCACTACCTACCCAAATCCTATAAAACGGCCCCACCGCTATCTTCCTTCGCTGACTCTCTTTTTGGACTCAGCCCGCCTGCACCCAGGTGATTAAAAAGCTTTATTGCTCACATAAAGCCTATTTGGTGGTCTCTTCACATGGACGCGCATGGAAGATGGGTAATGTAAAAATCTGAATCGATATTCTAATTCTGAACACACTGGAATCAGCTAGCAACCCCACATCAGCTTGGTTCCAACAGTTGCCCAGTTCATGGAAAGCCTTCTAATTTAGTTTACTTGGGATAATTTTACTTATTTTGCTTTACTCTTGTGGAATATATTGCTATTGTACTCTTTGTGTAGGAGTGCAGGATAAGCTTACTGAATGTTTTCTTAAACTGAATACTTATTAATCTTCCAGATATCACCTTTTGTCAGAACTTGGAGTTATGAATGGCCCTCACTATACTGATGTTTTCTGAGCTCCTCTCTACTCTGAACATAAGGGACCCTAATAGTTAAGCAGGAATATCATCACCCCTATTCAGCCTGAAGAAGTTACAGAAGATGCATCTTCATCCCTCCGAAACTTTTAGGATTAAAGTTTCTCTCATAATAGGGAGGAGGCAAATGTCAGAGGAATGTGAACCAGAGCAACTCCATCTTGAATAGGAGCTGGGTAAAATGAGGCAGAGACCTACAGGGCTGCATTCCCAGACAGTTAGGCATTCTCAGTCACAGGATGAGATAGGAGGTCAGCACAAGATACAGGTCATAAAGACCTTGCTGATAAAACAGGTTGCAGGAAAGAAGCTGGCCAAAACCCACCAAAACCAAGACGGCGATGAGCATGACCTCTGGTCATCCTCACTGCTACACTCCCACCAGCGCCATGACAGTTTATAAATGCCACGGCAATGTCAAGAAGTTACCCTATATGGTCTAAAAAGGGGAGGCATGAATAATCCACCCCTTGTTTAGTATAAAATCAAGAAATAATCATAAAAATGGGCAATCAGCAGCCCTCAGGGCTGCTCTGTCTATAGAGTAGCCATTCTTTTATTGCTTTACTTTCTTAATAAACTTGCTTTTGCTTTGCACTGTGGACTTGCCCTGAATTCTTTCTTGTGTGAGATCCAAGAACTCTCTCTTGGGATCTCGATCGGGACTGCTTTCCTGTAACATCTCCTTTTGCTTGGCAAATCTGATCCTGAAATCTTTTGGTGCTAGGTTGTGGGAAAGGTGGGAAGGACTGATTCACTTTTTCATTCTGAGCACCACCCACAAACTTTTGGGGGCTGAAATCTCAAGTTCAGGAGTTTCTCAGGGATGCTGTGGCAGTCTAGGAAGTGCTGGCCATTCCTGAGGCCCTGGCAGGGACAGTTGGGACTAGACGATGGTGGCAGGTGAGGGAGACTCAGAAGGTGTTGATTCCATATCTTGAAGATCTTCTATCCATTTTACAGATGAAACAGTCCCAGAGAGTAAATGTCATCTCTATGCAGCTGTCCCCAAATTTCTACCTTTAGCCCTGACTAGGCCCTAGGCTCCAGGCAACCTGGGTATGTCCCAGTCATCTAAAGAATAAAGGCTGGCTGCAGTGGCTCATGCCTGTAATCCCAGCACTTTGGGAGGCTGAGGCGGGTGGATCACTTGAGGTCAAGAGTTCAACATCAGCCTGGTCAACATAGTGAAAACTCATCTCTACTAAAAATAAAAAAAATTAGCCGGGCATGGTGGCAGGTGCCTGTAATCCCAGCTACTCGGGAGGCTGAAGCAGGGGAATAGCTTGAACCTGGGAGGCAGAGGTTGCAGTGAGGCCCACTGCACTTCAGCCTGGGTGACAGAGTGAAACTCCATCTCAAAAAATAAACAAAAATACACTCTTACTTCCCCAGCTCCTGGCACTTACACTGCCCCAGGCTCCTCCCTTACCCCATCTATCCATCCAGCAATGACAAAAATCCAAAATTTTCCTCTGCTCTTCCCTAGCACTTACAGCATTCCTATTGATTCTAGCCCAAATAGATCTCAAAACTGTCCCCCTCCTCTCCATCTGGAAGTTGCCTCCTAGTCTGCCTCTGTTGCTGCCACAGACTTCCCAGCATCCGCCTGTTCTGCCTTTGCCTCCACCCCCTCCCATTCCCAGTCAGCAACCTACTGGAAGTTGCAAATTCCTAATTTGGCAGCCTGCAGCTGTGATCCATAGAAGGGAATGTTTGGAATGTCTTGGGGATGGGTGGAGACTGGGTGCTCAATTGTCCCATCTGACCCCCAAGGGCCAAATTAAGACTAATGAGCTTCCAGAGGTTGTCCCTATGGCCAAGTGTTTGGCACCTCCCCATAAGGGAGGAGACCACCCCTCATATTGTCTTATGCCCAATTTCTGCCTCCAAAGAAAGAAAAAGTAAAAACTAAAAGGCAGAAATGAAATCCACAAACAGACAGCCTGGTGCCACACCCTGGGCCTGGTAAAGATCGACCCCGACCTAATCGGTTATGTTAACTATAGATTACAGACATTGTATAGAAAAGCACTGTGAAAATCCCTATCCTGTTCCAGTCTAATTACCGGTGCTTGCAGCCCCTAGTCACATACCCCCTGCTTGCTCAATCAATCATGACCCTCTCACGCACACCTCCTTAGAGCTGTGAGCCCTTAAAAGGGACAGGAATTGCCCATTCAGGGAGCTCGGCTCTTGAGACAAGAGTCTTGCCCATGCCCCTGGCCGAATAAACCCCTTCCTTCTTTAACTCGGTGTCTGAGGAGTTTCGTCTGCGGCTTGTCCTGCTACATCCATAGGGCCGCCCTTCTCTAAAGTTGTTGTAACCTTCCCCCAAGCAGGAATCCACTTCTGCTTTAGGAAGCAGTGGGAAAAAGACCATGCTTTAGAGTCAAGACAGTCCTAAATTAAAATATCGGCTCATTTAATCAATTTCTGCTTCAGTTTAACCGTCTTCAAAATGGAGATAATAATAACACTAATTACCCAAGTGGGGTACTGTGAGAATGAGCTATACAGCACATATCTCAATGCTTGGCTCACAGTAGGTGCTTAATGCAATCAATGAAAGCTATGATGTGCATTATAAGGAATCAACAGACAGCACTGTCCAGGGAAGACTAGACTCACTCATGAAGTGTTAAGTTCCCCATCAGTAGAGCGTGTGCAAGCACTTCTTGGTGCCCAAAGGATTCCAGCACCCACAACAGGTTGGCCTAACTCTTAAGGTCTCTCCAGCTTCCAGAGATCATGCTCCTCAGGGTCTGACTTCTAGTCCCCACGCTTCAAGTAACACCGACCAGGCACGTGTGCCCAGCGTGCACCCCGCCTGTCGGTCACCGCCTACTGTCAATAAAGTTGATTTGAGGCGGCTCCAGGCAGAGGGGCACGGCCACCCACACGCCACCTCAGCCCGGCCCCGCGGCCCCTCACCCGGTGGGCGGGTGGGCGGGTCACGCAGCCGGCGCGCCTTGCCATTGGCCCGCGCCGGTGGAGGCGGGGCCTGCTCACGTCTGCCGGCCCCTCTGTTGTCGTTTGGCAGCGGATAGAGGACACGACCAAGATGGCGGCGGTGTCTGGCTTGGTGCGGAGACCCCTTCGGGAGGTAGGCAGCAGCGCGCGGCCTGTATTCCCACGCGACCCCTGCCCACCCTGCGTCCCGCCGTCATCTTCCTCTCTCCCTGCCAGGTCTCCGGGCTGCTGAAGAGGCGCTTTCACTGGACCGCGCCGGCTGCGCTGCAGGTAACAGGCGCGGGTGCTCGTCGGACGAGGGCGGGGAGGGTCCCCCCTTCTCTCGGGAAGGAGGCCGGAGTCGCGCCTGCGCTGTGGCCTTCCGGCGCCGTGGGCCTTGGGTTTGCGGAGCCAGCATCCTCCGTGGAGCTCCTGCTGCCTCTGTCGCCGCCTGGCAATTAGCACACCGGCGAGTCACCACCTCACAGCTGGCTGGGCAATGGGGGAAAACTAAGACTAGGCGTTTCCTCCCTCACTCCATGTTTTTTTCTTTAAATTGCAGCAAAATAGACCTAACTTAAAATGTACTTTTTAGAAGTGTATAATTCAGTGGCATTAAGTACATTCACCATGTTGTACAACCATTAACCACCATCCATTTCCAGAACTTTTTAATCATCCCAAGCAGAAACTGTCCATTACTCGGTAACTCCTCATTTCCCTTCCCCAAACCCCTGGTAACCCCTGTTGTACTTTTCTGTCTTTATGAGGTTGCCTATTCTAGAACTTCTTATAAGTGGCATCATTTGTCCTTTTGTGTCTGGCTTATCTCAGCGTAATGTCCTCAAGGTTCATCCATGTTGTAGCATGCGTCAGAGTTTGATTCTTTCCTAAGGCTGAATAATATATATATGTATATTTTTTTGAGATAGTCTCCCTCTGTCACCCAGGTTGGAGTGCAGTGGCGCGATCTCAGCTCACTGCAACCTCCACCTCCTGGGCTCAAGGGATTCTCGCGCCTCACACTCCTGAGTAGCTGTGATTAGATGCCGGTGCCACCACACCGGGCTAATTTTTGTATTTTTAGTACAGACAGGGTCTCACCATATTGCCCAGGCTGGTCTTGAACTCCTGGCCTCAAGTGATCTGCCTGCCTTGGCCTCCCAAAGTGCTAGGATTACAGGCATGAGCCACCTCGCTCAGCCCGACATTTTCTTTTTTTTTTTTGAGACGGAGTTTTGCTCTTGCTGCCCAGGCTAGAGTGCAGTGGCACTATCTCAGCTCACTGCAATCTCTGCCTCCTGGGTTCAAGCAATTCTGCCTCAGCCTCCCGAGTAGCTGGGATTACAGGCACCCGCCACCACACCCGGCCAATTTTTGTATTTTTAGTAGAGAATGGGTTTCACCATGTTGGCCAGGGTGGTCTCGAACTCCTGACCTCAAGTGATCCACCTGCCTTGGCCTCCCAGAGTGCTGGAATTACAGGTGTGAGCCACCGTGCCTGGCCTTGTTTTGTCTATTGTGAGTAATGCTGCTGTGAACATTGATGTGCAAGTATATGCTTGAATCCCTGCTTTCAATTATTTGGGGCATATACATAGAAGTGGAATTGATGGATTGTATGTTAATTCTCCTCTCCTTCCTTTTTTTAACTAGATTTTACCATTCATTATATTAAAAGAGCAACTCCTACATTCTGGATGCAAAGTATTTGGCAGTACTTGGCACCTAGTGAGCACTCAGTACATTAACACATGCAAAGACCAACTATGTGTAATAGAAATGTTACTTTTAGAATTCTTTGAGTTTTTAGAGAGAAGCTTGTTCTAGTGTTTTTATATTGTATGCTGTGGGCAGCCTAGGTAAATATAAAGGAAGAAAATCTTAGTTGAATCCCAAACAATTCTGTATTGACTGTTTTTGCATACCTGTGACAGGTGACAGTTCGTGATGCTATAAATCAGGGTATGGATGAGGAGCTGGAAAGAGATGAGAAGGTATTTCTGCTTGGAGAAGAAGTTGCCCAGTATGATGGGGCATACAAGGTAACTAAAATATATGAAAGTTATACAAAATTGAGGTCACTGTTACCCCCAGATACACTTAAGGGATCAACTCTTAATTGTAGGTTAGTCGAGGGCTGTGGAAGAAATATGGAGACAAGAGGATTATTGACACTCCCATATCAGAGGTAAGCCTTCCAGTGGGAAGCAGACCCTGGAGGGCATGTCTGTTAGTGTCCATTATCCTCATTTTTATGGATTTTCACTTATGTTTATATTTTACTTTATAGATGGGCTTTGCTGGAATTGCTGTAGGTGCAGCTATGGTATGTAATACTCTTTATGAAACTTATCCAAAGACATTTCTTGTTTTCTTTTTTTTTCTTTTGAGACAGAGTCTCACTCTGTTGTCCAGCCTGGAGTGCACTGGCACCATCTCAGCTTCCAGGTTCAAGCAATTCTCCTGCCTCAGCCTCCATAGTGGCTGGGGTTACAGGTCGCGCCACTGTGCCTAGCCAATTTTTGTGTTTTTAGTAGAGATGGGGTTTTACCATGTTGGCCAGGCTGGTCTTGAACTCCTGGCCTCAAGTGATCCGACCGCCTTGGCCTCCCAAAGTGCTGGGATTACAGGCGTGAGCCACTGTGCCCATCCCCAAAGAGATTTAACATCACCTTTTAAAAACATCATTTGGGAAAAAAAAAAAATACCAAGTAGGTAGATGTGGTGGTGCTTGCCTGCAGTCCCAGCTACTCGGGATGCTGAGGAAGGATTACTTGAGCCTAGGAGTTAGAGGCTGCAGTGAGCTATGATGTGTGCCACTGCACTCCAGCATGGGTGACAGTGAGACCCTGTCCATAAAAAATAAAAATAAAAAATAAAAACATTATTTGAATGTTGGAAGACTTGGAGTGATTTGTTTGCTACTGTTTGTTGCTGTTTCTAGTCTTTTTAACATCCACGTTTTTGATTTTACAGGCTGGGTTGCGGCCCATTTGTGAATTTATGACCTTCAATTTCTCCATGCAAGCCATTGACCAGGTTATAAACTCAGCTGCCAAGACCTACTACATGTCTGGTGGCCTTCAGCCTGTGCCTATAGTCTTCAGAGGGCCCAATGGTGCCTCAGCAGGTGTAGCTGCCCAGCACTCACAGTGCTTTGCTGCCTGGTATGGGCACTGCCCAGGCTTAAAGGTGGTCAGTCCCTGGAATTCAGAGGATGCTAAAGGACTTATTAAATCAGCCATTCGGGATAACAATCCAGGTCAGCACAGGGACCCTTTGGTTTTTTTTGAAGATTGAAAAACTAAAATGATATATTTGCACAGAGGAAACCATTAAAGTCTTTTAGTTAGGCTTAGATATATCGTATAGAATGTTAATACTTTATATAGTAAAGATAGTAAAGAATGTGCTTGCTTTTCCTATTTCCGAATATAAGGGGGCCAGCTAGGTAAAGGGGACATTTACTGCACACCCACAATACTGGTTTGATAGATAAAATTATATTGACCACTACAAATTTAAGTACCTAAACTGCTCTCAAGGCTGCTGGTCATGGTAGAGATAAGGCTAATCAGCACAATGAAACTTCTCACAAGATGAATGATATTGCTTTCTATGCAGTTTTAGTCATTCTGGATGTGATTAATTACTTTTGTTTAAATATTTATGTTTTTCAGTGGTGGTGCTAGAGAATGAATTGATGTATGGGGTTCCTTTTGAATTTCCTCCGGAAGCTCAGTCAAAAGATTTTCTGATTCCTATTGGAAAAGCCAAAATAGAAAGGCAAGGTAAGAAAACTAAGATATATAAACAGTATTTTTAATCCAGCCCCTCAATTTTGGTAAAATTTAATCTAGAAGTTACTGTCATTTACTTTGACTGAAAAATTATAGGATGAGCTCAAGATGCCCCAATTTCTCATTCAGTTGTGCTTTTCTAGATCTCAGTCTGGTAGGTTTGTGTTTCATTTCTAGGAAGGCTGCCACATTCCTCAGCTCACTGGAATGAAGTTGAATTGAAGACTTTATGAATGAACAAGAGCCACAGCTGGCGGCACAGTGGTGTAGCATCTTCAGTTTCAACCTGATCTCTGATCTGTGACCACTCTGTTTTCAGGAACACATATAACTGTGGTTTCCCATTCAAGACCTGTGGGCCACTGCTTAGAAGCTGCAGCAGTGCTATCTAAAGAAGGAGTTGAATGTGAGGTGAGTGGACATTTACTTGTTCTTAAAGAATTAGAAGGGCTCCTTTTAGATTTAAGACCCAGAAGAGTTCTGTAACAGGTTAATTAGATGTAAAACCTTGCTTTGTCACTCATTTCTGTCTCTGCTTAAAGCTGGGAACCTGCCTGCAGTTCACATACTTAGCTTTTTACCACTCAGGTCACTTAGGTTCTGGATCTTTTTTTTTGAGAGACAGTGGGAGCTCTCTGAACCTCTTCTGGTTCTCAGTGATACCCCCCGAGAGAGAAAAAAACAGGCTTTTGTTCTGTTGCCCAGGCTGAAGTGCAGTGGCTGGATCATGGCTCACTGTAACCGTGAACTCCTGGGCCCAAGTGATGCTCCCACCTCACCCTTCTGAGGTTCTGGATCTTTTAGAAACTCACCATGTGCTAGTTATACTTGGGCAAGTTATATACTCTAAATCTGTTTCATCAGCTATAAAACAGGGATAATATAAATACTGTCCCGTCATAGGGCTGTTGTGAGAATTACACTTAGTGTAGTGCTTGGTACATGATGGGCACTCAGCTGTTAACTGTTAACTCATTTTGATGAGGGAATTTAAAGTGAAGGAGGATTGGCTGGGCGTGGTGGATCACCTGAGGTCAGGAGTTCAAGACCAGTCTGGCCAACATGTTGAAACCCCATCTCTACTAAAAATACAAAAATTAGCTAGGCGTGGTGGTCTATGCCTGTAATCCCAGCTACTCCAGAGGCTGAGGCAGGAAAATGGCTTGAACTGGGAAGGCGGGGGTGGCAGTGAGCCGAGATCACGCCACTGCACTCCAGCCTGGACAACAAGAGCAAAACTCCATCCCAAAAGAAATAAAAAAGTGAAGGAAGATAAATGAATCCTATAACTGCACAGAGCTGCTTGTGGTAGACATACAGATCTTTGTTTTAATTAAAATTTTTCCTTTTACAGTTTGTACATTCATGAATAGGTATTCATAGGCAGATTAGATTTTCCTAGATACAAAGATTAACAGGAAACAAAAAAGGAAATGGTATTATGGGGATAAGGCTCTATTTGTGCTGCAATAGCTCTGTAAACTTGATTATATTACCTGTTTAGGTGATAAATATGCGTACCATTAGACCAATGGACATGGAAACCATAGAAGCCAGTGTCATGAAGACAAATCATCTTGTAACTGTGGAAGGAGGCTGGCCACAGTTTGGAGTAGGAGCTGAAATCTGTGCCAGGATCATGGAAGGTATTTCAAAGAAACTGGTTCTAGAATACAGTCAAGCTATAGTAAACATCATGTACCTGAATACGTACAGGATAAAGAGATTGAAAGCTAGGAGTGGCCAAACGACTTCAACTTTAAACTTGTAAGTTTGGCATTTCTCTTCAGGCAGATATTTTTAAAAGCAAATCCAGAAAGCGGTTCCCCATAATTAGCATTCCTTACATTTTCTCTTCCTGGTCAGCCACACCTCTGTGCCAAGGTGGTAGTGCCCAGCTGGCATTTGCACTCTCTCAGTTGAGCCTTCCTTCTCCTAGGTCCTGCGTTCAATTTCCTGGATGCTCCTGCTGTTCGTGTCACTGGTGCTGATGTCCCTATGCCTTATGCAAAGATTCTAGAGGACAACTCTATACCTCAGGTCAAAGACATCATATTTGCAATAAAGAAAACATTAAATATTTAGTTTGGACTTGAATATCAAGTCGTTGAAATTTATTTGAAATACTTGCTGGCACTGCACCTGGATTTGTACTGCAAGACCTGACTATTCATAACGGAAAACGATTTCTAAAGCAACAGCAGGTATTTTTGTACAGGGAAGTTTAAATGTGTTTGTGTATGGAAAACTCTCCACTCTCCTCCCCTAGATGCCATGCTTCCTTTTGTCTGTTACGGTTGCCATGTTCTTTGAATAACAAATTATATAACATTTTATCCTCTCTCACCACAAGGACAAAGTATGGATGTGGCAGAGTCCTCATGAAAGATGTATCCAAACAAGATAACTTATATGTATAAAATTAAAGCATATAATATACATTTACTGTTAGTTTGTTTTGATAAGGAATAAAGGAATTTCTAACATGACTAATTTTTTTTTTTTTGAGACAATGTTTGGCTCTGTTCCCCAAGCTGGAGTGTGATGGCACAATCTTGGCTCACTGCAGCCTCCACCTCCCAGGTTCAAGTGATTCTCCTGCCTCAGCCTCAGTAGGAAATTAGCCACCACATCCGGCTAATTTTGGTGTTTTTAGTAGAGGTGGGGTTTCACCATGTTGGCCAGGCTGGTCTTGAACACCTGACCTCAGGTGATCCACCTGCCTTGGCCCTCCCAAACTGCTGGGATTACAGGCATGAGCCACCACACCTGGCCATGACTATTGTATTTTTATATTGAAAGAATTGGCTGGGCTGGGCGTGGTGGCTCATGCCTGTAATCCCAGTACTTTGGGAGGCCAAGGCGGGCAGAACATGATGTCAGGAGATCAAGACCATCCTGGCTAACATGGTGAAACCCTGTCTACTAAAGCCGGGCATGGTGGCATGCGCCTGTAGACCCAGCTGCTCGGGAGGCTGAGGCAGGATAATTGCTTGAACCCAGGAGGCGGAGGTTGCAGTGAGCAGAGATGGCGCCACTGTACTCCAGCCTGGACAACAGAGCAAGACTCCGTCTCAAAAAAAAGAATTGGCTGGGTGTGGTGGCTCAGACATGTAATCCTAGCACTTTGGGAGGCCGAGGTGGGTGGATCCCTTGAGTGTAGGAGTTCAGGACCAGCCTGGGGAACATGGCAAAACCCCATCTCTACAAAGAAAAGATAGATAGAAAAAAAAAAAGTCAATGTGGGTAGAAAACTTGAAATTCTATTTATTAAGAAATTAGTGCTGCCAGGCCACAGTAGCTCATGCCTATAATCCCAGCACTTTGGGAGGCTGAGGCAGGGATTGCTTGAGCCCAGGAGTTTGAGACCAGCCTGGGGCAACGTTGCAAAAACCCTGCCTACAAAAACAAAACAAAAAAAACAAAACAAAAAACCCAGGTATCTGGTGGTGTGCCTATAGGAGGATTGCTTGAGCCCTGGGAGGTCAAGGCTGCAGTGAGCTGTGATTGGGTCACTGCACTCCAGCCTGAGTGAAAGAGCGAAACCCTGTCTTAAAAATAACAACAAAAGAAATTAGTTCCATGTGGAAAATAAGCTGATACTGTACAAGACCATTACCTGTTTGTATTCATATATCTGAACTATCCAGAATAGTCAGCAAAACTGACTTCAGAAGGACTCAGGCCTCACAAGCCTCCATCAGGTAATCACCTAGGTTGCATCACACTTGAAACAGGAACTTCTCCACAGACTCTCCAAATGCCTAATTCTAATAGCATTCTCTTTAAAATTATGGCAAAGTTTATATCAGTTGTTTTTCCCATTTCCAAAGATCAGATATTCTGTCAAATACTGCCCTCCAGAAGCTGAGATGGAAAAGATGGGTTTAAATTAGTTAGAGAAGCATATAGGTGGTACCTAATTTAAGTAGCAAGGCAGGATTTTTAGTTCTTAGAGGAAAAGTGAGACACAAAAGAATAAGAGACAGGATAGGTAGGAAGGAAACCTTAGACTGTGTGAATCTATTCTTTGCTAACAACAGACGCTACAAAAAGTTCTCATTTGAAATATCTTGTCAAGCTACAGACAACACGTTTTCTTGACATGATTTTAATAAAAAATACAGCTGACATAACAGATTACATGAAACTATACACAATGACATTCTCTGCATAGTAACCAACACTGATGTGTGTACTTGAATTTTTAAATGGATTATTTATAATCCTTTAAAGTGCAATTTATTGAAAGGTTTAAGCAAATCAGGATAAAGGATCTTTCTAATAAATGACTAACATTAAAGAGATGCTATATTGATATATTTAGATAAATCTTTCAAAAATCATAATTGATTTCTATAGATGCCAAATTTACTTCTGTTGTAACAATGACCTGCCCCCCTCAAACCCCAAACTTAATTGCTGAGGATTAAGAAGATCCTCTAATTGGCAAGAGCTTTTTCTGATGTTAATATTTTTGTCTGTTTCAATACATCTAACTAAAAAGAACTATGGGTCTAGAGTAGTTGCTTTAGCAGCCCTGAGTTCTATAACCACAATGGTATTCCTGTTAGAACTTAAGAGAATGTTGTGAACGTTCCCCATTCTATTTGAGGAGAAAACAAAGAACTCAGTTGCTTTCTGATTTAGCAAAGTAACTATGCTTTGGGCTATAGTGTTAATGTCTAAGATAAAGGTAGCAAAAATTGGAGTTATCTAAGAATCAGAAAATGCTTTAGAGAAATGAACTGTAAGAGGAATGTTTCTAGGAGCTGTCTGATGGGGTAGAAGGGATTGCAACACAAAGGCCATTTACTGCTGTGATTGAATATTGTCATTGTTTTTCTGTCTATTTCCTTTAGTTGGTGAAAATATTTCAATATGCTGCTGTCCCAAAAGCCTGGCCATTAGAGGATAAACAAGACTCCTTTACAGGGTTAATAAAGGAGCAAGATCTTAAGGGAGCAATGCCAGCCTAACTTTATTCTGCTTAAAGAATTATTTCTCTCGAAAAGCTGCTTACATGAGCATCTGCAAAATAGTACTGTTTGTGGCTGTACTGGCTCAGCAATTACTTTCCCAGGAAGAGGGTAGTTTGGGGGGTAGGGGTGAGTAGGAATAAAAAAGAACTTTTCCCTCCAAGTGTAAACAGGAAGCTTCAGCCGATCTTCGGAGCACTGTGATCACAGGTTTTGGCTTTCCTCAAAGTTCCTTTTTGGAAATTCTGGATGGAGCTGAGCAAGGCCCCTCGGCTCATGCCATTCACAGCCTGAGACGAGAGCTGGGCAGGTGCCTCGGTGCTCGCAGGAGGCAAGGGAGCTGCTGGTGGTGGTGGAGGTGGAGGAGGTGGAGGTAATGCAGATATCCCTGTGGAGGAAAAGGGGGACAATCAGTATTCACCTCCACAGCTGCCCTGCACACACGCTGCTGCTCAGTCCTGAGCACAACGGACTGGTGAGAGTCCACATGTTTTTCTCAGAGGGACCAACATACCTAGTACTGTATGAGTTCTTAAAATACTAAAGAAAGCTAGAAGCATCAAAGGGGAATTAAAAGTTGCCATGTTTCTCAAACAATAGTCATGTTAAAGGCTGTTGGAACAAATAATTACAGATTACATGAAACCACATATGGTGACATTCTCTGCATAGATGAGGCTCTGACCCCATTTGCAAAGTAATAGTCCCCAAAGAAGAGTTCCATCTATCAGTTACTTTAGCCAGGTCCCAGGAAGCTCTGTCTGCTTCTGAGCTAGCAATTAAAGATAGACATCTGCATGATGGAGTTGGGCTTCCTGAATGTCAGTTATTCATAAGGGGTGAACAGTTCTTTCGCTGCTCCAACATACACAATGTTTGAAGGATGTGATCTTATGTAAAATGACAGACCACTCAGGATTCTCAGCAAGGAATCAGTGCCTCCTGGGTTATGCATTTCCCAGAGGAGTCTGTCTCGAATAATAATTTCCTATTAGGTTGCATTAAAGAAATATAAAATGCTAATAACTGTTAGCAATGCAAAGCAGGGGGCAGAGGGGTCTCTCTGCCATGGTATTCTTACAGAGAAATCCTTCTCAAGTACTGTTCTCTCCATTGTGGCCCAACCAAGGAACAGGACATAACTGCACTAAATGTCTTTGACGAAGCATCAGGAGAAACTAGAATGTCGTGCTGTACCGCAGTGGGCAAGGAGAGGGAAACTGGGCAGGTGTCTAAAACTTCCCTCAGCTTCCAGGCACATGGACATTTGCAACTCGAATTTTATATTTTAGAATCAATGAATGGTTCTCTCAGGACAGAATAAACACCCGAGTTCAGAAAAAGCCTTGCCTTAAAGAATGTTCCTGTGCCACAGTTAGTTGCCTCGTCTCCTGTGACCTTGCAGCTCTCTGAGACTCTGTCAGATGCTGTCTCTGTCCCTCCCAGGGCTACTCCAGGGAGACATTCTGCCAGGTGGTTTCCCCTACACTGCTACTGAGTTGTGATAAGTAACAGGTAAAGCTACCCTACTTAAGTTTGTATGGACGACTGGCTCAGAATCACCAACACAATACTCAGGTAAGTACATCCTTTTCACCAAGTGTGACAGGTATGGGTTAAAGTCTTACAATAGAAAATCACTTACCTTTCTTTACATCTTTTACTCAAACCTAAGGCAGCTGAAATTAAAGAATCACACAAATACACACGCTCATGCTCTGCAATCTTGGAATGCTCAAAGATAGCAATACAAATAAAGACTAAATACAGACAAATGACCAACATGTTCATTGGTTCTACACAATAACAACTGATGAATGAAATTGTTATGTTTTATGCTAAGGTGGATTGTGGGAAAATGTTCCTGGCTTTATGTCACCAGGTTACAGAGATAAAAAGGACTTTAAACCTGAAGTAACTGTTGAAGTGGGAAAACGGAGAATAAGCATGTGTGATGAGCATTCCTCTGAAGAGGACTTCTGGAGAGCAACCAGTGAAATACCAGGAGGAGGGGAGACCTCTGCTGAAGGTTTTTGGAACTGAGTCTCTTGACTGCAACACCAAGTGGGCCCGAAGGAGTGAGCTCTGCCCACTTGGGGGTAAGTAGGTGCCAGTGCCCTTCCCCAGCACCCTCCCACCCAATAGCCAGAAAAGGGCAGTGGAATCTGGACTTGATATTCAGGGCCACGTAGTGTAACAGAAGGAGCTCCAGGGTTTCTGCCTCCCAGGTTTGTGCTTTGACCCCCGGCAGAAGAATCACTGTGCAGTTAAGGACAGGCTCTCGGCTGCGGCGGTACTTGGGAGTTCTACTAAAGGCTCAGCACTGGCCATCTAGAGACTGACTAGCCCTCCAGGCAAGGATTTTGGGGGGCTGGAGACGGGCCTCAGGGCTGGGCTGAGGGGTAGGGGCTGCCATCTTGGCACAGAACAAAACTGCTTGGCCTCACAGAGAACCAACCCTTGGTTTTGGCGTCATTACCAGGCCCTCAAAATTAGAAGTGCAAATGCACCACCGCAGAGTTTGGGAGTTGAGGGTGGGGTTCAGTACATGGATTTTCCACTGTCCAAGTAAATGGACATGGATTTTCCACTGTCACTTTAAATGAGTCTCTTTGAAAATGTAGGTGGTGTCAATAAATACACTGTCCAAAGGGCTCCAGGGCTCCAGTAAAGCAGATGGAACGAAAGGACAGGCAGCAGGATCTCCCTGATGTGGCCTCAGCAGGCTGGAGCAGTCCGGTGGGGCTTGATGTCCCAGCAAGTCCACTTTTCCTCACTGGGCCTACAACAACCATGGTGGCTCTTATGTACAACCAGGGCAAGGAAGGCCAGACCCAGCTTGCCAGTTTGGAACACTCTGGAGGGGAGAGGAGGTCTAGGGGTCAGAAGGTGGAAACTGGAGGAGGCAGGAACACAGACCTGGGACTCGGTCTCACTCAGTCTGCCCCATTGATTGTTTTTGGCTTTTCCTTTTGGCCCTTTCCATGGTCCACAAGCTTCCTGAAAGGTCCGTTGGGGCTTCAGCTACAACACATGGCTAACAATGGAGGAAGAGGGGGCAGGGGCAACAAGGGCCAAATGAAAGTTACCATTTGGCCTGTGACAAACCTGGGAACAACTGCCTGCTGCCTGCGCGCTCTCCACCCCTCAGATGTGAATGAGGCCTTCCTGCCAAGAGACCTCCAATACCCTTATCTCCAGGCCACATATGAGAGCAGACCGATTCCATGTTAGACTTATGATACCTGAATTTGCACCCAGGAAGGGGGATGCTGCAAACAGCTTACCTTCAGTTACGACCAGGTCAGTCCCGATTTCTCCCATCTCACTTTCTCTTAGACAAAATCCCTGAGAGCCAACTACTTACTCTACCCACCCCAAAATCTTCTCCACCAAACCACACGGGAACCTGGCAGTCCAGCAGAGGCCCTGTCAGAGGGCAGAGAATGCTGCAGGGAGAGCGTAGGTCAGATCTAGGGAGGAATGCCAGGCCAGAAACCCCCTTGACAGCCTTGTGGACAGGATGTCTGAGGGTCCCTCCCTCCAGTTCCTTTTTTTCTGAGATGGAGTCTCGCTCTGTTGCCCAGGCTGGAGTGCAGTGGCGCGATCTCGGCTCACTGCAAGCTCCGCCTCCCGGGTTCAAGTGATTCTCTGCCTCAGCCTCCCGAGTAGCTGGGATTACAGGCGCGTGGTACCATGCCCACCTAATTTTTGTATTTTTAGTACAGATGGGGTTTCACCATGTTGGCCAGGTTGGTCTTGAACTCCTGATCCTTGTGATCCGCCCGCCTCAGCCTCCCAAAGTGCTGAGATTATAGATGTGAGCCACTGCGCCTGGCTCCCTTCCCCACCGACTCTTAGGCCCATGTTAGCAGCCAGCAGTGGGTAATCTACAGTCTCTCTAATTCTGAGCTCCTTTGTGGTCACATACAGGAAGGGAGGCCAAGTGGCCATGAGACCACACTAGGGTAACACCAGACTTACCAGCCACCCTCAGGAGAGAACCGAAGCAGGCAAGCCCCCAGCTCTCGGGAGAACCACCTTCTCCTTTGGCTTCAGGCAGGTGAGGAGGCTGTACTCCTGTCACAGCTCGAGAATTATAAAGGATGCTTACAAAAGAACTGTTTTTCCCTACCGTCAGTTATAAAAGCCAGTAAGTTGTCTCCCTGTAACTAAGAGCTCAAGTGCCTAACACTCTTTCCTCTTCATCAGAGTAACTAGGAATCAACATTTTTGCAGCAACGGGACTTTGAGAGTTATGGTTTCCAAAATTAAAATATACCAAAATGCCATGCAGTTGATTTGCAGGTTTTAGAGCTGTATTTTAAAACTGAAATCAGAGTGAAAATGAAGATTTTGAAGGTCATGATGAAAATGAAATGAATATAGATGAAGTCACTGGGTGCTTTTTAAAGATGCTGTATTTCATTTAAATATTCAGATAAGGAAATAGTCTCAAATCTGCTTTCCCACTTGTTCATCACTTCAGCAATCGAGACACTTTGGGTCCTATTTCACACACAGAAACAGAGCATCTTTAAAGTCTGAGAAATCAGCATAGTTTACTTTACCGAAAATTCACGTTCAAAATGGTGCATGCTCTACTGAAAACAGCAAAGAGAGAGAGAGAAAGGGGGGACACAAGTCATTATTCAGATTTTAGTGTCATTTAATCAAATAGTAACAGACAGTAAAATATTAGTCTGAATCACAAGCTGATTATTCTCACTTCGAAACTAGGATATACTCAAATTAACCACAGCACTGGTTTGTAAACACGATTGTGAGCCTTTTAAAACATGGCAAACGTATTTATAGAATAACCAATGAGTCGCTTTTTGAGCCACCTAATGAGTCACTTTCTTCATGTTCTTTGTCCTCTGAGCCAGTTAGATACTATTTTTATTTATTTACAAGCATGACGCTCACTTCAGAAAAGCCATGAAGGTTTTACCTCTGAAGAGCAGAATGGATATGAGGAGTGTGCTTAGTTCTATTATTAAACAAGGACAGTTGATCAAGATGGGAGAAAAATGAAAACCCATAACTTTTTTCCAAGCAAGTCTTCTAGAGTCTACAATAGATTTGTCTCTTTAAAGTTGGGAGGAGTGTGAGCAGGCCTAAGGCCAGAGATCCTGGGCAAGCATCCTCAAGGCGGAAGCACTGGGCCCCTCCCTGAGGCCCTGTGAGCCCCTCCCTAGAGGCTGAATTGGGCAGTGAAACTTACTTAAGGCCATAAAGCCGTTTTAAAAAGGAAAGCAAGGCAAATGTTTTTCTTGTCTTCTTTTAAACTGACTAGATCCCCAGCTAAATGTGAAGGATCATGCTTTGGTAAATCTCAGAGTTCCTAATGAACCAACTCTGCCCCACAGCCTTTTCCTGGAAAGGGGCTGGGAAACGGAAAAGAGGCCCTCCAGCCTTCTCAGTACCATTGTTCCCCAAGGCTAGCCAGAGAAACTTGAATCCCTCCTTCTCCAAGGTGGGTCACAGAAACAGAACCCCTTTTCCCCAAAGCAAGCCATCATACCTAAAAATATTACTCTCCCTCCACCTTTCTGTGTAAAAACTGTCCATAAAGAAATAACTTGGCTGGGTGTGGTGGCTCACGCCTGTAATCCCAGCACTTTGGGAGGCCAAGGCGGGCGGATCACCTGAGGCCAGAAGTTCGAGACCAGCCTGGCCAACATGGCGAAACCCTGTGTCTACTAAAACTACAAAAAAGTAGCTGGGCATGGTGGTGGGCGCCTGTAATCCCAGCTACCTGGGAGGCTGAGGCAGGAGAATTACTTGAACCCAGGAGGCAGAGGCTGCAGTGAGCCAAGATCGAGCCATTGCACTCCAGCCAGGGCAACAAGAGTGAAACTCCATCTCAAAAAAGAAAAGAAATCACCTGACCTACCTTGTCTGACTATAGGTTGTAAGACCCCCATTCCAGAGAGAGTCCTGCCCATACCCAGAAGGAAGGAATGCTGCTCAGAGAGGCTGAGAAGAATCTAGACAGACAGACTTGCTGGGTTTCCCCACTCAGCCTATTAGCATTAGATCATAGCCTTTTCTTCCAATCATATTTCCACACAGCTGTCCATACTTTGTTGAACCTAAGCATAAAAATGGACAATTTTCCCTGTACCTTTGGGTCTTCATTCTGAAGGCTCCTGTGTATACATATTAAATAAACTTGTATGCCTTTTCTCTTATTAAATAAACTTGTATGCCTTTTCTCTTATTCATCTGTTTTGCGAGTTGAATTTTAAGCAGACCTTCAGAGGGCGGGCTCCCACACCTCTTCCTCTGCAGATTTGAAACTTCCCTTTCTCTCCACTCATTCTTGCAAACTGGGTTTTCTACAAACTGCCAGCTCTCTCACCTCAAAATTATTGGTTAAAACATAAACTACAAGCAAGAACAGCTAGAATTATCTGATTGCAAGACATTCGTAGTTTATACCTGATAGTGCTTTACCGCTTATAAAGCCTCGCCATGTATGCCATCTATCTAATAAAGAGCGAGACGTCTTTTAAAAGCCTCAAAGAACAGAAATTATTTGTCCAAGGTCATAGCGGGAATGTGGCAGAGCTAGGACTCAAGCCCTGGTTTACTGACTCAACATTCAGGGTTCTTTTCACACCAGCCAACAACAGTATTTAAGAGCACGGGCCCTGCAGCGCACCCTGAAGAAAGCAGGCACTCAATACATCAATGGGGTAAATGAACAAATACAGAACAAGTTACACTCCTGGCTCTAGCACCGCCCTAACTTGTGTGACCTCGGTCAAAGTCTCTTAATCCTACTAGAGTGTCAGTTTCAACTGTAAAATGGACCTAAGCTGGAGTCCACTCACACTGGATAAGAAGGTATTCACGATGATTAACTGAAACAAGTGACCATAAAGCAACAGTGCCTGGCACAAAATAAGTGCTTCAAATATATTACATATAATTATTTTAAATAACAATTTAGGGTCCTCTGCTTACTCAGCTTTCCCAAAATACTCTTACAAACCCATTTTTTAAAAAAAGGGCTGGGTGTGGGTGGCTCATGCCTGTAATCCCACTGTTATGGGAGGCTAAGGCGGGCAGATCACTTGAGCCCCAGAGCTCAAGACTAGACTGGGCAACATGGCAAAACCCGTCTCTACAAAAAAATATAAAAATTAGCCAAGGGTGGTGGTGCACACCTGTAGTCCCACTCAGGAGGCTGAGGTGGGAGGTTAAGGCTGCAGTGAGCCGTGATTGCACCACTGCATTCCAGCCAAGGTGACAGAGAGAGACCCTGTCTCAAAAAAACAGATAGCAAGGCAACAGGCCTGTCTAATCCCAAAGGAGGGTGGGAGGGAATATTTGTGTGTGTGTAAATTGGGACCTTTAAAACCAATCAGTTCTATGAATAGAGTATAAATACTAGTTGGTGATACTACCATGAAATAAACCAGGATAAAGAATTTTAAAGTCCTGGAAAAAGTGACCTTCCTGAGGCAGAAAACAACCTTTTGCAGAAAAGACAGTGCTAGGAATGTTCTTACTGAAAAAACAGGGGTCTCAGCAAAAGAGTATTAGAGAATCCCACCCCACCCAATGGAACTGCCAGCAGACTTAAAGAAAGGATATTTCTCCCATCAGCTTGGTAAGGACCTCAAGAAGGAGCCCCCAGAGAAGAAGCTACAGTAAGAAAAGGGAGGGGCCCCAACCCTTACATAGTTGCTAGAAAGGGCTCATAAGGGTAAGACCCCTTCACTTAGAAACTGAGATTAAAACCACCTTTAGCTGCCATAAATGTGCTTACAACCGATGCTTTCGGAAAGAAAGGCACTGCTGCTGAATTCAACTTACCTAAGCTCATCTATTGCTGCTGATCTATTGCTGAGCAAACTGCCAAAGGCCAGAGTTCACAGTGGATTTAGGATTTAGAGTGTGCTTGATTAGAAAGAACTGTGAGGCCAGGTGCTGTGGCTCCCATCTATAATCCCAGCAATTTGGAGGCTGAGGTGAGAGGAGTGCTTGTGCCCAGGAGTTTGATACCAACCTGGGCAACATGATGAGACCCCTGTCTCTACAAAAAATTTAAAAATTAGCTGGATGTGGTGGTGCACGCCTATAGTCCCAGCCTCTCAGAAGGCTGAGGCAGGAGGATCACTTGAGCCCAGGAGAAGACCGACCTCCAGTTCTGCAAGGAAGAACAGCCTAAGCATGGGCTGGCCAGCCAAAAGTTGCAATCCTGGCCGGGCACAGTGGCTCAAGCCTGTAATCCCAGCACTTTGGGGGCCGAGGCGGGTGGATCACTTTGAGGTCAGGAGTTCAAGACCAGCCTGGCCAACGTAGTGAAACCCCATCTCTATCAAAAATACAAAAATATTAGCCAAGCGTGGTGGTGAGTGCCTATAATCCCAGCTACTTGGGAGGCTGAGGCATAAAAATCGCTTGAACCCAGGAGGCGGAAGTTGCAGTGAGCCGAGATCTCACGACTGTATTCCAGCCTGGGTGACAGACCCAGACTCTGTCTCAAAAACAAAAATGGTGTAATCCCTAGGCTCAGAGTCCTCCTGCTCTCACTCTGCAGAGGCCTTGAAGGCAGAGCAAGCCTATGTAAATCAAAGATTTGCCAAGCATCTCCTACACACGCCCCATACCCTAGAAGAAGGAAAGCTGTACAGAGAGGCCAAGCAGAATCTGAACAAACAGGCCTTGCTGGGGTTAGATCATACCCTTTTTGTCCAATCACAATGAGATAGAAACTGGGACCGCCCCCAACTTTTAGGGACCTGTAAACCTCAAGGCATGGAAATAAGGGAAAATCCAAATGTTCCTTTAAGAAAAATTCCAGGCATCCAGCTAGCCCTAGAAGTAATTAAGTAACTTGGTAAACAAGAAGGTAATAAGTGGCTTAAGAACAATAGCCAAGGAAGTTAAAGCTCCAGAGAAGTTCCCTTGCCCTATAGAAACTAAAGATAAGATCTTAACATATGTCCCTGAGTTGTCTTTCAAAGGCTCAGGCCTCCACTGAAGACCCTCACCACAAAGATCCCAGATTAGGAGGAAAAGAAGACTAAACTGTACCTATTATCAATCCCACCGTCCTTTGTTCTAAGTTTCTTCTTGAGAGGCTTGGAGAAAGTCACTCCCCCTAGCAAGTTAGCATTTTTCTACTGACCCCAAAATTCTTAGAGCTTCTGCAACTAAGATCAACTGCAAGTCAGATCTCTGAATCTACCTGTGAGCACCCCCTACCCCCAAGATGTCCCGCCCTTTTAAGCTTAAACCAATGTGCAACCTCGGTGTACTGATTTATAATTTTGCCTGTAGCTTCTGTTTTCCTGAAATTTACCCCACCGTTAAAAATCCTTGCCTGTAAGCCATCTGGAAGGTCAGATTTTTGAGCATTTTGCTGCCTGGTCCTCCTTGCACAGCACTCTGCAATAAATGCCTTCCTTTCTGTCACTGCAACAGCCTTGGTGTGGGTATCTGATTTTATTGCACTGGGTGAGCAGACCAAAATTGGGTTCTATAACAACATTTCTATATGGTTGTCAATCATGCCTATCCAATGACGTCTCCATAAAAGGCCCAAGAGGGCAGGGTTTGGAGAGCTTCCTGATAGCTGAACATGCGGAGGTTCCTGAAGGGTGATGTGCCCAGGGAAGGCATGGAAGCTCCTTCCCCCACACCTTGCCCTATGCATCTTTTCATCTGTATCCTTTGTAACATCCTTTATAATAAACCAGTAAACATGTTTCCCTGAATTCTGTGAGCTGCTCCAGCAAATTAACGGTGGGAACTCCTACTTGAAGCTGGCCGGTCAAAAGTTCTGGAGTCCCATCCTTGCAAATGGTGTCAGAAAGAGCAGGTAGTTTTGGGGACTGAGCCCCAACCTGTGGGGTCTGACGCTATCTCCAGGTAGATAGTGTCAGAATTGAATTGGAGGACACCCAGCTGGTGTCCATAGCAAAACTGATTGCTTACTTGGTGGTGGACAGAACCACTCCCCCACACCCTGACATTTGGTCACAGAAGTCTGTCTGTGTTGATTATTATTGTGTTGAGTGACAGAATAGGGAAAAATACTTTTGAGTGTGAGTTTTTCCTAAACAGTGTCTATCATTTTGGAGCTTCTGAGAGGCACTGGAAATGTGACTCCATGAGAGCTAGGGCCTTGTCTAGCCATTTCTGTAACCCAGGGCCAAGCACAGTCCTTAGCAAACCATAGGTTCTCAGTAAATGCACCTTGAATGTTTATTCTTAAATGAATAAACTCCCTTGGGTTGAAATGCTTAGGGCCTGAAATGCTAGGTTGCCAGGCAAATGCTAAATATTAGTTACCATTTTCATGAGATGCATTACAGGAAATGCCCAGCAGAGGTCAGATTGCAGGCTGAGTCAATTTCATCAACAAAACATTAAGGAGATAAAAGAAAGGAGGAGCCAATATTTGCTGGGAACCTCTCATCTCTGCCAGGCACTCTCACTCTGCCAGGCATTGTGCTGGGGCCTCACATGTGCTTTCCTTCTAAATCCTCAAGACTCCCCTTCAGGCTGGGTGCTATCAAATTCACAGGAATGCCCCTCCCACTCACCTCCAAGTTTTCCCAACATTGACTCTAATTATACAAGATTCCTCTTTTTTTCTCTCATTCTAAAAGTTACCTTATCTCACGCAAACTTACTACTGTATGAGACAGCACCCATTTAAACACAGATAAATTAGAGAATTCCCCCCAAAAGTCCAAATAAATTGTAAATTCCCAAAGGCATTTAGAGATAAGAACCGGCAGTCAAGTGAGCAGGGGCAGATCTAACCACACAGACAGGGGCTGTGAACCCTTAAACAGACGCCTCAAGTGCCTTGCTTGTTAAAGGAGGATTTCTGGATTCTCACTACTAATTTTCTCCAATTTTCTTAATATGCCCAAGTGGTGTTAAATTAATATCCTATCTTCTAGAAAATGGCTTAATATAGTCCGGGCAGTAGATCACCAGACATTTCTGATCAGCCTAAACAGTGTATCTCCATAAAAGACAAAAAAGGCCTATTTTCTGTCTTGATCAACATTTGGGGGCTTTCTTGGGAAATCTGCTGACAAAGATAAGGACAAGAATATCCTCCCATGGACCAGGTACTTTGCTACCCAAAACAGGCCCTAGAACATTCAGCAGTAAGGCACCAGTAGCCACCCTCAGCCAGAAGTAAGTCATTCACACTAGTCCCCTTGCTCTCATTTTCTTAGGAGGGTCAGTTAGAAGCATTTGAGTGGAGCTGAAGAATGCTCTTGGCAGCTCCTGGGTGCTGTGTTAGTTATTAATAATGAATATGGGATCAACTCATATACCAACTCCCTGCCAATGATTCTCCCTTCACACAGCTTGTAGGAACCCTTCCAGGCACAGCCAGCAAGCTCTGAGTGGCAGAAGCAGCTCCTCGCACATCTGGAACAACTGGTTCATTTAAGAAGCAAAAGGAGATACTGGTGTCCCAATTGTTTTTATTGGGCTTGCAAAAGACTTTAGGAGAGACATCTTGGTTCAAAAATAAAAGATAGTATTATGGGGCTACTCAACAAAATTGGGGATTATTTTTATAAGCAGTCTCCAAGATAAATTCTTTTTACATTTTTCAATCAAAACTAGTATCTAATTTACAAAAGTGAAGCAAAGGCTAATAACAGAAAAATATTCAGATAATTAAATACATTACAGAGCAAAACAGAGTCAAATCGTTGCCAGAAAATCAGAAACGCAGTGACTCTTTCACTCCTCCACCTAGGCATCTTACCAGTTGTGCTCTGTGACAAAACTGACCCTATGGACGGGCTCCCTGAGGAGAGAGGCCTGGCAGGACGGGACCCCTGGGCCACGGCGCATTTGTGTTGTTCAGCTAAGCATGTACCAAGACAGGCTCCAATCTGAGAAGCTCTGCATGAAGCTTTTCAGCAAAGACAGCAAGCTGGAGCCCGGGGGTGGCTAGTGGCCCTGAAACCGGTCCATTCCCTGTGAAAGCCGAGCTTGGAAATCTAGCCCCTCAGCTCTCCCAAATGACACTGCTAATTTGCACTCCCACTGATTTCTCTTGAGAAAGCTGCTGCTATCTAACCCCTGAAATTGTTGGGCCAAGGCAGGAAGAGGCACAGCCCGCTCCTCCTGTTGGCGGACAGGAAGGTGGCATGTCACTTTACTCCATCACTAACCTGATGTAGAGGGTGGAGTTGGCGATGACGGGGACGTGAGAGGTGAGCTGGCCCCAGATCCTGCTAAGATAAAACACAGAGAAACCCTCATGGGGACCAACGAAAGACATTTGGAATTTGGCCCAGGCTGGGACCCACTGCTGTCTGAGAATCTACATTTGGCTTAGTGTGTGAGCCTTGTGAAACAAGATGATGAGGGACAAAAAACTCAGAGACCGGACCCAGTGACAGGCTTTTACTCTGGTGCAGGGTCCACCTCCTTCCCCAAGCCACTAAAAGCTCCTTGCCTCCCACTGCTCCCCATGGCCTGCCTGGTTTGAAACTTTGCACCATCAACAGCTTAGGCAATTGGCTGCAGTATCTCTTCCTGACGCAACCTCCACTCCTGGGTAATGACAAATGACAGAAGCCACAAGTGGTACAGCAGACAGAGAGGTGCAGAGCAGCCTGCTGGGGGCTTCCAAAGGAAGGGAGTGCCCCGTACAGCATCCACCCAGTAACGCATTCTGCCGAAGTTCCATTTTATCAGCAGGTAGAATCAACTAGATAGGGTCAGTCTATTCAGTTTATGGATTTCACAGCCCTTTTCTTATCTAGAATAAGTAAATGTCCTTATTCACATTAAAACAATGTGAATCCCACCTGTTGCATGCTTTTTCTGGATCTAGTAACCTTATTATATTTCAAATATTCCCAAGTTCTCAGCATCTCCCCATTACTTGGCGATCCCTAGAAAATATCTTCCTGAGCTGACATGAAGTAGCCCAATGAGCAGAGGTTCCTACGTAAGCCTTTCTGTGGACACAGAAACCCCCCTCCCACACATAGAGATCCTATGGAGAGGTTAACCAAATCTCCCTAGTCAGGTGCTTTCTGGGCTGATGGGCACACACACCCAGAGGGCTGCCATCACACGCCTGAGAAGCCACCAGAGCTGGTGTGGTTAAGGCCCCAGCCATCACTTCCCTCACTACCCACAGGACATGTTGGTGTCTCATGGACACTGGCCATGATGAGAAATGTCCTGATTAAACCACACCTCCCTCCAGTTTAATGCTTTTCTACTTGCAATATTCCCTCAGTTCCCTATAAAATATGAGGGTGTTTTACTGAAAAAGGAGGTAAAACTCAATGCATGCTGTCTTTATACTGTTCGTAGTGCTAATGAACTTTAATGGGGAGAAGCTTCACTGCTTGACTCCAGTAAAGTTTGGGAATTATCTGTATATATCCATCAACTGCTACTTCATTTTCCTAAACTCCTGAGGGCACTGGGGTATCCTGAAGTCCTTGAGTCCTACCTGGCTTCATGTGACACAGCTTTGCAGGCAGGCAGGGTCTTAGAAGGTAGAGAGCACACTGTCAGGCTTTCTCTGCTCTATAAAAAATTAGCTACTGGACAGAATGACTGCTGGTTGGAATCATGAGTCTCAGTATAATAATGACCATGACCGGTCCATGTCCCTCCCATCAACCATGGCGAAGATAGGCTTCCAACTGAAACTACCCACCAGCCACAACAGCATTCACCCCCAAGGAGCCTGCGCTGGTCCTCATTGGGACCACCCCTCCTTCCTCTCCTTTGCAGCTCTTCCTGAGCCCTTCTCCAGTCTGGACTCTGCAGTGGTGTCAATGTGACTCTCACTCTCCTTCTGGAGTTTATGGGCTTTCTCTATTCAGGGCTGCCAATCTCCAGCTCTGGTCATGCCACTTGCATTCTCCAGCTGTGGCTCATGCAGCCCTCTGGGCTGCAGCCTAATCATCTTGTACACTTTTCTCCTCCCGCCCCAGGCAGACATTCTCCTCCCTGACTTCACTGAGAAGACTGAGGCATGACCTGTGAATATCCCCAATTTCCTCCCTTCTAAACATCTCTGCCTCTTCACCTGCCCACACCAAATCCTACCGCTAGGAAGAGATGCATGGGTTTCCTCAAAGTTGAGACTGATAGCTGGGCTTTGGATGCTAACCCCTTGGCTTTCTACCCGCCATGGTGCCCCTGCCAGTTACCGTCTCTTTTGCATCTTCAAATTCCCCCTCTCTGCTCTGTCCTTCCTCTGCCTAAAAGTATAAGCAGGTATTCCTCAACCCCAAAATCTCCCATTCCCGTGGCCCTTCAGGGCTAAGTCAAAACTGCTTGGTAACTAGGGTGAAACCTTCCCTTCTCTATGTGGGCTCTACTTCACAGATTCATAAATTAGAAAAACTGGAAGGCCCCCAGGGATCATTCAATCTGGCTCTGATTTCCAAAGATGGGACATTATGGCCCAAAGCCAGCAGAGCTGGGTGAAGGGCAGCTGGGAGTGGCAGCAAGGACTGCCAACTCAGGACAGTGCTCTTTGTACCATCTCGGTTTCTTGCCATCCCCACACACCATCGAGTCCTTTCCTTAATTCACACAGGAGAGCACATCCTCCCATCACATGGGGTCCAGAGCAGTGGGCAGGATTTAAGGTCATTTCTGTTCATGCAGGCTCTACTAAAAAACAGGAGGCCTTACATTTTAAGTCAGGTCTGTTTTCCTTCCATGACTAATGCTCCTGTGTCTTTAGATGATCAAGTGCTGCCATCAGTGAAGAAGGTGAGCTACCCAATTACCTCAGAAGTCCCTTCTAGCATTTGAGTGCTGTAAGCCTACGAATACTGTTGCAATCTTTCATTAGAGACGGAGTTATTTTGTTCTCTGTAGTCATTACTACATTGCCCAGTTTCTGGCCAGCAGAACTCAAGACCTCTTGACCAACTAGAGACTCCTGATCCTGATCTCTGTGTCCTGGGCCCCACTACCATCTATAACCAGTTACCTGAATTATTGGAGTTGCTGTACTTCGCTGAATGCTCTTCACTATTTTCAAGAGCAGATCGTTTTGACTTCTTTAAGAATAAAAGAAAAGGGGGAGGGAGGGAGAGGAAAGCAAAGAATAAACACAGTGAAGCTGGGAGTTAGAATAAAAATATTTTCCAGGCATACCATTAAACTAGCTGCAGACAAGGTAATATTCAGCCCCATAACTTAACACAGTGAAGAAGTCACAGCCAAAACTAAAGGCAGAAATAAAACAAAAAATGCTGACTTTACTATCTCAGGCCAATCGTTTCCTCCAATTACATTACGCCATAATCTGCCCAGCAAGCTAGGAAACTACATGGGCTATTTCTCGGCTGATTATCATATGACTCTTTTTTTTTCCCCAAAAAAACTGCACCCCAGTCATCTGGAAATAGTCTTAGCTTTCAAGGAGATATAGCACAGCATCTGTCATTAAATGGGCACCATTAACCTAGAACTTTCTTCACATGTACTCAAGAACTCATAGAGGGACTGCAGAGAGACAGCAGGCTTACCTTTCGAGCTAAAATCTTTCTTTTTTTTCTTTCCTCCTCAGATCCATGGTGGGACTGAGCTCTTGTCAGTCTTCGATGCTGGTGAATCTTTAAAAGACCATAAGATGTAAGCATATCCCACATAAGGCAGCTTCCTAATGAAAATCTTCTCCAACATGTTTTGGCAAACCACATTTTATTGGGATAAAAGAAAATCTTTCCTTGCTCAGGCTGTCTACTTCCTGGCTCGGGTCTGGATGCCAGGTAGAGGAGTATGCCAAAGGAAGAGGTCCTTTCTCATGCCCCTAATGCCTTCCTGCCTTTCCCTCTTTTACAGAAGAAGAATGTGGTGAGACAGCATGGACCATGCATGCCCGCAACTATCACCGGCCGGCATGCTCTGATCAGAAACCCAGACTGCCCTTCCTGGACATGTTTGTTTCCCACATAGACTAGGCAGGACTGAGGGCAGGACTGTCAAGTATTCAGCTCTGCAGGGAAGCATTTAGCCTAAAGGCTGGCTGAGAGTAAGTATGCTTAAAATATTTGCAGAGGGAACAGTCAAAGGTCAATCACTATAAAAACCACGGCAGAGGATGGGGACACTAAAAGGCAAAGAGGAACCGTTATCAATTTACCTGTTTCTGTTCCTCAATTAGTCTCTTCTCTATACATTCTTTGGCAATTCTCAATGCCTCTTTTAACTTTGTAGGGATCTGAAAGGAGAGAAAAGTACATCATCTATTGAAAAAGGTGGCTGGAGATACTTCCAAGTCCTGGAGTAAATGAAGGAGCAGGTGGTTATCAAGAGTCATTTCGGCCGGGCGCGGTGGCTCATGCCTGTAATCCCAGGACTTTGAGAGGCCAAGGCGGGCGGATCACGCGGTCAGGAGATGGAGACCATCCTGGCTAACACGGTGAAATCCCATCTCTACTAAAAATACAAAAAATTAGCCGGGCGTGGTGGTGGGCGCCTGTAGTCCCAGCTACTCAGGAGGCTGAGGCAGGAGAATGGCGTGAACCCGGGAGGCGGAGCTTGCAGAGAGCCGAGATCACGCCACTGCACTCCAGCCTGGGTGACAGAGCGAGACTCCATCTCAAAAAAAAAAAAAAAGAGTCATTTGGAATAAAATCAGTTAAAGCTGTCCATTCAAATCCTACCCCAGCCACTTTTGGTATCCCTAACACACTCACTTCTCTAGCATTTTTTAGCAATGAACACATAAAACTAAAACATAAATAAACATGATATGTTTCAAGTAATGCAAGTAATCCTCAAGGGCTGTAAATTGCCAAAACAATCTGAAAAAGAAAAATAAAGTTGAAGGCCTCACATTTCCTGATTTTGAAACCTATTACATAGCTACAGTAATTAAAACAGTGTGGTACTGACATGCAGGCAGATACACAGACCAATGGAAAAGAAGAAGAGAGAGCCCAGAAATAAATGCTTGTGGATATGGTCAAATAATCTTTGACAAGGGTTCCAAGAACATACAATGGGGGAAAGGACAGTGTATTCAATAACAGTGCTGGGAAAATTGGATATCCACATACAAAAGAGTGAAGTTGGACCCTTACCTTACACCATAAACAAAAATTAACTCAAAATGGATTCAAAACCTAAACATAAGACCTAAAACTATAAAACTCCTAAAAGAAAAGACACAGGGGAAAAGCTTCTTGACACTGGATTTGGCAGTGATTTCTTGGATATGACACCAAAAGCACAGGCAATAAAAGAAAAAAAATTAAACTTCATCAAAATTTAAAACTTTGGTGCAGCCGGGCAAGGTGGCTCACGCCTGTAATCCCAATACTTTGGGAGGCTGAGGTGGGTGGATCACTTGAGGTCAGAAGTTCAAGACCAGCCTGGCCAACATGGCAAAACCCCGTCTCTACTAAAGATACAAAAATTAGCCAGGTGTGGTGGTGCACGCCTGTAATCTACTTGGGAGGCTGAGGCAGGAAGATCACTTGAACCTGGGAGGGCGGAGGTTGCAGTGAGCTGAGATTGTGCTGCTGCACTCCAGCCTAAGCAACAGAACGAGCCCCTGTCTCCAAAAGAAAAAAAGAAAAATAAATAAATAAATAAATAAATAAAACATTGGTGCAACAAAGAAAAACGGAGTAAAAGACAACTCAAGAAATGGGACACAATATTTGCAAATCATAGGTCTGATAAGGGGTTAATATCCAGAATATATAAAGGAACTCCAACAACTCAACAACAAAATATAAGTAACCCAATTAAAAAGAGGCAAAAGACATAGACATTTCTCTAAAGAAAATATACAAATGGCCAAAAAACATATGAAAAGACACTCAATGTCTTTAGTCATTAGAGAAATGTAAATCAAAACCACAATGAGACATCACCTCACAGCCATTAGGATAGCCACTATTAAAATAATAAAATAAATGTTGGTGAGAATGTGGAGAAACTGAAGCCCTTGTACACTGCTGGTGGAAATGTAGAGTAGTACAGCTGCTATGGAAAACAGTATGGAGGTGACTCAAAAAACTACAAAATGGAACTACCATATGAGGAATTCCACTTCTGGGTATACATCCAAAAGAATCAAAAGCAGGATCTCAAAAAGATATTTGCACACCCATGTTCACTGCAGCATTATTCATGACAGACAAGAGGTAAAAGCAGCCTAAATGTTCATCAACAGATGAATGGATAAAAAAAGTGTGGCATATACATACAATGGAATATTACTCAACCTTAAAAATAGAAGGAAATCTTGTTACATGTTACAATATAGATGAACCTTGAGGACATTATGCTAAGTGAAATAAATGATCCACAAAAGGACAAATACTTATATAAGGTTTCTAGAGTAGTCAAGATCACAGAAACAAAGTAGAATAGTGATTGCCCGGAGCTGTGGGGAGGGAGAAATGGGGAGTCATTATTCTATGGGTATAGAGTTTCAGGTTGTAAGCTCTAGAGACCTGTTATACAATAATGTGAAGATAGTTAACACCACTGAACTGTACACTTAAAAATGGTTCAGAGAGTAAATTTTATATTGTATTTTTTATCACAATTAAAAATTTAAAAATTAGGTCAGGCACAGTGGCTCACACCTGTAATCCCAGCACTTTGGGAGGCCACTTGGGGCCAAGAGTTCAAGACTAGCCTGGGCAACAGTAAGACTCTGTCTCTACAAAAAAATTAAAAAATTAGCAGGGTGTGGTGGTACGCGCCTGTTGTCCCAGCTACTCAACAGGCTGAGGCAGGAGGATTACCTGAGCTCAGGAGTTTGAGGCTGCACTGAGCCCCGTCATTGCACCACTGCACTCCAGCCTGGCAACAAAAAATCGCCTACTTCAAAAAAAAAAAAATTAAAATTAAAAATTAAAAAAATTGGCCGGGTGCAGTGGCTCACACCTGTAATCCCAGCACTTTGGGAGGCCGAGGTGAGTGGTTCACCTGAGGTCGAGACCAGCCTGACCAACATAATGAAACCCCATCTCTACTAAAAATACAAAAATTAGCCAGGCGTGGTGGCGCATGCTTGTAATCCCAGCTGCTCAGGAGGCTGAAGCAGAATTGCTTGAACCCAGGAGGCGGAGGTTGCAGTGAGCCGAGATCATGCCATTGTACTCCAGCCTGGGTGACAAGAGCGAGACTCCGTCTCAAAAGAAAAAAAAATATTTAAAAAATTATATAAAGCTTATTGGAACATACATAAATTCAACCAGTTATTATAACTTCAGAGATATCTTCTTTGTGAGAGATTTATGTTCTGAATTTTGTAAGATTAAACTTTCCCAGCTTTCCCTGTTGGGAGACATTCCAAACAACAGCCCAGTTTGTTTCTGAGCCTATCATTTCTTTTTTTTTTTTGAGACAGAATCTCACTCTGTTCCCCAGGCTGGAGTGTACCGGCATGATCTCAGCTCACTGCAACCTCTGCCTCCATCATTTCTCCTTTTTTTTTTTTTTGAGACAGAGTCTCACTCTGTCGCCCAGGCTGGAGTGCAGTGGTGTGCTCTCAGTTCACTGCAACCTCTGCCTCCCAGGTCTAAGCAATTCTCCTGCTTCAGCCTCCCGAGTAGCTGGGATTACAGGCACCTGCCACTAAGCCTGGCTAATTTCTGTATTTTTAGTAGAGATGGGGTTTTGCCATGTTGGCCAGGCTGGTCTGGAACTCCTGACCTCAAATGATCCACCTGTCTCAGCCTCCCAAAGTGTTGGGATTACAAGCGTGAGCCACCACGCCCGGGCCATTTCTTAATTTATTAGCTTTTTAAATCATGAGGAGTCTGGTCCTGGAAGATAAGACCCCCAGATCATGTTGAACTTTTTGTCTTTATTATTCTGTAAAAATTTCAAATTAAAAAAAAAGCTGTAAGTAGGTAATACAGTCACATGGTTTAAAATCCCAAAGGTATAAAAGGGCACATACACAGTGAAGTCTCCCACCTACTTCCATGGAGGAAACCAACATTACCAGTCTCCTGTATATCTTTCCAGAAAGTCAGTGTACATACAAGAACTAATGTTGGATTTTAAAATCATACTATCTTTGCTGCATAGGCTCTCTGGCTTAGGGGAAGAGCGAGGTCTAGTACTAACTCCTGAATCCTAAAGGCCAGACTGTCAGGGTTGGAGGAGAATATATTTATTGACAAGGCTGAAGAAATTTGCTAAGATGCTTCAGTGAAGAAGACATTAAATTTAAATGTTTTTTTCTCTCCTACTTCAGATCCAAAGAAGCTATTATTGTCAGAATTCCTCTAACTGGCAAAACAGAACAGAGGAAAGCACCTCTCTCACTGACACAGTCTTCTAAACCCTCCCTTGGTTTTCTTTCTTTTTTTTGTTTTCTAAATTTATTTTCATCCTAATAGTATTACATGTTCTTTTGGAATATAGAAAGGAGAGGGAGAATTACCTTTTATCCTCCTACCCAAATCGCACTCATAGTGAGCACTGCCAAGAGCCATGGCCTGAACAAGGAGTTTCCGTAGATGACCTCAGTTGTCTAATGACAACAGACATGCATTACTCACCAATTTTACACATGAGTACATGCAGACTCAAAGATTAAGTGCTTGCCCATAGGTCAGTAGCTCTCAACTGGGAGCAATTTTGTACACTACCCCCCAGGAGACATTTAGCAATGTCTGGAGACACTTTTGGTTGTCACAGTGCAGGAGAGGGGGCAAGGAGTATCGTTGGCATCTAGTGGTGAGGTTAGGGATGCTGCTTCACATCCTACCGTGCACAGGCAGCCCTCACAACAAAGAATCATCTCACCCAAAACGTCAAATACCGTGGTTGAAAAACCCTGCTGTAGATAACAGCTAATATTGTAGGAACAAAGTAAGATATCATTCTGGTTTTTTGGGTTCCGAAGCCCATTCTCTTTCCATGACACATAACACCACTGCTTCCCAGGAGAAGACCTCCTTCCAGGCTTGTTTCTAGACAGATATGTTGTTTTACACATTACCTTATTTTTTTATACCTAAGCACAAATCTAAATCATTTTCCATATTACTACAATGTCTTTATCAATTTCACTTTTAATTATATTATCAAATAGATGTACCATAAATTATTAAACTAGCCCCTAATTGTAGGACATTTAGGTTATTTCCCAATTTTCCCTATTATATATCTTTTCTTTTTTTGGCTAAAAATACAGCTAACTTTCAAAGTCAACTTAGTTATGTCACAAACCAAAAAACGATATAATTGTCTTTACCTTAAACTGTGGTTTTTCAGAAGTGGTTAGTAAAACATCGCTGAATAATCTGTAAAGAAAAGAAACAAACAAAAATCTTTCTTGAACCACGTGCACTCTCAGACTAGGATGAAAGCAGATTAAGACACCTTTAGCCCATGAGGTCTCCCTTCCCTGCACCACATCCTCCAGCCCCTGGCCCAATCCACCATTCCATGTTCATTAACAAATGCAAAGGGATTTGCAGGTGGCCCAGTGTGACCCCCTTCCCACTGTGTTACTAGGGTATCTGGGCCAGCTGTGTACTAGAGGGGGTTTCCCTGCTATGGGCAATATTGCATTTTTAAGAAATTACTTTTGCGAATGCTAATTTGCAAAAATATCGCAAATAATATATGCGGTAGATATTTCTAAATAGAATAGTTTTCTGCTATTTTTCTTGCCTCAGAAGAGGATAAAATTTATTCTAGAGTTCAGTAACATAAAAATGTTCAAGTAAGTAGAAAGGAATTGTCCTGATTGGAATCTAACAGGAAAGTAATTTTCTTCTAAGTATTTCTCATACTTCATTTTTAAAAGTAGTAGCTTTTGGAGTAAATCAATTCTCTCTTCAAAAATATGTTACTGGCTGGGTGCGGTGGCTCATGTCTTGTAATCCCAGCACTTTGTGAGGCTGAGGCAGGCGGATCACTTGAGGTCAGGGTTTCGAGACCAGAGTGGGCAGCATGGTGAAACCCCATCTCTACTAAAAATACAAAAATTAGCCGGGTGTGGTGGTGCGTGCCTATTGTCCCAGCTACTTGGGAGGCTAAGGCAGGAGATTCCCTGGAACCCAGGAGGCAGAGGCTGCAGTGAACCGACATTGCACCACTGCACTCCTGCCTGGGCAACAGAGCAAGACTCCATCTTAAAAAAAAAAAAAAGGGTATGTTATTGCAAAAAAGTAAACAACAGACACCGGGTCTATTTAGGGGGAGAGGTGGGGAGAGCAGCAGAAATACTAAATATTGCGTACTGGGCTTAATAGCTGGGTGATGAAATATGTACAACAAACCCCCATGACATGTTTACCTATGTAGCAAACTTTCGCATGTACCCCCACACCTAAAAGTTAAAAATAAAAATAATAAAAAATGATTTTAAAATTACCCATGTGACCAAAAAAAAAAAAAAAAAGTATATTATTAAAAACAATAGCATGGGCCGGGTGCAGTGGCTCACACCTGTAATCTCAGCACTTTGGGAGGCTGAGGCAGGTGGATCACCTGAGGTCAGGAGTTCAAGACCAGCCTGGCCAACATGGTGAAAACCCTGTTTCTACTAAAAATACAAAAACTAGCCGGGCATGGTGGCACGCACCTGTAGTTCCAGCTACTCGGGAGGCTGAGGCAAGAGGATCACTTGAACCCGGGAGGCGGAGCTTGCAGTGAGCCAAGATCACACCACTGCACTCCAGCCTGGGTGACAGAGCAAGACTCTATCTAAAAAAAAAAAAAGAAAAGAAAAGAAAAAAACAATAGCATGAACTGGGTGACCTGGGCACAGTGGCATTCGCCTGCAGTCCCAGCTACTCCACAGCTAGAGGTGGGAGGACCCTTTGAGCTCAGGAGTTTAAGATCAGCCTGCATAACATAGCAAGACTCTCAAAAAGAAGAAGGGGGGAGAGAGAGGGGGAGGGGGAGTGCGAGGGGGAGGGAAAGAAAAGAGGAGAAGAGAGGAGGAGGAGAGGGAAAGAGGGAAAGCAATAGCATGAACAACTCTGAACTGCTGGGTAAAACAGGTCAAAGAATAGAAATGGTTGCTTGGGTAGCACCCAAACAGCTATAAGTGAGTCTTTCTTTGAATATGCCTCCTGCCCCTCCCCTATTTTTTAAAGAGATGGAGTCTTGTTATGTTGTCCAGGCTGCCCTGGAAGTCCTGGGCTCAATCAATCCTCCCATCTTGGCCTCCTGAGTAGCTGGAACTACAGGCATGTGCCAGTATGCCTGGCTGAATATCCTGCGCCCCCAGTTTGTTTTATTTTTTATTTTATTTTATTTTTTTGAGATGGAGTCTCACTCTGTCGCCCAGGCTGGAGTGCAGTGGCGCGCTCCAGTGCAAACTCCGCCTCCTGGGTAGCTGGGACTACAGACGCCCGCCACCACGCTCGGCTAATTTTTTTGCATTTTTAGTAGAGACAGGGTTTCACCGTGTTAGCTAGGATGGTCTGGATCTCCTGACCTTGTGATCCACCTGCCTTGGCCTCCTAAAGTGCTGGGATTACAGGCATGAGCCACCACGCCTGCCCCTCACTTTGTTTTATTTTTGAGACAGGGTCTTACTCTGTCATCTAGGCTGGAGTGCAGTGGTGAGTTCACAGCTCACTGCAACCTCAAATTCCTAGGCTCAAGCGATTCTACCACCTCAGCCTTCCAAGTAGCTGGGATTATTACTTGGTGCACACCACCACGCCTAGCTAATTTTGTTGTTGTTGTATTTTTTGTAGAGATGGGGTTTCGCCATGTTGGCCAGGCTGGTCTTGAACTCCTGAGCTCAAGTGATCCACCTGCCTCAGCCTCCCAAACTGCTGGGATTATAGGTGTGAGCCACCGCGCCCAGCTATATTACTCTTTTTTAAAGATGGGAACTTCATCACAAGTAGAAATGACAGGATTAGCTTTCCCCACAGGGCTCTTCAGGGCCCCGCCTGTCCCTCAGCCACACATCTCTTTACTTCCAGAGGACACATTTTAATTGAACATGGTTTACGCCTGTCCAGGAGCTCTTCTCATAGCTGAAGCCCACATCGTAGAAAGACTTAGGTGAAGAAAAAAATATTTGGATTCACTTAAGGACTGGAAGACTGAGAGAAAGATGTAAGAGCTTTGGAATGGGGAGTGTAAATGCAAACTCAAGTAAATCAACCTGTATATAGGCTATTTCCTAAGTACAAGTGCATTTTGCTAGAAAAGTTTGTGTGAAAGTTGTTTTCCAAACTGGGTCTGTTTTTCCATATTCACATTGTTTGTTTTGTTTTGAGACGGAGTCTTGCTCTGTCACCCAGGCTGGAGTGCAGTGCTGAGATCTTGGCTCACTGCAACCTCTGCCTCCCCAGTTCAAGTGATTCTTCTGCCTCAGCCTCCTGAGTAGCTGGGATTACAGGAGTGTGCCACCATGCCCAGCTAATTTTTTATATTTTCTTAGTAGAGACAGGGTTTCACCACACGTTGGCCAGGATGGTCTTGAACTCCTGACCTCAAGTGATCCACCCGCCTCAGCCTCCCAAAGTGCTGGGATTATAGGCATGAGCCACTGCCCGGCCCACATTATTACATTATTATTAATGGTTGCTGGTTTGGCGACAGACGCTTCAGTGTCTGTGGAACAGTAGAATGTCACATCCACGGGGCAGGGGCTTGGTTTCCTCTTTTCATTACAGTGCCTAGGACAGCAGCTGGCCTCCAGAAGGCCCTCTCTAAACACTTGTGGAAAGAAAGAACCAGGAACCGGAAGTTATCTCTACCTTCTCTGAACTCTGGCTACATGCCCTTCAAGCTGTCCCCTGCCTCGTTTCCCCATATTATTGTTTTCAGAGTATATCTGTTATATAATACGCTGGTGCAGACAAAGCACCAGATACACTGCATGGTGTGTGATATTCAAAAAAGATCAGCTGATTCAGTAGTAAGCATAACTAACACTTAATGAGCACATATTAAGTGCCGGGTCCCTACTAGGAATCACCTCATTAAATCCTCCCAACTACCTTCTGAGGTGGGAACTTATTATCATTCCCATTTCACAGTTCACAAAACTCTACTTCCAGAGGTTAGGAAATTTGTCTAAGGTCACCCAGGTAGAAGTGGTGAAGCTGGAATCCACCTCCAGGTCTGTCCCACCCCAGGCACACCCTTCTTAACCACTCTGCTGCCTTTCCATGAAAGAACAGAAAATGCACCTGAAGGGAAGGCCCCACAGCACTATTTCAGCTGCCCTGGTTATCTACTCATAATCCAGTTTCAGAGAAAATGTCTTCTGAGCTCCAAGACCCTAGAACAGTGCCTGGTACATGCTAGAGTTTAATAAATAGTACCCAGTGAGTAAATTCACAAGCAGAAGCATGGGTGCTCAGAAACACGTTGCCCTCTTCCTGGAGGGCAGACCCTTCAAGGCCCTGTGACTTGTGAACTATGCACAGCTGGGGGCCAACTGGTTTGCTGATGCAGGGTCAGAAAGGAGCCACTTGAGAGGGCCCTCCTTCAGTATTTCCTAAGCTGGGGGCTGCGACACATACGCACACCCAATGCTAATGTACGTACACACAATGCTAACGCTGAGTGAGGAGATACACGTGAAAATGACACAGATGTTAAAGGATAGCCATCAGACCAGGAGAGCACAGAGGTCACAAACAAAGGGTGAGGATATCATGCTGCAAGTGCCCATCAGCAAGCAGGCCACGCCAACTCTGCAGGGACCGCAAGAATCTTTACTACAGTACCAGGTGCTTGGACACAGTGGTCTGGTGTTCAACATAGTTATCAAGATTACAACCAACGCATATGATTGACTTACGGCATCTGTAAGAGCCGGGAGATGGTAGGCATGCCATTTTTACAGGCTTCACAAGACAGCGTAGACTCCAACACGGCCACTTGAAATGAACAGATACACATTTTAGTTCCACAGAACACGCTGGCAAATCCACTTGCTGATGAAAAGTTTAACACCACTTTGCAATAACTGTCTGCGGGCTGATCAGGACAGTGTCAAAAATCTTCACACACAGACAGATGGCATACGTGGGGTGGGGGAATGCTGGCAACACTGGCGTTACCGATGACTCAAAAGAAATGGTTTAGAAACTACATGCTGACAGAAAGCTAAATATATTTCAAAGATAACTGGAGGAAGGATTCAAGATATCATTCATAAAAGTGTTTGTTCTCTTGAAAGAGATGTAAACACTACACAGAAGTAAAATTCTGAACTTGAAAGACATTTTGCTGCTTGCCTGCTTTTCATCAAAACCAGCACACAAAATGCCAATTGTTGATATCTCATCATCCAACACCTTGGATGCTATTAACAGGAGCAGCCAGATTTTTCTACCCACAGGTCACTGTTCAGTTTCAGCGGTTCAAATTCAACACAATATAGTCCCAGGGCCTGTTCTCTTGAATTGCCTCTTTTGACACAATAACGCTTGGTGAAGGGTGGACTTGAGTATCTCCAAGGCACAGGGGTCCAAGAGCCACCCTGCCCTCCCCTCTCTCTGCTCCAGCTGTGGGTGCCAGCCTGGCTGTGGAGGGGATGAAAGGGTCCTGGATGAGTCTGTACCAGTTCCTGCATCCCTCCTTCCTAAAGGTGCTCTCACTTGTCCTCCAGCTCCCCTCAGCCCCCGCAGGTAATGCTGTAAGAGCTCCTGGATCCAATTTGTCTTGGTGTCTGCATTCCTGCCTGCCTGCCCTAGGTCTGGGCCTGCTAGGCTCTTATCTACTAGGCTTCTGGCCTATGGCATTCTTGTTTTGTTTTGTTTTCGTTTGAGGCAGAGTCTTACTGTGTCGCCCAGGCTGGAGTGCAGTGGCGCAATCTCGGCTCACTGCAACCTCCACCTCCCAAGAGGCGGGTTCAAGCAATTCTCGTGCCTCAGCCTCCCAAAAAGCTGGGATTACAGGCATGCACCTCCACGCCCAGCTAATTTTTGTAATTTTAGTACAGATGGGGTTTCATTATGTTGGCCAGGCTGGTCTCAAACTCCTGACCTCATGTGATCCACCCACCTCGGCCTTCCAAAGTGCTGGGATTACAGGTGTGAGCCACCATGCCTGGCCTCTCTTGTTTCTTACAAGTCTCACTTCAGTCTTGATCTGACGTCTGACACCTGCCTGGGTCCTCAAGACTGGCTTCAAGTTGCCTGGCTCTAGCTTCTGCATCACACTCATGCAGGCCATACTTCTCTTTACATCCTCCTGCTTCCAAAGCTCTAAAGCATTTTGCAAAAAGTTCCCAGAAATTTCAGATAGCCTGGCAAATGGACAAGCCACCTGAATTTTCACAGAAGTGTATTTAAGTAAACTACTCAAATTTGGTCTACTTTTAAATTTTGTAAGAATTTCTGGCTGTGGAGGACAGCAACTTCCTCTGGGTCTTTCCTGGACTCTGGAAAGGGGATGAGTGGCTCTGCACACTACTAGGGCCCAGAAGACCCTTCCCAACCCCATACTGACCCACAGCCATGGACGGGGCAGGAGGGAAGGAGTCCACAGGCACCGAGTCTGGCGGTCGTCCATAAGTCATTTCATACAGTAAGTGGCCAAAGCAGTGGACATCCACACTTTCCAATGTCTGTGGAAGAAAGAGTAGCAGCGTGTTCACCCTTCACTTTGGCTTTGTGGACCCTCGCGCTCCTGCCCCAAGGCTTCTCTGAGAAACAAAGCCCAGGGATAGCCCCGTTCCTAATTGGTAACGTAAATGCAACTCCAAAGCCTTCTGTAAAACCTCATGAGGTATCCCAAAGGTCTTGGTCCGACCCTCCACAGTTTTCCAATCAGTGAGTCCACCTCCCTCCTTACCCCACCCGCCATTTCAACTCAGCCTCCCAGAGATACAGCAACGCTGCAAGGGCTGACGGGCAAGGCCTGTCCCAACTATACCTTTCACTACTTGGTGCATATTTCCTACATGGGCAGATCATGGGGATAACTGACACCTAAAAATGAACCTGCTATTTCATTACTTTAGCAACTTACATTGATTTTCCTGAATTGTGAAAAATAAGATCGGTAGAAGGAAGGCAGGCCCAATAAGGAATTCTCAAGGTCCAGCAGCCGGCAAGTGTCCCCATCGAGCATCACATTGGAGGCGTGAAGATGCCCATAAGGGAATCCCTTGTCATGAAGAAACTTCAGTACCTATCAAAACATATGGGAAAGTTACATTTTCCCCAAACTCATTCAGATATAAGACAAGTTAAACTTTGTTTTTTAGTCAATATATTTTGAAACAAAACCAAACAGGTCACTGAGAAGATTCCTGAAGAAAAATGCCACCTCTACCCATTTGTTTGGAAAAGGAAGTGAAGCTGAATGCTTTCCAGTTTTGAGGCTGTGAGATGCAACATCAGTTCTTTCTTTCCTCAAAAGAATAGAGAAGCAGCCTGCATATGCTTGGAATTAATAACTCTGATGCCAAAAGGCTCTGCTTTAAGCACTTTCTGATTCCAATAGGCCAGCTCTCTTCAGGGCAAAGTCTTGATCCTCCTGCATAGATGAGTGAAGCTATCTTATCAGTGCTTCTGCCAGTAATTCAGAAAAAGGGGTTGAACTAGAAAACATCTCTAGTTCAGTCTCTCCTCCAAATATATTTAGCTGTTTATTAATAGGAACACACAACAGGATCCCAGAAAAAGCAGTAAATATTTCCGCTGCCATATAAATAATCAGTGGCTTACCCAGTAAGAGAGATGCTTAGATATAGCCCTGCAATGTCCTGGTGAACTAGAGCAGTGATAGGCAAGTGGGGTGCCCAGAGCAATTCACTAAGGACTAGAAGAAAATATTACAACTTCTCTTCATAGTTGTTGTTTTTTAAAAATGTTATTTTTTTAACTTATAATATACAAAATATATTACTAGTATGCTGTCTCCATCCAAACAAATATAATATATATACACACATACACATATATGTATGTGCATAGTACACGCATATAATTTATAGTTAAATAGACATAACATTGGGATATTAAATTGGTTATTACTGATAAGGTTGCATAATCCCAGAAGCTTGGAGAATCCTGATCTAGAGGGTGATGTCGGAAAGCCTTCTCACTGTTGGTTATACTTCTGTAAGGGAGCCATATGGCTATGCATATGACATAACAAAATCAAAAACCTTGGCATGGGGATAAAGAGCAACCAAAGATAATATAAAAGTTGGTATCCACACAGTAAAGTTCTTAAAACTCAGACACTAAATTGCAATAGCTAAAGCTTTAAGAATTTTGTAGACATAAGTGACTGTTGCCTTAGTCTCAAATATTTACTTTTTGAGGCAAAATATGACAATGCAATCAGTTTATAAGTAATCAGACAACTTAAGTAATTTTGGATATTACTTAAGAACTTTTCCAGGTGAATAATGCAATTTTGGATGAAATCTGAATGCAACTTAAACAAAAGTACCTCTTACCTCTAATATTTGCCGTCCATATGTTTTTATTTGCTGGAGTTCCAGGCCCTGAATCTTCTTAGGGTTGCAGTACTTCTTTAGAAATGGGTCTTTTGGTTTTGCCTTTGGAAAAGAACAAAGAACACGTAAGAAAGCAGCAGAGGGGCCAATATCTGCACACAGACTCCCTGACCAGGCAGGATTCTACAGAGGCTAGGGGCGCCAGAGATGGCCAGCTGCAAGATGTGAGTTTTTAAAATACGACAGTCTGCATTGTTGATAGAAAGAGGCTGACCCAGGTTCCATCCCTTCTCTAGCCCAGTGAAGATGTGCCTGGTCTTGCCCTTAGCAGACCCCAAAGTCTTGCATATTGTTCGAATTCTTCAGAACTGCTTTGTTAAGCGCAAAACACAAACTTAAAAACTGACCTAAGAGAACAGCTTGCCATGTAATGGACATAATTATTAAATGTTCAACCTTTCCTCACATGGGAAAAGGAATGCTCTTTAACCAAACTAAGTAGAGTTTTTATTGCATGAATAAAAATAAATTCCAAATAAAATCAAAACTAACATCAAATCCTCAGGGCCTAGCCTCTGGAGTCTTAGAGACTAAGTATCAATAACAGGTTCTAAAGGAACTTGAGAATTCCTTATGACCATGAACTTGCACAGGTACCTTGTAGATCAGATCCTTCAATGTTCCCTTTTCGTTAAACATCCTAATTAGCAACGCTGAGGATTCATTAGCTGTGGCAAAGGTAACCCGATAGATGTAAGGGTGCTGTCAAAACAAAAAAGAAATTCACATTGATTTGCGTCAGGATCTAGGTCCTTTTAAATACAGGATCTGGTTATGCAGAGTCAAGTAGCACTGTGGTGGTTTAATTGCATACGAATGTAGTGATATTCCCTGAACACATGGCATTTTCAAGTTATTCAGTTACCAGCTAGTTCCTCCTTCTTCAGATGGAGGAAGGGACATAAACTGTAGGAACAAAGGAAAACAGGAGACAGATAATGGATGTGGTAAACTCCACAAGTGAAGGGGTCCTCTTTGGTGTGTGCACTCTCATAGCTCAGGCAAAAGTGTGGTGGAAGAGATAAAATGTCTGAGTTTTGAGGATAATAGTGTTAATATCCTGTCTCTGTAAGTCAGTAAAGAATACAGCCAAATCTCAGAACAGCCAAATGGAGACCAGGATCAATGTGTCTTTGCTCACAGCTTTGCCTAACATTCCACACTGCTGTTTGGGTGCCAAGCCAAGAAGCATACTAGCCAGAAAACAGGCAAAAGTAGCATCTTCTGGAATCTCAGCCCTTTCCACAGTAGCTGGCATGAATCTTCCTACCCTTCTATAGAATTCTGCAACATAAAGATTCACAGTGTCCTCCTCAGATGGAGAAACTGACATTAAGCAACTGGGGTGGAGAAAAGACAAATTATTTAATGAGTGAAAGGAAAGTGCTGTTTTTCCCTGGAATTCTGGTTACGTGAAACAAACTGGGTCCAGACAGGTATTACAATGTTCACTAGCTCAAAGGAGTATCATGAAAATTTAAACCCATGGGAGCTGAGCTATGCAGGGATTTTGGAGGCTGGCATGCAGCAGGTTGGGGGGTGGAAAGGTGTACCCAGGAAAACAGAGTAATTGATCATGAAGTTCTCCTGATCATCACATCAAAATGGTTGCTGCTGACTTTTTAACAGCTTTGTTGAGATATAATTCACATGCCATTACTATTCACACATTTAAACTGTACAAGTCAATGATTTTCAGTATATTCAGTTATACAACCATCATACAATCTAATTATAGAACATTTTCATCACCCCAAAAAGAAACACAATGGGTAGAATAAAAATCCTTGAGTACATACTAATATAAATTTTTTTAAAAGGGAGAAGAGAAGCTCTTTAGAGTAGAATGCCAACTAATAAGTAAATACGGAAGGAATAATAGAGTTAGAAAATCACATTAAATGTTAAAATGCTAGTGGGCTTCATAAAGAACAGAATATGTAGTGTCACAATATCTCCTTACACATTGGTTATTAATTATAGGTATTTACCTTAAGAAATTAAGTATGGGTATAATGTTTAGCAAAAATTGTTCATTATGGCTTTTTTCTTTTTTAAAAAATAAGAGCAAAAAGCTGGAGGTGATCTAAATGTCAATAGAAGATTGAGTAAACTAAGGTATAGCCAATGATAATTCTATACAGCCCATAATAATGATGCTATATTTACTAACAACTAAAGATGCTCATGGTACACCATTAATGAAAAAAAAATCAGGTTTTAAAGCACTACATATATAATTTACTTTTTTATCATAAAAATTCTTAAAAAGTAACAACTGAATATTTTGGTTCATACTTCTGTTTGACTGGGATTACTGGTGAGTTTTCTTTTCTTTTCTTTCTTTTTTTTTGAGACGGAGTCTGCTCTGTTGCCCAGGCTGGAGTGCAGTGGCACGATCTCGGCTCACTGCAAGCTCCGCCTCCCGGGTTCACGCCATTCTCCTGCCTCAGCCTTCCTAGTAGCTGGGACCACAGGTGCCCACCACCACGTCCAGCTAATTTTTTCTATTTTTAGTAGAGACAGGGTTTCACCATGTTAGCCAGGATGGTTTCGATCTCCTGACCTTGTGATCCATCCGCCTCAGCCTCCCAAAGTGCTGGGATTACAGGCATGAGCCACCACACTCGGCTTATTTTCTTATTTTTGCTTATCTGCCTTCTGACTTTGCTACAATTAATATGCACCATTTTTATGTGCTTCTTTTTTTAAAGAAGCACTTCTATTAAAAGAAATTTAGGGCCGGGTGCGGTGGCTCACACCTGTCATCCCAGCACTTTGGGAAGTCGAGGCAGGCGGATCATGAGGTCAGGAGTTCAAGATCTGCCCGGCCAACATGGTGAAACCCCATCTCTACTAAAAATACAAAAATTAGCTGGGTGTGGTGGCATGCACCTGTAATCCCAGCTACTTGGGAGGCTGAGGCAGGAGAATCGCCTGAACCCAGGAGGTGGAGGTTGCAGTGAGCCGAGATCGCACCACTGCATTCCAGCCTGGGTGACAAAGAGAGACTCCACCTTGAAAAAAAAAAAAAAGAAATTTAGAACTAGGTCCTGACAGCCTATGTCACACAACCAATCAAGCTCTAAGACTAAAGCGTCTTTTTGGCCTCACATTGCACCTCATTAATAGCTTGGTTTGCAAGCTTGACAAGACACTATATGGCCAAAAATAAACTTGCCAAACCAAGTGCACAAGTCAGTGTAATTGTGTTCAGTTCGCTAGTGATTCATTCCAGGGAACTACATCTTCATGCAGACAAGATAAAGAATGTCAATGTTAACTCAATTTCCTGGCCAGATTAGTCTTTGCTGAAGACATTCTGCACATATTTTGAAATATATCAACGTGGTTCTTTGCACTGAAGGCCCTGGATTAGAGCTGTGTAGTCGTGTAAATAATATCATGTATTCCTAAAGGTCATCTGGTTAGCCTGTGAAGGTAGTAACTCAGACAGAAAAATGGCTATTTTGCCTTTTCTTCACCCAGCTTATCTAAATTCCTCATTAGTTCTGTTTTCTCAGGCTGGAAAGAGTATCTTTCAGTTCCACTGAGATAAATACCTTCACCAAGAACAACAGGCTGGGAGAAGTAGCTGCTTCCCTACTCTCATCTTTGTTTAAAATTCAAAGTCTGTATTTAAATTACTATGTTTCATGGGTTGTGCAGATGTCATGAATGCCATTTCAAATAGCCTATGATCTAAGAGATTAGCCCTACACAATTTCAGTCTGACCTGAAATCCACTGTATCTCCCCATTCTGTTTTCCAGCTTTTCTGTCCATGTTCACCCAGAAAAAATACTGTGACTCTATCATCAGCACTGAGAATAAAAGAAAGACGTATACTCACCAAACAAGAAGGCAGAAGTTTGATTAGACACTGAAAATCTTTATCTGACAAATACTTGTCTGGGCCAAGGTCAGCCTGAAAACATGGAAGGGAATATCAGGGTACTGTTTTGGTCACCAAAAGAAAAATTCCTTGTCTTTCCCTTTAATTTTATTATCCAAAATATGACTGGAAACCAAAGACGAAAACAACACTAAGTCTGGCTGCCTCAAGACCTTTCTGGAGAAGCAGTGTGTAAAAATACCAGACTTAACTGTAATCTTATCTAATTCCACTAACCAAATCTATCACTAAAACTCTCAAAGTCAAAGAGATAAAGTAATGCCCAAGTATTTTTTTTTTTGGGAAGTAAACTCCAAAACTATAAACCCTAAAGAGATTCCAGAGAGTTATTTTAAGCTGTTCTTGTTTCTTTTCAAATGTTTACTAGTTGACCAAATATAATTGCATTTATATAACCAAATACACAGGAAAATGACTCAAAATGACTTTTCTTTGACATGGACCAAGGAAGCCTTTACATCATCACTTAAGAGCACAGTACAATTTTGTAATTCTCTTGTCAAATCTGCTTTCATTAACCCATCTAAAGTCACTGAAGGAGACCAAAGCAAAAAGCTAGCTTACCCAGCTTAACACTAGCCGTTCCTTTGGCTGATTTTTAATCTTCATCAAGAAATATTTCTTCCTTATTCTCCAACCTGCCATAAAAGCAAAAATGTGCTTAGAGCTGCACAATTTTTGCAACAACTGATATGTTTCACTGACTAGGTAATCAAGAAAAATTAAGTTTGGCAATATTATTCGCAGCTACATAGGCACAAGTAAAAGAACCATTTGATAACGTTGGCATAGTAAAGGCTATACTTAAAAAGAAACAGTAAATGAAGAAATTATTCACGGAAAAGGCAGGAAAGTAGCACTTCAGTTTAGATGTAGTGAAAAAGATAGATGAAGAAGGAATGGTGTTTCTGAAAGTTATTACCATCCAAATGCTTTGATGGGGCTTTAACCAAGGTTCATTAAGTATTAAAAGTTACCAGCTGTATCCTCAAGCAGTTGATATGCAAAAAGAAAAAGAAGTCACCTGCATTTAAGCATGTTCCTGGGATACGTATCAGAAAGCATGACTAAGGATCCAGTTCTGTGATCTGTCTTTTTAACAGAATGAGCGTGCCAATGTCTCACCTATGTCTTTCAAAGGTTCCACCACCTCCCACTTTGGTTCTGATCGGAAGAACATGGAAACCTGTTGCAAGGCAATCTCTGCAAAGACATTTTAGAAACCCATTAGTCAGACATATCAGGAAAGGGCCATATGCTGAAGATATTATTCTTGTAAATGAAATCCCTATAGTCTATGACCTTTTTAAAAAACTTAATTACCAAAAAAAAAATAATAATAAAGAAAGAAAATACACACAAACTAAATGCAATGTGGGATTTTAGATTGGACCCTGGAATAGAAAAAGTACACTAGCAGAAAAACTGGTAAAATCTGAATAAAGCCCATAGTTAATAGTAACATTACTAATATTCACTTCTAGTTTTGATAAATGTGCCATGGTTATATAAAATATTAACATTAGGAGAAACTGGGTGAGAAGTATATGGCAATTTTCTGTACTATCATTGCAACTTCTTTTGTTTAGTTTTGTTTTTTGTTTTTTGAGATAGGGTCTCACTCTGTTGCCCAGGCTGGAACTCAGTGGCACAATCATGGCTCACTGCAAACTCAACCTCCTGGGCTCAAGTGATCCTCCCACCTCAGCCTCCCGAATAGCTGGGACTACAAGCATGGGCCATCACGCCTGGCTAAATTGTTTTTTTTTTTTTTTTTTTTTTTTTGAGACGGAGTTTCACTCTTGTTACCCAGGTTGGAGTGCAATGGTGCGATCTCGGCTCACCGCAACCTCCACCTCCTGGGTTCAAGCAATTCTCCTGCCTCAGCCTCCTGAGTAGTTAGGATTACAGGCATGCGCCACCATGCCCAGCTAATTTTGTATTTTTAGTAGAAACGGGGTTTCTCCATGTTGTTCAGGCTGGTCTCGAGCTCCTGACCTCAGGTGATCCGCCCACCTCGGCCTCCCAAAGTGCTGAGACTACAGGCATGAGCCACTGCACCTGCCCGACGCCTGGCTAATTTCTGGTGCGTGTGGTTTTTTTTTTTGTTTGTTTTTGTTTTTTTTAGTGACAAGGTATTTGCCATCTCCACCCAGGCTGGTCTCAAACTCTTGGCTCAAGAGATCCGCCCATCTCGACCTCCCAAAGTGCTGGGAATACAACCACGAACCACTGCACGCAGCCCACTGCAATTCTATGTAAATCTAAAATTATTCTAAAATGTAAAGTTTATTTTAAAAATTATTAATAATGTGAAAATGTATATTTTTCAAAACTGGAAAATCTAAAATATGTAATCTAGCTGGTCTAAGCCAAGAATTCAATATATGCACCAGACCACAACCCAAGCCCAAAACTCAAAACATGTTCTAAAGTCAGCTGGAAACAGTATTTAATGTTGCTCCAAGTACTATTTATCCCATCTGGAATTATAGCTTTCATCAACAAAAAAGTGATTAGCCTTAAATATATACTAGAAATAAAAGCCAGTGTACAGCAACAACATGGTTCTATTGTGGAAAGTCTCCGAGTGCCTGTTTACTGGGAAAAAAAAATCCATCCTCTTTTTCTGTTCATTTATCATGAAAATGTTTCCCCCTTTTAAGAAGACAATGAGAAAGGAAGTTCTTTAAAGTTCTTTGCATTAAGAAATTATGAAAATAGCTGTGCTTTTACATTTCCTGTAAAAAGCAACATCTGTAATTTGCCATTTCCCCTCATTGCAGTGAGTAAATGAAGCCATTCCAGATCCCTGAAAGCAAACAGCAATCCTCCAAATGCACTGTGGAATTTCAGTTCTGCCTAGCATTAATTACATTCCAAGCAGACTGGTGAGGCATGAGGGATTCAGTAGAAATGCTCTCCATATGTCAAAATGACCTTGTTTAGAATTCACATGTCAAGAGCTTGGCAAACAATATCATTTGGATATATTTTATAGTACATTTTGAGTTAAGAGATCAGGGAAGAAAACAATTTACTAGCTATTTGTTTACTGACTCAATATGTAAAGTGTCATTGGCATCTACTCAGAAGAAAACATGTGATGTGATATGTGATGACCAAATACAAAACTGGCTCCATTCACATTTGTTCTAACTACCCCAGAGTGTGACAAACCATCTGGAAGATCTGGGTGCAGCAGAAACACACAGACTTTCATTATCAACACTGGGAACTTTGTACTTCTTCTATAATTCATGTTAATATAAAGTGTTTTTAGTATTTCCAAAGTAACTCGAACATAAAGAAACTTAAAAGGAAATTAAGTGAAAATCATTCATATCAACTTTGAGAAGGAGCATGAAAAATAATTCTCTAATGTGTACAATGTCATTCTAAAAGACCGACAGTGACACGGAATTCCCTACAAAATCATTATTCAGCAATATCTACTGTATGCTACTATGTGCCATACATTGTTTTAGGAACAGGGGAAATAGCTGTGAACAGATGGAACATACTGGATTTCTCACTGATAAACTGAGGACTGTGAAATAGCTTTTTTCACTTAGGGTCAGGGAATTGGAGAAAGGATAATTTCTTCCCACTGAACTGTGATTTACTGTCAAATAAACTGCATGACTATCATGTGCCAAATAATAACCCCCTCCTTCCCCAGACTCGGGCAACACATTTCAGTCCTAAACATCTACTCCTTTGCTTAGAAGCCTTTACTGGTTCCCCACTTCCTTGCCCAAATCAAGACCAAACATAAACCGAGTGTTCAACCAACCTCTGGCTTTAACCTACCTTTCTGGCTTTATCTCCCACAGTGTGTGGGGTCTCTCTGCACTCTGAGATTTGCCTACCATGGCCCCTAAAGACTGGCCTGCCCCCACTCCCTCAGCATTTTCCATCTGGCCCAGACTCAGCCCAGATGTTCTGCTCCATTAGCCAGGACTCTCTCCCTCTCTCCTTCTTTCTCTCCTCTGTACACTCCCAGTGCTCTGTGTGTCCCTCTCTTATGCGATTACCTGTGAATGTCCTCTATTAGGGCTACTCTCTTCCACCTAGACTGTATGCTCTGGCTGGAAGGGTAAAGCCAGGATATATCTTCTCAAGCTGCTCTGCCCAGAGCACTGGCCACTGCCTCTCGGCCTGGCTACCTTCTACTCACCCCTCAGATCTCCGTGTAGGAATGAACTCTTCTGGGAAGCCTTCCTTCAACTTTAGGTGTGGATCATCCATGCCCCCGCCTCCTTCCCCAAGGTGCTCCCTAACATTTACTCTGCCACAGCCATCACCTGTCAATCTCCCTGTGTAACTGTCATGGAGTAGGAACTGGGGAAATTATTCTTTCCTCCTGGCTGCATACATAGCACATGGCACACAGTAGATGCTCAATAAATATCTGATGAAGCAGGAACCAAGGGTTCAATTGTGTTCAGCAGATGTGGAAACTCTCTCCCATTAGAACATGAAATCCATGAGAAGGAAGGCATCTGCCCTCTAGTTCTGACACAGGAACTGACTGACACATGTGGAAAAACTGCATGCTCAGAAAGTGCTGATAAACAAGCTGGAGACAGGAAATGGAGAGCACAGCCTTCAAGTCCATCCTGTACTTCCCACAGAGCTCAGTTGTACCAGGCGCCCCCAGTGCGAGCAGTCATTGAATTCCTGGATCGCAGCCCCATGGAATGACTGCAGGGAACAAACACTGACTCCTCTAGGACTGGAGCTAGGGTCCAGACTCCTAGTCCACCACAGCAGATTGCACTGCAGAAAGGCCTGCAACCTCACCAAATACCCTGCTGTTGTTCTAAATATAGTCCTCTTTCCCCACTCTCTCCCTTTTTATATCCCAGAGTCCACTACTTTCCTACCTTTTCAAGGGATTCCTGGGGCTTTAGGCCTAAAAGGGGAACTTCAGCACTCCCTGCTCTATTCCCCCTCCCCAGCCTCTTGTTTTATAGGTCAGGATGTGGGCCCACTGAGAGGAAATGCTGCTAATGACAAAGCTGGGACCATGATACAGGCCTCTTGATTTCTGGTTCAAATGACTTTTGCATGGACATTAAAACCCCCTTACTCCAAGAGGGTATAAGGACTGAGGCAGGAAGATGGCTACAGTGCAGTGAGGCTTTTAAATGATAGAAGTACCTTGTTAAAAAGATGAATATTGTAGGCCAGGTGCAGTGGCTCATGCCTGTAATCCCAGCGCTTTGGGAGGCCGAGGTGGGCGTATCACAAGGTCAGGAGTTCAAGACCAGCCTGGCCAACATCGTGAAACCCCATCTCTACTAAAAATACAAAAAAATTAGCTTGGCATGGTGGCAGGTGCTTGTAATCCCAGCTACTCGGGAGGCTGAGGCAGGAGAATCACTTGAACTGGGGGGCTGAGGTTGCAGTGAGCCAAGACCACGCTACAGCACTCCAGCCTGGCCAACAGAGTGAGATTCTGTCTCAAAAAAAAAAAAAAAAAAAAAAAGTAAGGGGGATATATGTGTGAGATAGATTCTCAACACAAACTTCTCAGGACCAGGAGATACCTGTTTTCCCTGCACAACAGCTGGCCCTCAATTAGACTTTCTAATTCAAATGAACACCTCACAACTCCCTCACAGAAGACCAAGGGTCTACATTTCCTTTCTGAGGATTGGCTCTTCTGGAGAAAACCTGGAAAAGAAAGAAAGGCTCAGCAGTCCCAGGCTGGGGACCCAGGGAAGAGAGAAGGAAGCTGCCAATGTCCTGAGAGCTCCCAGTTAGCCATCCCCTGGGAGCAGAATGCCATCACAGTCCCCCTCCAACAAGACACCCTCACCCTCCATCAGAGCAAGGACCAGGAAAAGTGCTCTGCTGATTCTGGCCACCACTTGAACACAGAACTCAAATCCTGCTGAAATGAAGCTGGGTGGTGACTGCAGACCATGTGGAAAATGAGAAGAGGTGGAGACATTATCCACATTAAAAGGGAAAAGTGGGCCAGGCACAGTGGCTCATGCCTGTAATCCCAGCACTTTGGGAGGCTGAGGTGGGCAGATCATTTGAGCTCAAGAGTTTGAGACCAGCCTAGTCAACATAGTGAAACCCCCTCTCTACAAACAATGAAAAAATTAGCTGGGCATGGTGGTGTGCACTTGTAATCCCAGCTACTCAGGAGGCTGGAGCGCAAGGATCACTTGAACCCAGAAGGTCACGGCTGCACAGAGCTGGGATAGTGCCACTGCGCTCCAGCCTGGGCAACAGAGTGAGACCCTTGCTCAAAAAACAAACAGGGAAAGCGGCCCTGCTTAGAGAAGTGCCACAAGGTGAGAGGCGTGCAGGGTATGTTCCGTGGGCCATGCTGTGAATCTCAGGAATGGTCCTGTCAAGCTGGCATGGAGGTGGCAGCCTATGCTTCCTTTTCCTGAGGTGGCTGGTATGTCAGCCTTGAGGCTAGACAAACTCCGAAATTTCATTCAAAGGGTGAAATAAATCAACATCTCTCTGAAAACAGCATCCATCACCTATTGTTTAATTCCGGGATTGTGCCCTCTGAATAGCAGCCAGCACAGGTTCCGGCAGGAGTTTCTGGTGGTCTTTTTATACCCCTGCCCACATCTGCTTTGGACTCCTGACTCTCTACCATGCTGGAGGCCTGGGGGTGGGGAGGGGGAGTAGAGATCAAAGACAACAACAGCATGTGGGGCAGGTACAGAAAAAAGCAGAGAACCAACAACTGTCAGAATAGACAACCTTCTAGGAGTTACAAAGCATTTTAACTTAAACACTCAGACCAGACTAAAGTCACACAAATGTGCAATCCTGGCTAGGGCCCTCCCTCTCTGGGGGCCTTAGGTGAACTCATTCATGAAAAGAGAGGGTTAGACATGATACATCTGCTCTAAGATCCCTTTTAGCTCTGACCCCATGGGACTCAATGTACTTCTGGTACCAGCTCCCTGAGAGCAAGGAACACATTTATTTGTGCCTGCATCCCAACACCCAGCACACATCACATTTGTTGAATAAATGGCATCATTACACGTGCACTACACCTTGATGCTTGCCCTCAGGAGAACATTAGCAAGCACTCGCAGGGAATGAGGGAGATAAACCACTGAGTGGGCCTGGGTTAGGGCTGATTTGACAAGTCAGTCCAGATGGCCTGCTGTCTGACAATTTTGGGAACAATCAAGGTGAAACACTGAGAAATGAAAGCCACAAAAGATGCTACTTTGACAGAATTCAAGCTGTCCCTAGAGCCCCAGTCCTATCTGTGCTATCTTTTCTCTTCCGTGAACAAAAAAAACAAGTGAAGGCAGGAATGGAATCCTTGTAACAACTCACTGCTCCATTTGGTAACTTACAGTAAGTGTGAGTTTGAAATAAACTTTCCTTCTCTTGGTTACACTCTAGAAAGGCATTTTCCTTAGCCCTGTAGAGCACTTCGGTTAGGAAATGGCAGGTACATCCTAGCGTGAGGCTTCTCACGCTTTAATGTGCGTGCAAATCACCTGGGGACCTTGTTAAAATCAGATCCTGATTCAGGAAGTCTGGGATGAGGACTGAATTCTGCACCTTCAACAAGCTCCCAGTGATGCCAATGCTGCTGGTCAGAGAACCACACTGTGAGTCACCAGCCTCAAGGGCTGTGGTTTTCAAACTTGGCTCCATATTGGAATCACTTGGGAAGCTTTACAGACTACAAGCTCCAACCACAAGACTCCGATTTAATCAGCATGCACGCAGCCTGGGCATGAGAAATTTTTCTAACGCTCCCCAGGTGATTCTACTGTGGAGAAAAACTTGGTGCCTGCCAAGTAGACATCTGTTTCCCCTCTCTGAAATAGGAATATTTTGGTGAATGAATGGGTATGAATAAATAAATAAAAGGAATAAAATAGGAATAAAAATGCCTCTCTCTAATTACTTCAAAAGCAATGTTTTAAGGACTCAATTATCTGATATGGTGTATTCTCTTAGCAAGCAAAGTAACAATATCCATAGTTCCACTTAGAAAGTCTCTAAAGCATGGTTTCTCTTTAAACAAATCAGGTGAAACAATGGTTTCTACTGTTCTTTTCAAAGTGACACCAGAATGTATTAAGTATTTAGTTTCTCATTCTGCTGACATCAGGCTTAGGTTATTCATGCCAGCTTTGAGTGTAATCGGTACTGGAAGAGAAGCCCTTTCAACCACAGTACCTTGGCGGCTGCCCTGATCCAGGAAAGATTTGGAAGAGAATGACCTCCTATGCTTTGCACTGAGTGGGTCTCAGGGAGCAAATAGGAAGACACAGAGAGGACCCTTCTGAATCACTGCTGTGTTTAAAGTAAATTCCCAGAAAAAACAGAACACACAACATATTGTAAATACAAAAACAGAGCCAAATACAAATCAGATTAAGATTATTGTATGTATAAGGTGTTGATTAGAGGTCAAAAGTAATATAAAAATTACTGTATGCGTTATTGTGGATTAATTATTATTATTATTATCTTTTTAAGACAGAGTCTTGCTCTGTTGCCTAGGCTAGAGTGCAGTGGTGCTATCTCGGCTCACTGCAACCTCCACCTCCCGGGTTCAAGCGATTCTCCTGCCTCAGCCTCCCGAGTAGCTAGGATTACAGGCATGTGCCACTATGCCTGGCTAATTTTTGTATTTTTAGTAGAGACAGGGTTTCACCATGTTGGCCAGGCTGGACTCAAACTCCTGACCTCAGGTGATCCAACCGCCTTGGCCTCCCAAAGTGCTGGGATTATAGGCATGAGCCACCGCGTCTGGCCTATTGTAGATTACTTACTCTCTGTTCTGTCAGGGAAGACAATAAAGGCAAGAGTATAAGTATACATACAATAATTTCTCTTCCATATTTTTCTGTGCAGACTTTACAAATATTTTGGAAGTAACTTATTTTCTTCTTATACATCTACAGTAAACTACAATCAAGAAAATCTTAGTAAATTCATAATATGCTATAACAAATGTATACACATCCCCATTTTGAGAAAACATTTCTCCCACATACGTTATCTCCAGCAAGGGACAGTGCCTCTTTAGCCATGTGACCATAATTCACAGATTCCTTCGCTTACCAGTATAGTTTGCGGAATAGTTGTTTGGATCTAAAAACTTCTTAACCAGCTCACAATTAGACAAGATATGATTTGTTGTGATCACGTTGAGATAGTTCTGAAGACCTTTCTGCCTTTCAGCTATGAATTCACGATCCATGTTACCAATCAATTTTTTGGGAGGAAGAGGTAGACTTAGGCCTGCAATCTTTAAAAAAAAAAAAAAAAAGTTACACTCATGTCATCCACAAATAAGAATCAACACAAAAATCTTGACCTATCATATTTCATTAAACCTAAGACAATGCAGATTTTAGATGCATCCTAATTTCAGTGATATAAAAATTGTGAAAAACTGCATTTAGAATTGATAAAATACTGTATTAAGCATATTTTATTTTATTTTTGAGATGGAGTTTACTATGTCACCCAGGCTGGAGTGCAGTGGTGCGATTTTGGCTCACTGAAACCTCCACCTCCTGACTTCAAGAGATTCTCCTGCCTCAGCCTCCTGAGTAGCTGGGACTACAGGCATGTGACATCACGCCCAGCTAATTTTTGTATTTTTAGGAGAGACAGGGTTTTACCATGTTGGCCAGGCTGATCTCAAACTCCTGACCTCAAGTGATCCACCAGCTTCGGCCTCCCAAAGTGCTGGGATTACAGGTATGAGCCACCACATCTGGCCAGGCATAGTAATTTTAAAACTTTATTTTTTTAATGTGCTTTTATTTTTACTAAAGTTACATAAAAACATAATTTCAAGAGTAACTCACTTTCTTAAATTATTACTGGCAGTCCCATGACACCCCTTACCCCTGCTACCAGGTGACATAACCATTCTCTGCTCCCCTAAGACAGCCACGTTCGAGTCTCTCAGCTGATCTTTTGACAATGGGGAATGCTCATACTGTCATGGCTTGATTTTTCATTTTTAGGCATTATCTGTAGATTTCCCATTATGGAAGATGAGGATTAAGTTCTCTTTCACAATCCTAACCTCATCTCACACACATCCTGTCCCTAATCCTCCTGACATCATTATATTATAATTCGATTTGGTACAATATTCACATTTACCTTAAGTAAATAATATTCACAACTGAGCTAGAGCCATGCTTACTTTTCCTTTACAGCAACTTGTAGTCTTTTTTTTTTTTTTTTTTGGTTTTCTATTCAACTTGAAAGTCTCCATCCAAGCCTTCTCTCAACACATTCAGATACACAGCTGCGTCAGTTTTATCTTTTGAAGGGTACCTTCCAGAGTCCAACAACCTACTCCAAGCAGGACTGGCGGTCCCTACACTGCTGCAAAGGTGGCATCCTGGGACCTCCTTTCATCCTTATCCTAGAGATGTTTTTGCTTTTGTCATACTAAACCCCATTTTGTATCCCCTACATTCATTTTTTGTACATAATTCCCTTGTTTTTGGTAGAGTGTAACCTCTGTTGGCTTTTTTTTTTTTTTTTTTTGAGACGGAGTCTCGCACTATCGCCTAGGCTGGAGTGCAGTGGCGTGATCTCGGCTCGCTGCAAACTCTGTCTCCTGGGTTCACCCCATTCTCCTGCCTCAGCCTCCCAAGTAGCTGGGACTACAGGCGCCAGCCACAATGCCCAGCTAATATTTTCGTATTTTTAGTAGAGACGGGATTTCACCGTGTTAGCCAGGATGGTCTCGATCTCCTGACCTCGTGATCCACCCACCTCGGCCTCCCAAAGTGCTGGGATTACAGGCGTGAGCCACCGCGCCTGGCCCTCTGTTGGCGTTAAAAAGGAGAGCAGGAGATACATTTTTTTGAAACCTTGCATATATAAGGATGTCTTTATCCTCCCCTTATACTTGATTTATAGCTAGTGTTGATGTGGAATTTTAAGTTGGGGATACATTTTCTTCAGAATTTTATTTCTATTTCTTTCTTTACTTACTTACTTTGAGACAGAGTCTCCCTCTGTCACCCAGGCTGGAGTGCAGCAAACTCCGCCTCCCGGGTTCAAGCAGTTCTCCTGCCTCAGCCTCCAAGCAGCTGGGATTACAGGCATGTGCCACTGCACCCGGCTAATTTTTGTATTTTTAGTAGAGATGGGGTTTTACCCTGTTGGCCAGGCTGGTCTCGAACTCCTGACATCAAGTGATCTGCCTGCCTTGGCCTCTCAAAGTATTGGGATTACAGGCGTGAGCCACTGCACCCGGCCTTTCTTCAGAATTTTAAATAAATATTTGGTTGTCTTCTAGTTTATAGTGCTGCTGTTAAAGGTTCAAGCATATTGATGCCTTTTTTTTTTTTTTAAGAGATAGGGTCTTGCTTTGTCACTCAGGCTGCAGTGTGGTGGCGTGATCATAGCCCACTGTCGCCTCAAATTCCTGAGCTCAAGAGATCCTGTCACCCCAGCCTCACAAGTAGCTGGGACTACAGGTGCACGCCACCACACACAGCTAATCATAATGATTCTTGATCCATTTTTTGTTGTTGTTTTCCCATAAGCTTTCAGGATCTTCTCTATGACCTCAGTTTGTGACTTTCATGTGTCTGTTTTCATCCCTCATGGTGAGCACTCAGTCCTTTCAAACTAAAAACTAATCTCCTTAAGTTATTTGGCCTTTTATTGTATTGTTAGGTCATTATTTCTTCCCCTCCATGCCTTCTGCTTTCTTTTACTGAAACTCCTATTTTTTCAATGTTGGACTTCCTGGACTGCTCCTGTAATTTTATCTTTTTAATTTTCTGCTCTTTTTGTTTTGTTTTGTTTTTGAGACAGGTTCTCACCCTGTCACCCAGGCTAAAGTGCAGTGGCATGATCACCGCTCACTGTAGCCTCGACCTCCTAAGCTCAAGCAATCCTGTCACCTCAGCCTCTACAAGTGGTACACACCTGTAGCTGGGACTACAGATGTGCACCACCATGCCCGACTAATTTTTGTATTTCGCTTTTCTTTTTTTTAAAGAGTATTTCCTTTATCTTTTAGCCCTTCTAAATAGTTGTCTACTGTTACTTTTTATTTGTAAGTACTCTTTTCTATTCTTTTTCTTCCTTAATAGCACCTTGAATGTAATACCATTTCTTATCTCTCTGAGAAGACAAAAGATAATCTTCCTCAAGAGTCTAAAGCATTCTTCTCACTGCATACCTTCTGCTTCCTGATGGTTCCTTTTTTTCCTATTTGTTTTGGTCACTTTCAAGTTAAAAGTCTTTCTTGGTGGGAGTCAGGTATGAACAGGAACTGGGATTTAAGGGCCACACTTCAGAGGTATCCCAGGACTCCTTTTTGCCAGAATTATGGGAAGATAATGTTGTGGGATGTGAGTAGTGAAATTTAGAAAAAGCAGAGAGTCCTACAAAACATATCCACAGGAAGACAATTAAAGAGCAACTTACACCAAGTAGGTGAAACTCTAATGCTTCTGAAACAGATAAGGAAGAACACGGCAAATTTTTACCAAAGCTAAGTATTGAACATGGAGAAAAAGTAAACTAGTTCTTAGGTATAAAAATAAAGGGCTACCGCGAGCAGTGGCTCACTCCTGTAATTCCAGCACTATGGGAGGCTGAGGTGGGTGGATCACCTGAGGTCAGGAGTTCAAAACCAGCCTGGGCAACATGGTGAAACTCCGTCTCTACTAAACACACAAAAATTAGGCAGGCAAGGTGGTGGGTGCCTGTAATCCCAGCTACTCAGGAGGCTGAGGCAGGAGAATTGCTTGAACCCAGGAGGCGGAGGCTGCAGTAAGCCAAGATTGCACCACTGCCCTCCAGCCTGGGCAACAGAGCAAAACTCTGTCTCAAATACTACTACTACTAATAATAATAATAAAGGGCTACCAAAATATATATGCTAATATCTGATCAGACTAGTTATGTCTACATACTCCTTAAAAAAATGAAGTCCGGCTGGGCGCGGTGGCTCACGCCTGTAATCCCAGCACTTTGGGAGGCCGAGGCAGGCGAATCACCTGAAGTCGGGAGTTTGAGATTAGCCTGACCAACATGGAGAAACCCCATCTCTACTAAAAACACAAAAAATTAGCTGAGCATGGTGATGCATGCCTGTAATCCCAGCTACTCAGGAGGCTGAGGCAGGAGAATCGCTTGAACCTGGGAGGCAGAGGTTGCGGTGAGCTGAGATCCCACCACTGCACTCCAGCCTGGGCAACAAGAGCGAAACTTCGTCACACACACACACACACACACACACACACACACACACACACAAAAAAAAAAAAAAAAAAAAAGAAGAAAAATGAAGTCCAAATCCAATGAAAACATTTAAATAAGAAACAAAAATGAGTCCTGTAGGAGTCTGGTGACCCTTTGGTTATCAGCCCATATTCAAGAGTGGGGCACCAAAAGTTGACTGGAACCTCTGGGTGAGTGCCCTGGGATTTATCTACTGTGGGCTTTATTTTACCAGATGACCCTATGCAGCTGTTTTACTGGACAAACCTTTAGCTCTTTCCTCTTAGGCAGGACAGATTCCTCTAAAACAATCTTCTAATATCCTGCCTGAAAAGTCTGAAGCCTGACTGCCAGAATTCTGGGAGTTGAGAGGAAGAAGGAAGCTAGGGAGGGAGTGGGGTCCTCACGTATAGTACGTACATGTTTTCAAATGTGCCTGCATACCCCAGCCTAAAGACTGACCCTCTCCAGAAAATAAACTTACGGTTTTTTGCTAGAGGGAGGAGGGCAGGCATAAGTTGTACGGACATGGGAGATTTGGGGATCTGACTGCTTCTTAAACAGACTTGCAACTCCTTGACCTTCACCCCACTCTGGGGGCAGCACCTGGTACTGCCAATGCTGGAACCTTCCAGGGGTTCTGTGATATAAATTGAGACCCAATGAGATTATCTGCTTCCCATCTCAGAATTCTGCCTTCCTACATTTGCTTAATCAGTTAGCTCTCACCCACTGGATTTTCAGCTTAAAGTGTTTTATTGTGGTTTTTTCTTCTCCTGTTCTGTTTGTCCTTCAGAGTGTGTTTGTGTATATAAACAATCCACTATTATTCTAGACTGATTTCGGGAGGGAGAAAAAGTAAATACAGGTACTCAATCTACTATCATTTTCCACATTATTTAAAACTTTTAGTCTTTTCTTTCTTTTCTTTTTTTTTTTTTTTAGAAAGAGATAGGGTCTCACTATGTACTTGAACTCCTGGTTGCAAGTAATCCTCCCACCTCAGCCTGCCTCTCGAGTAGCTGGGACTGTGAGTTTATTTTTTAAACATAAAAAGCAAAGCATGAGATCGGCATTTTAATTTAATGAGCAAAGTCACTTTCAAAGAGTAGTACTATTCTAGACTTGTGCTTATATTAGAGCAGTCCAGTGGCATGTGTATTGATCGAGGGTAAGGTCTAAAGAGAAGGGCATCCTGAATTCAGAAAAGGATGTAATCTAAACCATTAAATTGGGCAAACCTAACTGTTCCATTCTGTATTTTTCAAACAACAATGATGCAGCCAAATGAAGACCTTGAACTTGATACTGGACAAGATGAAAAGGTTGGCGGATAATTCTAAATTGCCAATTTCTCAAATATAATTACGAAAATATGTCAGAGCATACACAGAGTAAATTTTCTATCACAGCATAATTCATTTCCAAATAAGAATCAAATTTCACATCATTTGCCTCATTTATACAGTTAGGCTTTATCTAATAGCAGTTTCTTTTTTAGCTGAATAAAATGCATACATATGAAGAAAGTACATCACTTAGCTATTGCACATCCAAGCCAATCACTTTATTTTTTGGTTCAAGGACATGATGAATTAAATCAAGGGTAGGCCGGGCACAGTGGCTCATGCCTGTAATCCCAGCACTTTGGGAGACCGAGGCAAGTGGACTACCTGGGGTCAGGAGTTAGATACCAGCCTAATCAACATAGCAAAACCCCATCTCTACTAAAAATACAAAAACTAGTCAGGCATGGTGGTACACGACTGTAATTTCAGCTCCTCAGGAGGCTGAGGCACAAGAATCGCTTGAACCCAGGAGGCAAAGGTTGCAGTGAGCCACGATGGCACCACTGCACTCCAGCCTGGGTAATGGAGTGAGACTCTGTCTCAAAAATAAATAAATAAATAAATAAATAATAAAGGGTAATATATTACCTAAAACACAACTGATGTATCTTCCCTGAAACTATTTTATGAAGTTGCAGAATATCATCTCATTTACGTGTGTGTATGCTAAGTTATCACTTAATGTTGTCTATAGGTTCTTACAAACTGGGACTTTAAGCAAAATGAATAACAAGACTAATTTTACCATAGGCTAATTAATTAATTTTATTTATTTATTTATTTTTAGACAGAGTTTCGCTCTTGTCACCCAGGCTGGAGTGCAATGACACAATCTTGGCTCACTGCAACCTCCGCCTCCTGGGTTCAAGTAATTCTCCTGCCTCAGCCTCCCGAGTAAGTGGGATTACAGGTGCCTGCCACCACGCCTGGCTAATTTTTGTATTTTTAGTAGAGATGGGGTTTCACCATGTTGGCCAGGCTGGTCTCAAACTCTTGATCTCAAGTGATTCACCCACCTCAGCCTCCCAAAGTGCTGGAATTACAGGCGTGAGCCACCACGCCCGGCCAGGCTAATTTATATAAACAAGAATTAACTTCCTCCAGCATATTTCTGGTCACAAAAACATCAGCAAACTTCTAAAGACCTAAAACATGTCTAATAATAAACATTGAAATAAATATTACCTATATATAATTTAAGAAAGATTAATAAAAACAAGATAATTATTATTTTGGAGGGTAGCTGTTGTTAACTTGGTGTATTTTTGCACTTAACATTCATTACTTAAAGCAATTATATAGATATTAAAATGTAATTAAAGAATCCAGAAGAAATGGAAAATTACTTAAGCAATTATAATGCTTAGCATTGGTGAGATTTTGCCAACTTAACAAGTTAATTATTTATGCCATGTTTCCAGTTTAGGGTCTCAGGTGGCCGGAACCCATCCCATGTCAGGGTGCGCTCACACACACCCACACTCACATGGGGACTATGCAGACATGCTGGTTCACCTAACCTGTACATCTTTGGGATGTGGGAAGAAACTGGAGTACCCAGAGAAAATCCACGTAGACATGGAGAGAAAGTGCAAACTCCATTCACACAGTGGCCTTGGTCGTGGATAGATTTATTTTTTTCTCATCAACATTACAACCAAACAATGTTGAACAAAACGGTGTTATCTGAGAGCCTGCTGTCTTAGCCCGGGATATGGTTACACAGGCACAGAAAAAATGTCTGGGAGGACTCACACCAACTGCTTAACAATAACCATTTCTAGGAGTGGGTTGGTTCATTAATTTTTATTTCTCTACTGTGAAATGTTTACAGTGCTCATTTACTACTTTTTTTTCAATTAAAGAAAGAAAAGTGCTTTTGTTTATCAAACTGATTGTATATGGAGCAAGGATTTTTAAAATACCATTACCCAGTATCGACAGATTTGCCTGCACTACCGCATAGCAGCATCCCCAGCTGAGTCCACATCACTCAGAAAGGAGTCACATCTGACATCATTGGATTCAAATCCCAATATTCTGGCTCCTTTTCTTTCATTGTGGGGATGTGAGAGTGAATTTCATAAAGTATCTGTTTTGAACTTTGTGGCTTCCAAGCTTCAACATACCCAGTTTGTCAAGCTTCATTTCACTTTTTTAAATGTATTGCTCTGCCCAGACATCCCATCAGTTCTTTCAAACCGTCAGGTGAAACAAAGAGCTCTTTTGCCAACAGCTGCAATTATAATGTCCCTGCTATGTCAGACAGACCGGAGGTGGTTTTCCTGCCCTAAGTTTAAGATCTCACAAAAAAAATTCCTAAAGGTACTCAGACTATGCAACATATGTGTTATTTTAAAATCCCATCTCTTAAAAAAGATTATTCAAGAGACACTTACTTTCTCTTTCAGCTTTCTCCTAGAATTTCTAAACTGCTTACCAATTACAGAATAGAAAATTTAGAATTCCAATGGCTAATTAGAAGGGAGGGAAAAAAATACTACACATGGAATAATAAAGTCTCTAAGCCACTGATTTCCTAGACACCTCCACACTGATGACTTCAAGCCAGGATGCCTCATCATCTCACTTTCACTACCTTCCTCTTTAACATGCCCTATGGATTCCCTTCTTGAGTTCCTTATAGAAGGAAAAGAGAACAAGACAGCCAGCAGAGGAGTCCCCGGAGTTCTATGCACAACTGCAGAGTGAAAATGGAAAGGGGAGGCCAGGCGCCGTGGCTCACACCTGTAGTCCCAGCATTTTGGGAGGCTGAGGTGGGTGGATCACCTGAGGTCAGGAGTTCGAGACCAACCTGGCCAACATGATGAAACCCCCATCTCTACTGAAGATACAAAAAAATTAGCCAGGCATGATGGTGGGGGCATGTAATTCCAGCAACTTGGGAGGCTGAGGCAGGATAATCGCTTGAACCCGGGAGGTGGAGGTTGCAGTGAGCACGATCTCGGCTCACTGCACTCCAGCCTGGGCAACAGAGTGAGACTGTCTCAAAACAAAAAAAAAAAAAGAAAGAAAATGGAAAGCAGGGAATGATTCCCAAATTGGGATTTAGAGCCCAAAATTATATGACAAACTATATTACAGTTTCAGAAAACTAGCTTTTATCTGGAGGGAAAACTTTTTTTTTTTTTTTTTGAGACGGAGTCTCGCTCTGTCGCCATGGCTGGAGTGCAGTGTGCGATCTCGGCTCACTGCAAGCTCCACCTCCTGGGTTCACGCCATTCTCCTGCCTCAGCCTCCCGAGTAGCTGGGACTACAGGCGCCGGCCACCACGCCCTGCTAATTTTTTGTATTTTTAGTAGAGACGGGGTTTCACCATGTTAGCCAGGATGGTCTCGATCTCCTGACCTCGTGATCCACCCACCTCGGCCTCCCAAAGTGCTGGGATTACAGGCGTGAGCCACCACGTCAGGGGATGAGATGGCACTGGCCACAAGCTTACAGCAACTTCCAGGCAGAGGAAACAGAACATACAAAGGCCCTGGGCTAAGACAGGAATGAAAAACTTTCAACCTCAATCTGTTCATTGCTCTTTACTTCCAACATCAGATCTTCATGATCTGTAAATTGCCTTCAACCATATTCCAGTCAGTATCCTAGGGAGTTCTAAGCTTTCAACAGACCCTCAATTTGTCTCAACCCCCTGCTGTCCCCTGGAGTACAGTAAGTCTCTCCAAGGTCAACAATGGGCAGTAAAATTCTAATTACAAAACATTTGTGCTATAAGAGACCTCAGAAGTCATCTAGTTCAACCCCTTTATTTCAGCGGCGAAAGTGAAACCCAAGAGAAGAAATGATGGACTCGGCCAGGCGCTGTGGCTCACGCCTGTAATCCCAGCACTTTGGGAGGCCAAGGTGGGCGGATCACGAGGTCAGGAGATCACCATCCTGGCTAACACAGTGAAATCCCATCTCTACTTAAAATACAAAAAATTAGCCGGGCATGGTGGCGGGCGCCTTGTAGTCTTAGCTACTCAGGAGGCTGAGGCAGGAGAATGGCGTGAACCTGGGAGGTGGAGCTTGCAGTGAGCAGAGATGCACCACTGCACTCCAGCCTGGGCGACAGAGCGACTACGTCTCAAAAAAAAAAAAAAAGAAATGACGGACTCAAGGTCTCAACACTGGAAGGGGCAGGGCCTGGGTTCCTTCTCAAGTCTAAGGAACAGAGACTGAGTTCTTTCTCTCTCTGCCCAGTTCCCAACATTTCAACAGCCTGCTTCTTTCCCTTCGTTGTATGCTGTCTCCCTAGATGGCTGCTAATCTGATGTTGCATTTAAAATAAGATGGTGATTTTTCTTCATTGTTTCCACAAAATATGCTCACTATAAAAAGTCTGGCAGCCTGGCCAACACAGTGAAACCCCGTCTCTACTAAAAATACAAAAATTAGCCGGGCATGGTGGCACGTGCCTGTAATCTCAGCTACTCGGGAGGTTATGGCAGGAGAATTGCTTGAACCCAAGAGGCAGAGATTGCAGTGAGCCAAGATCACGCCACTGCATTCCAGTTTGGGTGACAGGGCGAGACTCCATCTCAAAAAAAAAAAACTTTAGAAAATGCAGCTTTTGCTGGGCACACTCCTGTAATCCCAGCACTTTGGGAGGCCGAGGCAGGCAGATCACAAGGTCAGGAGATTGAAACCATCCTGGCTAACACGGTGAAACCCCGTCTCTACTAAAAATACAAAAAATTAGCCGGGCGTGGTGGCGGGCGCCTGTAGTCCCAGCTACTCGGGAGGCTGAGGCAGGAGAATGAGGTGAACCCGGGAGGCGGAGCTTGCAGTCAGCCAAGATCGCGCCACTGCACTCCAGCCTGGGCGACAGAGTGAGACTCCATCTCAAAAAAAAAAGAAAAAGCAGCTTTTTTCTGTTTTTCCACTTAGATAGCCTACATGTGCTTGTTTGTGGAGCACTTGGAAAGTACAGAACATTAAACAAAACAAAACAAAGAAACAGAAAAAGACATAACCTATAATTCTGCCACCTGGGGATCACCATTAACATTTTGGCATATTTACTTGCAATCCTGTTTTCCAAACATTTCTTGTAATTATATTATATGGCATATATAATTTTGCATTCTGCTTTTTTTTCACTTAGACATGTTCCTATTGGACTCAGACATGTGTCCAACTCTGCATATGTGTATTATATTTCTCTTTCTTCAGCAGGAACTCATTTATCTGTCAAAAGGGTAATTGGACACTGAAAATCATGGTCACAGTTTTATTCTGAGGTTTGAGTCTTTTTGGTCTGTTTTATGGATATTGTTTTAAATTATTTCACTGCCAAAAAGCTGTATGTGCTTTCTTCTGTTTGTTTACTTGAATCCAGAAAAACCTCCCACTGAAATGATGTCTGACCATATTCTGCCCAACATAAGCCAACATCAATACATGGGGATATTTGCATTTGAAATAAGATGCACATTGAAAGTCCCCATTTTAAAAGGTAAAATTACACTGAAGCAAGCATAAAATTCACTATATTAAAAAGGCCATAAGTGAAGAGTTGTGGAGAAACTTTATCACCCCAAAGTATGAGTAAATGAGAGATAAAACTCCCCTCCCCACCCTCTATTCTTAGAGGCTAAGTCTAGGCAATTTCAATTTCAAAAATATTTCTCCCACAATTCTTACTCGGCCTGGCTGAATGACATTGTACAAAGATCACGCCCCCTTTATGCACAAGCAAAGGTTCGCTTGAGCATAAAGGCAGAAACAGTTAGTAGGCCCACTGTTAATTCCCAAATGCTTACACCACTGTGGAAATGTCACATGGGCCACTGCACTGGGGAGAGGAGGGCTTGAGGAGAAAATCCACTGCTGGAATAAACTGCACATTGATACCTTATCTACAATGTCATCATAGGCCCAGCTCTTGTCTGAGTGCAAAGATGCTATTAAAATCCATAAATAAAACCAATTAAACCCACTGATGAGAATCTGATGTCTGCCAATATTCTATCTGAAGACTCAAATGGGTCATACTAAAATTAAAACACAAAAAGACATTATGTGTCAAATGCATGACAAGTATGGCAATACATAATCATCTGCAGATACTCAGGCCCCTTCCTTCAAAAGGAAAACAAGGCATTCATGCTTTCAGCAGCATTATAAATAATGTTAAAGTGTGGGCTGTACAAATACTTATTTCCTTTTTTGTTTGTTTGTTTTTTGAGACAGAGTCTTGCTCTATTGCCCAGGATGCAGTGCAACGTGGTGCATTCTTGGCTCACTGCAACCTCCCCCTCCTGGGTTCAGGCGGTTCTCCTGCCTCAGCCCCCTGAGTAGCTGGGATTACAGGCGCCCACACCACACCCAGCTAATTTTTGTATTTTTAGTAGAGACAGGGTTTCGCCATGTTAGCCAGGCTGGTCTTGAACTCCTGACCTCAGGTGATCCACCCGCCTCAGCCTCCCAAAGTGCTGGGATTACGGGAGTGAGCCACGACGTGTGGCCCAAATGCTTATTTTCTGAAGTCTGACCAACAAAACGTGGCCTTCTGAAGGAAAGGAAGTATTACGCTTCCTCCTAGTGCACAGTCCTCCTGACCTTTATGGGCAAGATCAGAGGTCCCTCAGAATGAGCGATAACGGCTAGCTCACCAATGACGGGAGCAGTCCTTTCCCTCCTGGCTGAGTCCTTTACCTCATAAGCCGTGCACTCTTCCTCAGGTTTAAAGGGTTTTATGTTACCAATCAAACCTGAAGTATGACACACAAGAGCACAATAGTCTTCAGTAATCCAAGGCACTTGAAGACCAGCCTGCCAAGTGAAGACATGGCGGGTATTGGCAGGACTTCCTAAGGTGCTAAAGCCCCTCTTGGACCCTTTAACCATTACCAACACTGGCTGTGTTTCTAGATGAAGACCTTCCAGCTCATGCTTCTTCCCATTATGGCCCTCAAGTTAGGAACATTTAAAACAAAGGGATTTCTAACTACATATTTAGGATAAAAAAGTTAAACAGAAAAAGGTTGAGACTCTCAGTTACTGCTGCATGTTGATCCGCAGAGCTGATATGTAGCCTAGTTCAATGAAGAGATTCAGAGTCCCAGCTCCACCTAAGTGAACAACACTAGCAATCCACGCAATCATTCCACATCTGTTAAAAGGAGATATTACGTCAGCCTCCTATGACTGTGGTAAGAATACAGTCTGGCACAATAATACTTGGTTGCAAGGTGACTATTAATTATAAATCACATGTTGATTCCCAAAAGTTTATTTTTGGGAATACTTTACATCATCTGTATAAAGTATGAATTTATTTTCTTTGACAGGGAAATGTGCTAATTTCTTGTTTCTGATATTGCCATTTCCAACCAGTTTTGTTTTTTTTTTTTTTTTTGAGACAGAGTTTCACTCTTATTGCCCAGGCTGGAGTGCAATGGTGCGATCTCGGCTCACCACAACCTCCGCTTCCCAGGTTCAAGTGATTCTCCTGCCTCAGCCTTCCAAGTAGCTAGGATTACAGGCACGCGCCACCACGCCTGGCTAATTTTGTATTTTTAGTAGAGATGGGGTTTCTCCATGTTGGTCAGGTGGTCTTGAACGCCTGACCTCAGGTGATCCACCCGCATTGGCCTCCCCAAGTGCTGGGATTACAGGCGTTGAGCCACCGTGCCCCGACTCCAGCCAGTTTTTTAGACACCCCAAGTAATCAATGTGTGTAATTAGAATTTCAAAACATTTACCTGTAAGCTGTTGTTAAGCAAATCAAAGTCACTGTATCTTCTAACAATCTGTAAGAGACAAGAAGTAGTGTTTTGATTCAGCAAAGACTATCTCTTTTCATTTCTTTATTTAATATGTATTAGAATTAGTAATATTGGCACTCTAGAGCTCAGGCACTTGTGCTAAGGGTAGTAGGGCTTATACCTGGTGCTTAACTGTTTAACCTGACAAGCCTAGAAAACAGACTTAGCAGTGCCAAGCGTTGGCTGGGCCATGGGAAACTGGTTAATACCTGTCAAATTCACAAGATGCCAAGAGATAAGTGAGAATATTTGTTTTCAGGGCAAACAGCCCTTCAATTGTCTTTCTTATTAACCAGGCACCTAGAAAGATGAATGACTTAAAAAAAAAAGTTTTACTGAGCATGGAATCAAAGCAAGAGGAAATGGACAGTTTTGAGGCCATTTCACCTTTGTCCTGGGTCAAACTTTCCCCAGGTGAGCTCCCACCACCCTGGAGACTGGACTGCATTGCAGGCAGAGCTGCCACACATACATCGCCCTGATTCCCCAGGGTTCCCCCTCTTGACAGACAGTCCACCTTCCATTGTCTACACATTCTTTCTCAGTTGTATTAATGCCATTGATTAGGCTATAGTCAAATTCTACTAGTTCTTCAGGCCCTGATCAAGAAAATAATTTTGGTTTGAATAGTTTGACTTTAACCTTTATTGGTGATTTTCACATGTTAATGTGCAGAAAAGTATTACCTGGATATCACCTAGAACCCTATCGGGGCTCAGAAAATGATATCCCAGTATGGTACTTTGGCATGCTAAGTACTTTGAACTAAAGGAGATTAGAAGGCCTCAGAAATGGGCTGGGCACAGTGGCTTGTGACTGTAATCCCAGCACTTTGGGAGGCTAAGGCGGGTGGATCACCTGAGGCCAGGAGTTCGAGACCAGCCTGGCCAATGTGGCGAAACCCGTCTCTACTAAAAATACAAAGATTAGCTGGGCATGGTGGCGAGCACCTGTAGCCTCAGCTACTCGGGAGGCAGAAGCACTAGAATCGCTTGAGCCTAGGAGGCAGAGATTGCAGTGAGCAGAGATCGCTCCACTGCATTCCAGCCCGGGCAACAGAATGAGACTCTGTCTAAAAAAAAAAGAAGGGCTCACAAATGAGTTATTCTTTCTGGTCTTCTGCCCTCCTGTCTCTAGCCCCTCTACCTCTCACAAAGTAAGCCATAAAACCTAGAGGTTGCTCTCTCCCTTCTCCCTTGAGGACTCTCATTCTAAAGGGGTCCTGCCCCATACCCAGGAGGAAGGAAGGCTACACGGACAGACCAAGAAAAACAGACAGGCCCAGGCACAATGGCTCATACCTACAATCCCAGCACTTTGGGAGGCAAAGGCAGGAGGATCCCTTGAGCTTAGGAGTTAAAGACCAGTCTGGGCAACATAGCAAGACCCCTTTTCTACAAAACTAAAAATTAAAAAAAGAAGAACAGACAAGGCCAGGCATGGTGGCTCATGCCTACAATCCCAGCACTTTGGGAGGCTAAGGCAGGAGGATTGCTCGAGCTCAGGAGTTCCAGACCAGCCTGGGCAACATGGCCAAACCCCATCTCTATAAAAAACACACAAAAATTAGTTGGGCATAGTGGCACCTGCCTATAGTTCCAGCTACTCAGGAGGCTGAAGTGGGAGGATCACTTGAGCCCAGGAGGTCGAGGCTGAAGTGAGCTGTGATCACACCACTGCACTCCAGTCTGGGCCACAGAGCAAAACCCTATCTCAAAAAAATAAAAATAAAAACATAAAGAAATTGTTTGTTCAATCACATTCTACATGGCTATCCATTCTTCATCAAATCAAGCATAAAAATGGACAGTTTTCCCCGGGTCTTTGGGTCTTCATTTCTGAAAGTTCCTGTGTCACATAAAACTTTGATTGGTCAGGCACAGTGGCTCACATCTGTAATCCCAACACTTTGGGAGGCCGAGGCAGGCGGATCACGAGGTCAGGACATCGAGAACATCCTGGCTAACACAGTGAAACCCTGTCTCTACTAAAAATACAAAAAAATTAGCTGGGCGTGGTGGCGGGTGCCTGTAGTCCCAGCTACTCGGGAGGCTAAGGCAGGAGAATGGCGTGAACCCAGGAGGCGGAGTTTGCAGTGAGCGAAGATCGTGCCACTGCACTGCAGCCTGGGTGACAGAGCAAGACTCCGTCTCAAAAAAAAAAAAAGCTTTTATTAAATAAATTTGTTATGCTTTTCCCTTATTAATCTGTCTTCTGTTATAGGAGTGTTGGCCACAACCATTACCATGGGTGAAGAAAGGTATCACACCTCTCTGCCCCTACAACCCCACCCATTGAAAATCTGATCAGTAGGTCTAGGATGGGGCCCAAGAGTCTACATTTTTGTTGAGTACTCCTGGGTTTCTAATGCAATGGATCTAGAAAACTGCACCAAGGGTTGATCTTTCTGGTAGGACACTGCTGTTGGCCCTGTTTGCCAAATATACATCAAAAAGTTAAATATAAGGTCATCCCTGATAAGAGCCAAGAAGCAAAAGATCGTAGAGTGGTTAACCACAGAGAATGAGCAAATTCCAACTCTACTCTGCCAATGATCTAACTGTGACCTTAGACAGTTACTTACTTCACAAATGTAAAATGAGGACAATACTACCACATAGGACATTTTTAAAAGGTTAAGTGAATTAATGTGCTTAAACCAGTGAACACTTAATACATGCTCAATAGATGTTAAATATAATAATTATTCAAACAAACAGTAGTTTGAAATTTCAGGCAAAGAAAAGACCAAGTGTGGACAACTGTGTGTAAGAGGCTGCTTAAGGTAGAAGGTTAAAGTTTGAGCTGGGCTGTGAAGGAGAAGGTAAGATTTTTGGGAGAGAAGAAGTGTTGCGGGGAGGTGGAGGTGGTAATTATAATTACTAAAACAGGAAAGAAAGGGCCCCTATGCAGAATTCAGCCACCCTCTGTAAGTCAACTCAGATGGGAAGGACCTCTCGATCTGTCCAGGAATTCTTTTCTCTCTGAGGCCACCACTGAAGAAAGCAGAGCCTGGGGCCCCAAGAAGACCCTCCCCTAGAGACAATGAGGGAGCTAGCACCAGAAGCTGCCCATGAGTGGACCTGAGATCCATAAAATGTAGTGGCCCAAACTGTACAATAACCAAGACTCAATCTCACCTTTCTACCTGGTAGACTGAACTCAAACCATAGCTACAGGGGAGAAGGTGTGAATTTCTAGAAAGAAAACAAGTAATTTGCATACACTATTTGCCCTGGGTTGAGCTGGGGAACAAATTCCTAGATACCCTCCATAGTAATATCAATCACACACAATTTAACCAAACAACTGGGGACAGGAAAGACTCTTATCATACTTGTCTTAAAGCTAAAAGTTTATAGCTAAAAGAAACATGATTTATATTTATGCATGTTCTGATTTTTCCAGACTTTCAGAGGCCCCAAGTCAGGGTTTTAGTCACGCATTTAAATATTTTTCTAATTGACAAAAAAAAAAAAAAAGATGCTTACCTGCCAGCTGTTTTCCACAGAAATTCCTCTTTGCACTCGAATAATATATTCCTTAAAAAGAGAAGGGAAGAATAACCTCAGTTATAAAACTGAGTTTGATTCCCAAAGCAGGGAATCAAAAATAAGTTTTAAAAAATCAGATAAAGTAGACTTCAGAGCAAGGAAATTTACCAGAGACAGAGAGAAAGGGACATTACATAAAAACAAAAGGGTAATCTACCAGGAAGACATAGCAATCCTCAATGTATATGCATCAAACAACAGAGCTGTAAAATATGTGAGGCAAAAAACTGATAAAACTGAAAGAAGTGACAGACAAATCCAAAATTATAGTTGAAGACTTCAATACTCCTCTGTCAGGAATTGACAGAACAACTAAACAGAACACCAACTAGGATATAGAAGAACTTAACAATACCATCAGCCAACAGGATTTAATTAGCATTTATAGAGCACTCCATCCAGTAACAGCAGAATACACATTCTTTCCAAGTCATCATGCGTACCATAGACCAATACAGATCATATCCTGAGCCATAAATCTCAAAATATTTAAAAGAACCAAAATCATACAAACTAGAAATCAGTAAGATTGGTAACAGGAAAATCTCCACAACAGTTGGAAACTAAACAACACAGTTCTAAATAATCCATGTTTTAAAGACAAAATCTCAAGGGAAATTAAAAATTACATACATTGAACTGAAAGAAAATACAGCATATCAAAATTTGTGGGACACGTCAGCTAACACAGCACTGAGAGGGAAATTTAAGCACTAAATGCTTATATTAGAAAAGAGAAAAACTATCAAATCAATAACCTAAACTTCACCTCAAGAACCTAGAAAAAGAAGAGCGTAATACACTCAAAGCAAGCAGAAGAAGGAAAAATAAAGAGCAGAAATCAATAAAATTGAAAACAAAGAAATAGAGAAAAGTCAAGAAATAAAAAGCTGATTATTTGAAAAGACCAATAAAATTGACAAAAATGGACAAAATAAAGATAAGACATGTATTATTAATATCAAGAATGAATTAGGATACCACTACAGACTGTGCAGATATCAAATGGATAAGGGAATGCTGTGAACGATTCTACATATATCAATTTGACAACTTAGATGAAATGGACCACTTCCTCAGGAACACTAAATACCACAACTCACTCAATATGAAATACATAATTTGATCTTCATAATGATTTTTTTTTTTTGAGACCGAGTCTCACTCTGTCACCCAGGCTGGAGTGCAGTGGCACGATCTCAGCTCACTGCCACTTCCGCCTCCTGGGTTCAAGCAATTCTCCTGCCTCAGCCTCCTGAGTAGCTGGGATTACAGGTGCCTGCCACTGTTCCCGGCTAATTTTTGTGTTTTTAGCGGAGATGGGGTTTCACCATATTGGCCCAGCTGGTCTCGAACTCCTGACCTCAAGTAATCCGCCCACCTCGGCCTCCCAAAGTGCTGGGATTACAGGCGTGAGCCACCGCGCCCAGCCTATAATGATTTATAATTAAATTCATAACTAAAAAACTCCGCTCCCCTCCCCCCGCCAAATATGTATCAAGGCCCAATGGTTTCACTGGAGAATTCTACTAAGTGTCTTAAGAAGAATCAACACCAATTCTCTACAAACTCTTCTAAAACACAGAAGAGGAAGGAACACTTCCCAATTCACTTGATGAAGCTAGTATTACCCAGGTCCCAAAACCAAAGACAGTACAAAAAAGAGAACTATAGATCAATACCATTCACAAACATAGGCTCAAAAATCCTTACCAAAATATTAGTAAATTGAATTCAGCAATTTATAAAAAGAATTATATACCATGACCAAGTGGGTCTCATTCTAGGGACTCAAGGCTGGTTCACCATTCAGAAACTGATCGATGTAATCTGCCATATTAACAGGCTAATCAAGAAAAATCATGTGATCGTATCAAATGATGCAGAAAAAGCATCTGGCAAAACTCAACATCCTTTCATGATAAAAAATTTTAGAAAAATAGGAATAGAGGACACTTTCTTAAGTTGATGAAAAAGTTCTACAAAAAACCTACAGCTGACATACTTAATGGTGGAAGACTCAGTATTTTCCCCTAAGATCAGGAACAAGGCAAGGCAGTGTGTTCTCCTACTCAACAAACTACTGGAAGATCTAGCCAGTGTAATAAAAATAGGAAAAGAAATAAACGGCATATAGATCAAAAGGAAGAAATAAAACTGTTCGTATTTTTAGGCAACATGATAGTCTATGTAGAAAATCCCAAGGGATCTACAAAAAAACTGGAATTAATAAATTCTTAGGCCAGACTCAGCGGCTCATGCCTGTAATCTCAGCACTTTAGCAGGCTGAGGTGGGATGACTGCTTGAGTCCAGGAGTTTAAGACTAGCCCAGGCAAAACAGCAAGACCTCGTCTCTACAAAAATAAAAAAATTAGCCAGGCATAGTGGCACATGCCTGTAGTCCCAGCTACTCAGGAGGCAGAGGGAATGCTTGAGCCCGGAAGGTCATGACTGCCGTGAGCCATGTTGGCACCCGCACTCCAGCCTTGGCAAAAGAGAGAGACCCAGTCATTAATTAATTAATTGAGTTCAACAAGGCCACAGAATACAAGTATACAAATATCAGTTGTGTATCTATATACTAGAAATGAACATATATAGGTATAAATTAGAAATACAATACCATTTACAATTACTCAAAAAAAAATACTTGGAGGGAAATCTAAAACATGCACAGTACTTGTATGTCGAAAACTACAAACCACTGATAACAGAAATCAAAGCTCTGAATAAACGAATAGAAATAAAGATTTCAATTATCCCTAAATTGATATACATGTTTAAAACAAATCCTATTAAAAGTTTTTTTTCCAAATATAGTCAAGATTATTCTAAAATGTAGATGGGGCCAAGTCAGCGGCTCATGACTATAATCTGAGCATTTGGGGAGGCCAAGGCGGGAGGATCACTTGAGCTCAGGAGTTCAACCAACCTGGGCAACATGGTGAAACTCCATCTCTACAAAATATAAAAAAATTAATTAGCCGGGCATGGTGGTACGCACTTGTAGTCCCAGCTACTCAGGAAGCTGAGGAAGGAGAATTGCTTGAGCCTGGGAGGCTGAAGCTGCAGTGAGCCAAGATCATGCCACTGCACTCCAGCCTGGGCAAGAGAGCAAGACCTTGTCTCTAAATAAATAAAGTATGAGGACTCAGTCTACCTGATGTCAAGACTATTACATCAATACAGTAATCAAGACTGTGTAGTGTTGGTGGAGGCATAAACATATACGTCACTGGAAGACAACAGAGAACCCAGAAATAATTCCATATAAGTATGCCTAATTAAATTTTTGATGAAAGTGCAAAGGCAATTCAATAGAGGAATGATAGCCTTTTCAACAAATGATGCCAGAGCAATTGGACACTCAGCAATGAAATGAACCTCAACCTAAGATTCATGTGTTGTATTACTTTCACGTGTCAGAGCAATTGGACACTCAGCAATGAAATGAACCTCAACCTAAGATTCAGGCATTGTATTCACACATTGTACTACCAAAATGAATTATGTACTTAAATGTAAAATGTAAAACTGTAAGACTTTTAGGAAAAAAAATAGGAGAGAAAAATCTGGGATCCAGGTTTAGGCAACAAGTTCTTGACAGCAAAAGCATGATCTATGTAAGGGAAAAATTGGACTTCATCAAAATTAAAAACATTTTTCTATGAAAGAACAAACATTTTTTAAAAATCCAATTAGAAAATGGGCAAATAATAAGAATACATTTCACTGAAGAGGATATACAGATGGCATACATGAAAATATATTCAACATTACTAGCCCTCAGGGAAATGCAAATTAAGGCCACTATACACCTATCAGAATGGCTTAAATAAAAAACAGTAATAACACCAAATCCTGGCTAGGATACAAAAAAACTGGATCACTCATACATTGCAGATGGGACTATAAAATGGTATAACTACTCCAGAACAGTTTGGAAGTTTCTTTAAAAACTATATATGCAACTACCATACAACCCAGCAACTGTATTCCTAGACATTTATTCCAAAGAAATGAAAACTTATATTCACATAAGAATTTATACACAAATGTTCATAGCAACTTTATCAGTAAAAGCCTCAAAGTGGAAACAAGATAGATGTCCTTCAATAGGTGGTTAAATTCTGCTATATCCATACCATGAAATACTACTCAAGCAAAAAAAGAAATGAACTATTAATATACACAATAACTTGGATGGATCTCCAGAGAATCATGCTGAGTGGAAAAAAAAGCAATCTTGAAAGGTTATATACTGTACAATTCTATTTATATAACATTCTTGAAGTGACAAAATTATAGAGATGGAGAACAGATTAATGGTTACCTGGAGTTAAGGCTGTGGTAGTGAGATGGGCGTCAGAGGGAAGCAGTGTAGCTACAGAAGGGCAAAGTGAGGAATGCTCGCAATAATGGAAGTGTTCTCTATCGTGACTGTATCACTGTCAATATCCTGGTTATAATATTGTACTATAGGTTTGCAAGATGTTACCATTGGAGAAAATTGAGTAAAGGGTATATGGGATCTCTCTGCATTTTTTTTTTTTTTTTTTTTTTTTGAGACAGAGTCTTGCTCTGTCACCCAGGCTGGAGTGCAGTGGTACAATCTCAGCTCACTACAACCTCCGCCTCCCGGGTTCAAGTGATTCTCCTGCCTCAGCCTCTCGAGTAGCTGGGATTACAGGTGCGCGCCAACATTCTGGCTAATTTTTGTATTTTTAGTAGAGACGGGGTTTCGCCACCTTGGCCCGGCTGGTCTCTAACTCCTGACCTCAGGTGATCCGCCCACCTCAGCCTCCCAAAGTGCCAGGATTACAGGCGTGAACCACCGCGCCCGGCCAAAATGAGAAGTTTTAATAGCTTCCCCAGGTAATAATTATTAAGCAAGCATGAAACACAGACCTAGAGCAGCCTCCAGTTTATACACACAGGACATTATGATGAAAGTATAAATTAAATCATAAAGAATGTTATTGTTTCCTCAAATGTTCAGAACTGTTTTATTAACTTTTTTTTTTTTTTTCAGTCGGGGTCTCACTTTGTTGCCTAGGTTGGAGTGCAATGGTGCAATCTCAGCTCACTGTAACCTCCACCTCCCGGGTTCAAGCAATCCTCCTGCCTCAACCTCCCAAGTAGCTGGGACCACAGGCATGCACCACCACCCTCGGCTAATTTTTGTATTTTTTGTAGAGACGGTGTTTCACCATGTTGCCCAGGCTGGTCTCAAACTCCTGGACTCAAGTGATCTGCCCACCCTGGGATTACAGGTGGGATTATAGGTATGAGCCACTGTGCCCAGCCTGGAGCTGGGATTACAGGTATGAGCCACTGCGCCCAGCCTGTTTTACTAACTTTGAGTGGTATCATATAGGCATTACTCACGGTCACTACTCAACAAATCCTTTCTACTGAATTGATTCCACTGATTTAAATAGGTTATTTAGAAAATAAAGCCAAATGAGACGTTAACCTGGTAACTACATTTTAAAATTGATCGTATTACACTATCATTCATTTATATGCTGTTTATTTGGCAAAGACTGATAAATTCCAAATAAGCAGGAACTTCTGCCTCTCCTGGATTATGTTAAGGATGGTACATTCAACGTTCAACAATATCCGCTCAATTATTATGTACTTGGCATGGTTTTATATGGGGTTATAAAACATTTCAAAACTGACTTGTGTAGTGTGACAAATCTCTCCCTCTATTTTTTTTTAAAGATAAGGTGTTACTCTGTCATCCACGCTAGAGTACAATGGCATGCGGCCTCGACCTCCTGGGCTCAAGCAGTCCTCCCACCTCAGCCTCCTGAGTGGCTAGGACTACAGGTGCGCTCCACCAACTCCAGCTAATTTTTAAATTTTTTGTAGAAACGGGGTCTCAGTATGTTGCTCAGGCTGGTCTCGAACTCCTGGCCTCCAGCAATTCTTCTGTCTCAGCCTCCCAAAGTGCTGGGATTATAGGCATGAGCTACCATGCCCAGCCTCAGGCAAATCTCTTAAGCAATAAGCTAATGCAATTATTTCTGAATACATAAAGATAAAATGCTAAAAACAACTGACAGTCTTACATTTGGAGATCAGTCCTTTAGCATTTAAATGTTCTTGTCAACTTAGGTTCGTTTTACTGACACATTTTCTTGGCTTTTACATTCTTATAGAAATGTAAATTGGCATGTATAATTGGATAACTCCAAACAACTACACATAAACATGTTTTTTTTATGTCTAGAGGGAAAAAATGTTAAATCACAAAAATCACTTTGCGCATCGATTGCTTCATGTATCAGAGGAATAATTTTTTTTCTTTTTTTTTTTTTTTGAGACAGAGTCTCACTCTGTGGCCAGGCTGGAGTGCAGTGGCGCGATCTCGGCTCACTGCAACCTCTGACTCCCTAGTTCAAGCGATTCTCCCACCTCAGCCTCCCGAGTAGCTGGGATTTACAGGCACGCACCACCATGCCTGGCTAATTTTTGTATTTTCAGTAGAGAGGGGGTTTCACCATGTTGGTCAGGATGGTCTCGATCTCCTGACCTCGTGATCTGCCCACCTCGCCCTCCCAAAGTGCTGGGATTCCAGGCGTGAGCCACTGCGCCTGGCCATCAGAGGAATAATTTTAATGTTTAAAATTCCAGCTCAATGTTGGGCACTTAGAAGCTACTAAGTAAGCATTTGCTGGTCTCCTTTATATAAACACATATAAACTACATAGCTTTGAGTTTAAAGTTTGGACATGTGTTTTTATGAAGATGTTGCTGCCAATTGTGAGCATGGACTAAGCACCTATCACGTTCCAAACCCGTGCTTTGTTCATGCTGGGGAAATGATTCTCAACAGAAAAGTGCATTCTGACGAAAAAGGTACTGCATTCCATTCCTTTCCTGTGTATAGATATAATTTAGATTAAAAAAATAAACTTGGCTTTAAAACAAGCAATAATGTTTGGGGAAAGCATTTGGCATATGGGAAGCAGTAGCAGCAAGACAATGCCTGCGTCCTGATGTCAGGCTGTGACATCCCAAAATGATATCCTAGTTAATGTTTCTGCCAAGACACTCTATGTTTAGGTCAGTGTTCTTAAAAGCGGGGGTGATTCTGCTCAGCAGACATCTGGTAATGCCTGGAAACATTTTAGGTTGTCACAGGGGACAGGAGTGCTACCTAATAGGTAGTGGCCAGGAATGCTGCTAAATGTCCTGTAATGCACAGGAGACCCCCACAACAAAGAGCCATCTGACCCCAAATGTCAAAGTACCAAGGTTGAGAAACTGGGGATCAGGTGAGTAGAAGAGGTCACACCAGCCCATGGAGGCTTGGGATACAGGATGGAGTGGGAGTTACTTCTGCTGTCACCTGCCCTGGACCGTGGCCCACTGCTATCCTACATGCAACACCATTTGTAGCATGTGCATGTCTACCTACAGGGTGCGCTTAGTTACTGGTAGCCCCAAGGCACCACCCATACCCATTGTATTTCCCCTGTAAAGGAACATTAAGAATGAGCCTCCAGAAGTAGAGTAGGATGGTGGTTACCACAGGGTGGCAGTGGGAGTAGACCAAGAAAGAGATGATGCTGGTGGAAGGTTTCAAGTAAGACACGAAGAATATGCTGTGGTGATCTACTGCACACCATGGTGATTGTAGTCAATAATAATGCATATATCAAAATGACTAAAACAGTGGATTTTAAATGTTCTCACCACAAAGAAATGATAACTACATGAAGTGATAATATGTTCATTGGCTTGATTCAATTATTCCACAAAGTATATATAGTTATGCACTGCATAATGACATTTCAGTCACAACAGACCACAAATATCATGATGGTCCAGTAAGATTAGGTTTTCTTTCTTGGTTTTTTTGTTTTTTTGTTTTTTTGTTTTGAGACAGAGTCTCACTTTGTCACCCAGGCTGGAGTGACATGCAGTGGCATGCAGTGGCATGATCTCACTTCACTGCAACCTCTGCTTCCCGGGTTCATATAATTCTCCTGCCTCAGCTTCCCAAGTAGCTGGGATTACAGGTGCCCACCACCAAGCCAGGCTAATTTTTGTATTTTTAGTAGAGATGGGGTTTCACCATGTTTGCCAGGCTGGTCTGTAACTCCTTACCTCAAAGTGATCCGCCCACCTTGGCCTCCCAAAGTGCTAGGATTACATATAGGTGTCAGCCACAACGCCTGGCCAAGGTCTAATAAGATTATAATGGAGCTAAAAACATTTCTATTGCCTAGTGACATCACAGATGTCTTAACATTATAGCGCAATGGATTACTCATGTGTTTGTAGTATGGTGGTGTAAATAAACCTACTGCTTTTTATAGTTATTTCAGAGTATACTCCTTCTACTTAGAAATGAAAGGTAACTGTAAAACAGCCTCAGACAGGTCCTTCAGGAGGTGTCCAGAAGGCATTGCTATCATAGGAGAGCTCCATGTGTGTTATTGCCCCAGAAGACCTTCCAGTGGGACAGGATGTGGAAGTGGAAGACAGTCATACTGATGATCTTGATACTGTGTAGGCCCAGGCTAATGTGTGTGTTTATGTCTTAGTTTTTGTTTTTTTTTTTTGAGACAGAGTCTCGCTCTGTTGCCCAGGCTGGAGTGCAGTCGCACAATCTCGGCTCACTGCAACCTCTGCCTCCCAGGTTCAAATGATTCTCCTGCCTCAGCCTCCCACGTAGCTGGGACTACAGGCGTGTGCCGCCACGCCCGGCTAATTTTTGTATTTTTAGTAGAGACGGGGTTTCACCATGTTGGCCAGAATGGTCTCCATCTCTTGACCTCATGATCTGCCTGCCTCAGCCTCCCAAAGTGCTGGGATTACAGGTGTGAGCCACCGCGCCCAGCCTGAAGTTTTCTAGATTGCTCGATATACCAACCAGCCTAATCAAAAGGGAACTGTTTTCACCTCAAGTTTCCAATGCTGTGAACAAAAAAAAAAAAAGAGGCCGGGCGCAGTGGCTCACGCCTCTAATCCCAGCACTTTGGAGGCTGAGGAAGGTGGATCACAAGGTCAGGCGTTCAAGACCAGCCTGGCCAACATAGTGAAACCCCGTCTCTACTAAAAATACAAAAATTAGCCGGGCATGGAGGTACGCATCTGTAGTCCCAGCTACATGGGAGGCTTAGGCAGGAGGATCACTTGAACCCAGGAGGCGGAGGTTGTGGTGAGCCGAGATTGCACCACTGCACTCCAGCCTTGGCAACAGAGCAAGACTCCGTCTCAAAAAAAAAGAAAAAAAAAACACAGCTGCCTACTGCTTGCAACCAAGCTGTAGCTCTTATTAAAGTAAAGAGAAGAGAGCCCTGGAGACCAGCAGAAACTCGACATTTGAAGTCAGGCCTCTACCTCCTGAGCTGGAGTCAGCAGCCTGGGATCCTCCAATGAATCATTCCCATCTTTACTGCCCTCTCCGATGTGGAACAGGATCGACAGAGTACATAAAAGAGAAGATAAAGCACCAAGGCCCATCAGGCATGGAAAGGAGAGCTAACAGCCCTGCAGGGCAGACCTGAGTCAGACGGATTTCAGCCTGCCACCAAACCCTGCCATCTGCTGCCACTTCCCCAAAGGGCCCACTCCTTTCTGCCCCTCCTCTTGACACAACACCCCCTATCTTGGCATGCCAGGGAGGCTGCTGTGTCAAGCCCTAGCATGTGGGCATTCTGGCAAATCACTGAGGTCTGGTGCTGAAGTTTTTCAAACTGGAAATGCACTTGCACCAGGACCACGTGATTTCTGACTTAAGTGAGGGAGGAAAAGAGATAATTAACTTAAAACCAGTACTGATCATGTGCTGGGAATTTTGCTAAGCCCCTAACCCAATACTTCTCATTAATCCTCACAGCCACCCTAGGTGGTAGATCTCAGCTCAGCGAGATCGAATGAGCTATCCAAGGTGGCATAGCTAGGATGCAGCTGGCTGGGAACTGGAACCCAAGTCCTGCTGACTCCCAAGACCCTCCAACCTGCCAGACATAGCTGGCAACCCGGGGAAGTCCTGAGGCCAGGCTCTTTCTGCAATTTGGAAAGGTGGGAGTCCTCACTAGTCCATGGACTGAGCTGGTTCACCCCAATGATGTAGACCCACTGACTCTTACCTGAGGGTGCAGAGGTGGGGGCTGTTATTCCCACACCTTTGGAATTGATTAATGCTCCCAACACTGGCCGTGCCATTTTCCAAGTAAGCATCCCCATTTGCAATTTGTTTTCCTGAGTTTCTGAAAGGGTATGTGGGATTTCACTGCACAGTAGTAGGTACTCAAAGGTACCTCGGTTTGGTGAAATTTTAGGAAAACTAAGTAGGAAAACGTATTTTGAACCTTTCTGGCCCCAAATTACTTTAGTGAGGCTACAAACACAAATTACTTTGAAATAAACGTGTTAAGTCGCTCAAGCCAAAACTTACGCAAACCTTCAAACCAGCCTAGCCCACGTAATTCTCTCTTCCCTTTCGGCACAGCTATCAGATGTGCCGTGAAACTTGAAGTACAGAAAAAGACACCAGCAGCTGTTCAGAGATGTTTTGCAGAACCTGTCAGTGTTCCCACCTCTCTACCCCTAAGGCAGAGCATCTCAACCCTGCTGCATTCTAGAATCACCTAGAGAACTTGAAAAGATACCTACACTTGTGCCCTCACAGATTCTGATTTAATTTGTCTGGCCTGGGCACAGGCATTAGCGGGTCTTCTGTTTTTTCTTTTTTTTTTTTTCCTTTTCTTTGAGACAGAGTCTCACTTTGTTGCCCAGGCTGGAGTAAAATTCACAATCTTGGCTCACTGTAACCTCTGCCTCTGTCTCCCAGGTTCAAGCGATTCTCGTACCTCAGCCTCCCAAGTAGCTGCGACTACAGGCGCACACCACCATGCTTGGCTAATTTTTGCAATTTTAGTAGAGACGGGATTTTACCATGTTGGCCAGGATGGTCTCGAACTCCTGACCTCAGGTGATCCCACCTGCCTCAGTCTCCAAAAGTGTTGGGATTACAAGCGCGAGCCACTGCCACCACACCTGGCCAGCAGGTCTTAAATGTTCCTCAGTTGATACTAATGTGCAGCCAGGGGTGAGAACCATTGTTCTAAACCTCTTAAAGAAATCGGGCCAGGCGCGGTGGCTCATGCTTGTAATCCCAGCACTTTGGGAGGCCGAGGTGGGCGATTCACAAGGTCAGGAGTTCGAGACCAACCTGGCCAACATGATGAAACCCCCATCTCTACTGAAGATACAAAAAAATTAGCCAGGCACGATGGTGGGCGCCTGTAATCCCAGCTACTCAGGAGGCTGAGGCAGGAGAATCGCTTGAACCTAGGAGGTGGAGGTTGCAGTGAGCTGAGATCAGGCCACTGCACTCCAGCCTGTGACAGAGTGAGAGACTCAGTCTCAAAAAAAAAAAAAAAACTAGGAAGCAGCTCCACACCACAAAAATAAAAAACCTTGCATGAGTGGAAGGAAACAGATGACGCAACCACCAACCAAACCTCATAATCTCCTCTACTCTCACCCATATCTCCCCACCTCCTCTTAAGGACTCAGCTCGTCTGTCTTTTTGGGGGTACGGTTGGTATCTAACCTGAGCCTCTAGAAATCCCTCACACTGGGCTCTGTAGTGGTGGCTCCCATAGGCACCACTCACACTATCTGCCAATGCCGTTTAAAGGAGCAAGAAAGAACTATTTCCCTCTGCTGGAGGAAATGAGTCTCTGAAGGATAGATGCCTTGACTAGAAAGTGGTGGATCTGGGAGAGGAGGCAGGCCTGTTTGTCTCCAGTGCCCATCAGCCACACCACCCCTCTGGGTTCACTCCGAAACTCACTTCTCCCCTGGCACTTTCTCTTCATAGGAAGGCCTGAAAAGAATGCTGAAAACAAGTGACCTGGCTGGAATCTACCACCACGCTACTTCTCTGCTCCAGGACCTTCCATGGCTCCCACTGGCTCACAGGGTAAATCCAAATTCCTCAGCCTAGCTTCCAAATTCTTCTACCACCTGACCAAACTGTCCTAACCCTTTCTTCCCATGCAAACCCTCCTCTACCCAGTCAGACTGTTTATAACCTAAATATCCCTTACTTATGCCCCTCTTTTCGCTGTTCTACCTATTCAAAATCACAGTGTCACACAGCACAACAGCTGCAGCCATAGGCAGCAGTCCACATCATCCTAGAGGACAGCAAGGTTTCTGAGGAAATTCTCATAGAATTCAGCTTGCAGGACTTCTGCTTAGCTCACTGGCCACCTGCCTGGCCACTTACAGTCCTTAATATTTCACTTAGAATTAGTGATTACTCCTTGCTCTGCTAAGTAGTCATTATTTACTGTCGTTTCATCTGCAGATTTTCAGTGCTAGAACCTACCTTTGTTTTGTTTCAATTTTTCTGCAATCTAATAATATGCAAAAACTGCCCCAAAACAAATGAAAATGTTAAGGGTTTTTAAAGGCATCTGAAGAATCATTACCGTATTAACCTAAATTTTGGCAGATGAATAAAGCCAAACGCATCTTCTTTTCAGCCACATGAAATAAATTTTGTTTAAAAATCTAATTCATAGAGACCGGGCACAGTGGCTCATGTCTGTAATCCCAGCACTTTGGGAGGCCGAGGCGGGCGGATCACGAGGTCAGGAGATCAAGACCATTCTGGCTAACACGGTGAAACCCTGTCTCTACTAAAAAATACAAAAAATTAGCCGGGCGTGGTGGCGGGCGCCTGTAGTCCCAGCTATTCGGGAGGCTGAGGCAGGAGAACGGCGTGAATCCGGGAGGCGGAGCTTGCAGTGAGCCGAGATCGCACCACTGCACTCCAGCCTGGGTGACAGAGCAAGACTCTGTCTCAAAAAAAAAAAATCTAATTCATAGAATCATGTGCTTTAACTTTAGCAAAAGAAGAGATGAAGCACACATTGCAAACACGCTTTGATCCCTGCAGTGAGATGAGCGTCATGATCATGCATGCTTCTCTTCTCCCTTCTCCGGGCCTTTTGAAGTCTACACTCTCCGCTGTGGGATGGTCTCCTGCCCTACCAGGAGAGCTGGTCTCCACACCGACTTCAAAGACAGCTGATGTTCCAGAGAAGAAAAACACTGCAAAGAAGCACTCCAAAATCCTTTTGACCTCAAACATGACTACAGAATGGATACAGCTTTTTAAATAGCCACTTCCTGCAGCATTCTATAGTATAATGACCCTTAAATGACACCCACGCAAATTACATAATTTGCTAAAATGGAAACCCAGTAATTCCATCTTACATCAAAGTAAAGAAAAAAAATACCAAACTTTAAAAATCTGAAGCTCAATTAAATAGTAATTAAAAACGAAATATAACTTTCACTTGTTCAATAATCCTCACAATGTCCTAAAACTCTACAAATGGATGAAGTGAACATGATCTCAGAGAACTACCCACTACATGTTTAGTAGGCTAGAATAGACAACAACATAGAAACTCGGATCCGCTGGAAATGATGCTTTTTCTTTGGGCTCTGGTATCTGAGGTGGCCAGCTCCTCATCCCTCACGCCCTTCACTGGCACTGACCTGAGTACCTGCTGGAGACTGAAGCGCTCCCTCCTGGGCCATGTCTCCTCTACCTTCCCCCTTTTCCACTGCCTCAAAGACAGGCCCCCTGGGAGCCCTTCTGGAACCTGAAGGAGGAGCTGGTCACTGTGTCATGATCAGCCACAATGTGCCATCCCTCCTCCATAGCACAGCCACAAGTCCCCAGCAGGGGAGGGCACACATTTTCCAGTCACAGAGATCTGGAACGAAGCCCAACGACTGCTTATTAGCTTTGCAGCCTAACTTCTCTGTGCTTCAGTTTCCTCACCTGCTAAATCACACCTTCAGAGTCATGGTGAATATGAAAGAAGACAGTATATTTAGAGCAGCCAGCACAATGGCCAGCTTTGTAACTGTTTTCTTCCCTGCTAAGAAAATAGCAAACACAAAGTGTCTGCAGGTGAGTATATCACGACTCTAATCAGCAAGCACAGAAGACGGTGGCAGCACTGTGAAGAGCACCCAGAAAAAACAAAAAGCAGCCATTCTCTTTAAATATGAGAAACAATTGTATCAGTCTCTGATTTCTAAGAAGGAGTACCATGACTCCAGCCTCTGTTGTCCTAGATTCTATGCCCACTTTTGGCTATTTTTTTTTTCCTACGTTTTTCAGGTTATCCTCAATGAGCATAAATTATTTTTACAATCAGGAAAAACAATTTTTGGAAAAGTTTCTCAGTTTGCTACACATGTAATTTAAAACATGATACTTTAAAATAAGAAATCCTGGCCAGGCACGGTGGCTCACACCTGTAATCTCAGCACTTTGGGAGGATGAGGCAGGTGGATTGCATGAGCCCAGGAGTTCAAGACCAGCCTGGGCAACATGGTGAAACCCTGTCTCTACAAAAAATACACACACACACACACACACACACACACACACACACACAAATAGCTAGCTGTGGTGGCGCACACCTGTAGTCTCAGCTATTTGGGGGGCTGAGGCGGGTGGATCACTGAAGCCCAAGAAGGATCATTTAAGCCCAGGGAGATGGAGGCTGCCGTGAGCCGTGATTGCACCACTGCACTCCAGCCTGGGCGATAGAGTGAGACCCTTTCTTGGAAAAATAAAATAAATTAAATAAGGAATCCTGAGTAATAAAGATTGAGATCATCTGAGCTTGGGTAAGAGCCTGGTATGTTATCAATGATAAATGCACCTTTTTTCCTTTGACAAGGGAGCTTTTGGTCATTTTACTACTCATCAGTACTTTCTGTGCTGGGGAGACTGGGAAAACAGAAGATGAAAGTAAAGTAAAGGAGCTCTTCTACTTGTAACAGGGCTGCTAAAGCATTTAGTGGGAGAGAAGCTTGAAACTATAGGCTGAAGTCAAGCTAGAAGTCCCTACTGGTTTTAATAATGGTCACCATCACTTAGGATAACGTACATATAAATCTATCCTTCCTACTCTGAGAAGGTTGCTGTGTCATCCTGAGACACTAGCTCCAATTTCATAACCAACTGTGGAAGTGACCACAGTACACATGCCATGCAGACACATATCTTCAGAGAGGGAGGTATAACTGCTCTGCTTATGGGGCACTTACTCTCTGCCTTCTAGCCCTCAGTTTACTCCATCTCCCAACAATGTCTGAAGGGAGGCGTCACTACATCTCTTATACAACAAAAACCCTGAAGCTCAGAGAGGGTAGATGCCTTAAACAAGGGCGCACCACTAGTATGTGATGAGAATAGACTCCACCCCAGGCCAGTCTGACCCAGGGGCACAGCGGTTCCTACCTTCTATGCCCTTGGACACAATACTTTCACATGCTCCAAGGACTCATTTTGATGAACAGAGTGCAGCTGGACAGGCAGAACCAGTCTATCAAGTCAGGGGGAAGCTGACAGGGTGAAGGGCAGAGTAAGGACAAGAACCCGGGCCTGGAGAATATGAGTTACTATAGCAATAGAGCTCTCAGAATACCACAACCACCTGGTTTTAATACCCCTATACTTTGCAGCCTACCTCCTACTACATGGACACAAACTGCTGGAGCTGAATGTAATGTGAGCACCACCTAGAAGTTATGTACAAGTAAGAAACTATTTTTTCTCCAAAATGTTAAGCAAGCCCCATAATGTACATTAGGCAGTTAAGAAGCAGTCGAAAGGAACATTTTTATAAGAACATGCCTAAAGTGGACATCAGGTTTATGTGATCCTCAGCAATTTGAATAGTAGTTAATTTCAGTTGTACAAAAACGGAACAGGGTCCTCCACAAAGCTGTTTTGCTTCTACACTGTGCTCCTGTTAAACTCCCCAAGGTACTAATAACGGTTGCACCTCAGTGAGCTTCCTTCCTGTGTGTTACTCTTAAAAACCACAGAGGCTCTGGGACTCAGTAGTCACAAAACCCCAATGGCTGCAGGGCTAGCAGGTTCTATCCGTTAAGCTCAGTCTTTCTCAACCAGTTCAGCAGTTTGAAGAGAGCAGTGACCTAAGGCTTGATATCCAATATGGTAGCCACTATGCACAAGGGACTACTGAGCTCTTGGAATGTGGATAGGGTGACGAAGGGACTGAATTTTTAGCTTAATTTTATTAGCCTAGTGGCTAAAATACTGGATAGTGTGCAGTTACAGACTGTTTATTTGCAGGTATAAACACAGATATTTATGAAAATGTGGCCAGGTGCTGTGGCTCATGCCTGTAATCCCAGCTCTTTGGGAAGCCGAGGAGGGTAGATCATTTGAGGTCAGCAGTTCAAGACCAGCCTGGCCAACATGGTGAAACCCCGTCTCTACTAAAAATACAAAAATTAGCCAGGCGTGGTGGCAGGAGCCTGTAATCCCAGCTACTCAGGAGGCTGAGGCAGGAGAATCGCTTGAACCGGGGAGGCAGAGGTTGCAGTGAGCCAAGATCACATCACTGCACTCCAGCCTGGGCGACAGAGTGAGACTCCGTCTCAAAAAAAAAAAAAAAAGATATTTATGAGAATGAAAGCATACTAAACATAGTGTGTTATGACTTGCTTTTTCTCTCACTTAATATAACATGGATCTCTCTCCATAACAACACATTTGGGATTTTATTTTTAATTTCTTTTGGAGATGGGGTCTGGCTCTGTCGCCCAGGCTGGAGTGCAGTGGTACAACCATAGCTCACTGCAGCCTTGAACTCCTGGGCTCAAGTGATCCTCCCACCTCAGCCTCCCTAGTAACTGGGGCTACAGGCATGAGCTACCATGCCTGGCAAATATTTTTAATGTCTGTATCTCTGCTGCCTAGTAGCCACAAGCAATATGTGGCTACTGAGCATCTGATATGTGGCTAGTCCCAATTGAGATATGCTGTAATTGTAAAATACACACCAGATTTCAAATACTTTTATGACAAGAGGAATGCAAAACATATTAATTAAAAAAAAGTACAGACAGGGTCTCACTCTGTTACCTAGGCTGGAGTGCAGTGGTGCAATCATAGCTCACTGCAGCCTCCACTGCCTGGGCTCAAGGGATTCTTCTACTCAACCTCCTGAGTAGCTGAGACTACAGGTATGCCACCACACCTGACTTTTTTTTTTTTTTAAGTTTTGTAGAGACTAGATCTTGCTATATTGCTTAGGCTGGTCTCGATCTCCTGGCCTCAAGCAATCCTCCCTCCTCAACCTGCCAAAGTGCTGAGATTACAGGCATTAGTCACTGCACCTAACATAGTAATAATTTTTATAATGATTCCATGTTGAAATTATAATATTTTGGATATATTGGGTTAAATATATTATTTAAATTAATTTCACCTGTTTCTTTTTACTTTTTTAACATGGCTACTAGAAAATGTAAAGTTACATATGTGGCTAGCATTATACTTCCATTGGACAGCACTGCCCTAAGGCCTCTGTCGTATGTAGTGAATTAACTCCATCCCTATGCAGCCAGAATGGAAGAACTGAGAAAACGGTCACACAAATCATTGTCTGGTTCTGTGGTTCAGAAGGAGACCACTAGCTTGTCCTCTTTCAACCAATGCTTAGTGGAGCCATCAATCAGGTCCACCACTCTGTAGGCCCTGACAACAGATCAGCTTAGGGATGGCTGCCAACTCTTACCTCTTTCATTCAAAGTTCACTAGTCAGCTGGGCACGGCAGCTCACACCTGTAATCCCAGCACTTTGGAAGGCAGAGGTAGGTGGATGACTTGAGGTCAGAGTTCAAGACCAGCCTGGCCAACATAGCAAAACCCCACCTCTACTGAAAAGACACAAAAATTAGCCGGGCACGGTCTCACGCGCCTGTAGTCCTAGCTACTTGGGAGGCAGGAAAATCACTTGAACCCGGGAGGTGAAGGTTGCGGTGAGCCAACTTCACACCACTGCACTCCAGCCTGGGCAACAGAGTGAGACTCAGTCTCAAAAAAACAAAACAAAGTTCATTAGCCTCATAGAAACCTTCAATCTTACTCTTTTTGCACCTCATTTTCTTCAACTACAAAACTGGGATAATAACTAATGCAATTCAAACTATCATGAAGGTAAAACAAAAATCTAGAAAAGTTTGGCAATTTCTTATAAAGTTTAGCCTATCACTCAGCAATTCCATTCCTAGGCATTCACTCAGGAGAAATGAAAAAATATATCTACACAAAGACTTTACCCAAATATTCATGGCAGCTGTATTTATAATAGCCCCAAACTGGAAATAACCCAAATATCTACCAACTGGTGAATGGATAACAAATGTTAAATCCATACAATGGAATACTACTCAGTAATAAAAAGAAACATATAACATCATAGAAGAATTTCAAAGCTTTACGTTAAGTAAAAGAAGCCAGACCAAAAAAAGACTATATTGTATAAGATTCCACTTATAGATGACATTCTATTAATAGAAAGGATTAAACAATAGTAACAGAAAGCAGATCAGTAGTTCCCAGGGACCAGAAGGAGGGCAGGGTCTGCAAAGGGGCACCAAGGAAACAACTGGAGCGATGAAAGTGGGTGTGTATATATATATTTGTCAAGATTTATCAAATTGTATACTTAAAATAGGTGAATTTCATTGTATGTAAATTTTACTTCAACAAAGTTGACCAGAAAGAGAGAAACAGAGAGAGAAAGAATTATCTAATCCCTTGAGCCCAGGAATTCGAGACCAGCCGGGACAACATAGTGAGACCTCGTCTTTATAAAAAATGAACATGGCCGGGCACGGTAGCTCACAACTGTAATCCCAGCACTTTGGGAAGCCGAGGCAGGTGGATCACTTGAGGTCAGCAGTTTGAGATCACCCTGGCCAACATGGTGAAACCCCATCTCTACTAAAAATACAAAAAAATTAGCCGGGCATGGTGGCACGCGCCTGTAGTCCCAGCTACTCAGGAGACTGAGGAAGGAGAATGGCTTGAACCTGGGAGGCGGAGGTTGCAGTGAGCCGAGATCGCACCACTGCACTCCAGCCTGGGTGACGGAGCCAGACTCCGTGCCCCCCACCCCACCCTCCCAAAAAAAGGACACAATTAGCCACATGTGGTGGCATGAGGCTGTGGTCCTAGTTACTCAGGAGGCTGAAGTGGGAGGACCGCTTAAGCCCAGAAGGTTGAGGCTACAGTGAGCCAAGATCACGCTACTGCACTCCAGCTTGGTGACAGAGTGAGACTCTGTTTCAAAAAAAAAAAGAAAAGAAAAAAGAAAAATAATTATAGAATTACTATAAAGCACTTGGCTTGGCACATAGTGAAAGCTTAAACAATGTCATCTATTATGACAAGTAACACTCCCTTTTCAGTATTACTCAAGGTGTCTAAAACCAAACAGACTCATCATCTTCCTGGGAAAACCAGCTACCCTTCATCTACCTTGTACTACTTCTCTAATAATTTCCTGATGCCTCTGTTTCCCTTGTGGCCTCTACTTGGCAGACTTTTCCTCTATTGTGTTCCTCCCCTCTCCCTGCCATAGACCTGAGCTGTGGCCTCTCTAACTTCACTGTTCCATTAGCATCCTTGACTCTCTTCTCTCCTTCCTTCACCCTTTCCACTGCACCTTGCACACAGACAGCAAATTAAGCTTCCTAAAATGCCACTTTTATGAGCCACACCTCCACCCAAACCCCCCCTCACTGTTGTTCAGATTCCTTAGCCTGGCATCCAAGAGGCCCCACAATTGGCTCTAACCTTTCTTTTCCATCTTTTACCCCACCCCAGAATCTTCACCAATAAACCCAGTTGGAATGAATGAACAAAGAAGGCAGGAACCAAGTCTGTCTTGCTTAGACCTGTACCCCAAGTGCCTAGGCCATGCCAGGAACACAGGGCATACTCACAGCAGTATCTGCTGAATGAACTAATGAACTCCTGAAGTCTACAAATGCAACCTTGACCTCAGAGAAGAATCATTCTTCAGATTTTTAAACTGAGATCCTTATGGTGGGTTACTAAGAGTCTGGAAGAGGATGAACAACGAGGTGCCCCAGAAGGTGTTTCAGGATATATACGTTAAAGGCTATAAGGCTTCTGTTTCTACTTTTCAAAAATAATAACTTAAATATCGATAAAACAATAACATAAATATTTTTTCCCTTTAACCTAGAATAGAGTAGGAGCTTCCAAATGGGCACACAGGAAGCATGGGATGAGTTGTGGAAGTCATGAGTATGCTCATAACTCAGTTGGTTTATCACAGTTTTTACCATTACACAGTATTTTAATTGACTTTGCTCTTAGTCATATATGATTTCATTTACATCCATAATAAACCGCTGACTAAATGTAGGCTCAAGCAATGCCAATGACAAAACACATGTTAGTGAGAAGTTAGTGAGAAATACAAGTGAGAATTATCATAAAAACGGTAATTCTACAAGTTGTCTGAAGATGCTGTTTCTCAGGGCCTTAAGTTGTATTCCTCTGAACACAATTTAAAAATATATATAGTTCAGATCCCAAACAATTTTTAGTAATATACTGATCTAAATAAAATATTTTTATATTTAAAATAACTTCCAGAGAGTCTGTACCATTCCCTATTACTATGAAAGGAGTTTGCAAGTTAGAAAAGGCTGAGGCATACTGATTTAGAACGTTTTCTCTAAAATGCTGGCTCCTCTGTTAACCACTCCGAGTTCCCTAAGCCCCAGGGAGGACCTGACCAGCCTCTCCCCTGTGCCCTGCTCTCCCAGGCAGAGGGGCCCTTTAGTACTTTGCTTCATCTTTGCTTTTGTGGCTGCTATATTGACTAGGATGTCAGCTCCCTGCTTCATTCATCTTTTTATCTTAATAGGCAGTACAGTGCCTGGCACGCAGAAGACTCTTTTTAAGTATCTGTTAATGTTCCTGAGATCAAATGTCTATGTACTGATGTTGGAACCCCTTTAGGGATTAACAAAAACTGAGAGGGGAAGAGCTGAAATGGGCATTTGCTGGGGGCTGCCTCCCTTCAGGTCTGGCCTCCGGGAGCTCATGGCTGAGCCCTATGGCCTGCCCACTTGTTTTTTGTTTTGTTTTGTTTTGTTTTGAGATGGAGTTTCACTCTTGTTGCCCAGGCTGGAGTGCAATGGTGCAATCTCGACTCACTGCAGCCTCCGCCTCCAAGGTTCAAGCGATTCTCCTGCCTCAGCCTCCTGAGTAGCTGGGATTACAGGTGCCCACCACCATAACTGGCTAATTATTTGTGTATTTTTTAGTAGAGATGGGGTTTCACCATGTTGGCCAGGCTGGTCTCGAACTCCTGGCCTCAGGTGATCTGCCCATCTTGGCTTCCCAAAGTGCTGGGATTACAGGCATAAGCCACTGTGCCCAGCCGACCACTTGTCTTTTCCGTCACCACTGAACACCAATAGCCAGCTCTGCAGCCTGGTAAGGAGGCCCTGAGCTGCATCTCCCAAGCATGGCTGTCAAAACGTGTTACTCCAGGGTAAAAAGGAAAAAACAGGGGGAAACCTACTCTTGGAGGTGTCACTGATGTTTTTTGCCACATATTAGCAAAGTAATCACAGTTGACAGTGAGACAAACTTTTAAATAAATAATTTTCCTTTTCCCATTCAAAACATATATTTGAATGCCAAAAAAGCACTAAGTAGTACGCCAGTGCTCTGGCAAATACAACAGTAATAAACAACAAAACAAATGACATTTATGTGCTGGGCTTTGTTCTGAATACTCCATGTGGATGAGCTCGGTTAATCCTTACAGCAGTCCTAACATACTCTTTCTATCCTCACTTTACAGATGAAGAAACTGAGGCTGGAGAAATCAAGCGGCAATTTGTCCAAGGTCATTAAGCCATTGTCGCTCTTCCCAATTATATACAGTTTTACCTGTGTGTGACTGGGGGAGGGGGGTTATAAACAGAAAACAAGGTAGTAAGAAATAATAGGTGTATAAAATGAGTGTACCTTTGAGGCAGATATACTCTATGGGAATTTCAGAGGAAGGAAAATTATATCCAGCTTGGCAGACAAGAGGCAGAAGTACCCCGTAACCCGCTTGGCAGGTACAATGGTCAGCAGCAGTACATAAGAGCTTTACCTCCAATAATGGCATTCATTCTCAAATTCACTTATTCAGCAAATGTTTGCTGTAGGCTTACTATCTATGTGCCAGGGACTGGGCTAGTTTGAAATTGAATCAACCCAGCAATACATAGACAATAAAGTCTGGATTTAGAGAAAAAAATAAAACAAGCCTCAAAGAGGCAGAACAAGCTGCCTGCGCCCCTTACCATCTACAGAGTGGGAAGAAGCAGAGGTGTGTCTTCTATGCACAGACCCTCCTGTCCACCCTCAACAGCATGAGCCCCTAGAGCAGCGACTGCTCACCACTGCATTCCTGGAGACCACAACACTCACCAAAGAGTGGGAGCTTGAGAAGTGCCTGTGGAATGTGGAATAAACCAGTGCCAGGCTGCTGGTGAATATGGTGGGCTACATGGTCACATGCATAGATGCCTACAGCATGGCAGTGTGACACTCAGCCATTCCCTGTGCTCTCACGGACCAGCAGGGTGCTTGATGCTGCCTGATGCTAGAGGTCTGGTGTGAGCAGACCCATTTCTTTCTGGCTTCATTTCCCTCTACTTCTGGCAAGAGGAACGTATGCAGGACTAAAGTGCAATGAGTCCCTGCCCAGGAATCACTTGTTACCTGGTGGAAGGGCAGGCTCAAAAGGAAGGCAATGAATGAACGACACTGCTTTCCCTTTTCACCACTACAGGTGGCTCTTAGACATTTTGAGATCCAGGATTCTCCCATACCAACACTCCATTCACTTCCCTCCAGTCCAGCAAAAAAGCCTCAACTGAATTAATGAGGAGAAATGACCTATTTCTGATGAGCACATCAAAGAAATGTGAGCAGCCTTGTTTAAATATTATAAAGAGGTGCTGCGACAGCAGGCAGAGCCGTGCCTAGAACCCTGCTCTCCGGCACAGAGCCCTTTGCCCTTCCCCATGCCACTGTCTAATAAGTCATCTGTGCACACACTTAAACGCGCCAGGCAAGCTGCAACCCAAAGCAATTTGTTTTCAAACTAAGAGGACATAGTTCATCTATTGTTCTAAATACAGGATTTTCTTAAAGTAGGATATAGATGGTATTATAGTACATTTTTCAGATGCACATATTTCACCAACTAAAATAAGTAATACTCCAAGTTTACAGTTTTAAAAAGTTTTTCTTTCTTTTTTTCTTTTCTTTTTTTTTTTTTTTTTGAGACAGAGTCTCACTCTGTGGCCCAGGCTGGAGTGCACTGGCATGATCTCAGCTCACTGCAACCTCTGCCTCCCAGGTTCAAGCGATTCTCGTGCCTCAGCTTCCTGAGGAGCAGGGACTACAGGCATGCACTACCTTACCTGGCTAATCTTTGTATTTTTAGTAGAGACAGGGTTTCACCATGTTGCCTAGGCTGGTCTTGAACTCAAGCCATCCACCTACCTCAGCCTCTCAAAGTGCTATGATTACAGGCAAGAGCCACCGTGCCTGGCCTAAAAAAGTTTTTCCGGCAGTGATTCTTACCCTAAGATCCAAAGCCTAAGAATGGGCTTCAGGTCAGTGAGGTTCTGAGAGTTCACAAAGACATGTTTATGGGTATTTATGAACAGGGAAGCAGTCCCTGTGATGAGATCCTTAAAGGAGTTGGGCCCGAAGAGCTAAAGAACTTGTGCTTAGAATACTTTCTGAAACAATTCCGATAACAATAGAACTTAGTTGTTTCTTGGAGTTTGGTAATCAGGTGTTTATATTAAATTAGTTTAGTAGCCTTGTAGGTTTAAAAAAAAAACATTCTGAGTTATAAAACAGGGTGATGACTAAGGCTTCTTTTTGGGGTACTGAAAAGTTTCTGGCCAGGCGCGTTGGCTCACGCTTGTAATCCCAGCACTTTGGGAGGCTGAGGCAGCCAGATCACCTGAGGTCAGGAGTTTGAGACCAGCCTGGCCAACATGGTGAAACCCCATCTCTACTAAAAATACAAAAATTAGCCAGGCGTGGTAGCGGGTGCCTGTAGTCCCAGCTACGCAGGAGGCTGAGGCAGAAGAATCACTGGAACCCAGGAGGCGGAGGTTGCAGTGAGCCAAGATCACACTGCTGCACTCCAGCCTGGGCAACAAAGCAAGACTCCTCACCAAAAAAAAAAGAAAAGAAAAGAAAAGAAAATGTTCTAAGATTGATTATGGTGATGAATACACAACTCTGTAAATATACCAAAAGCCATTGGATTGTATGCTTTAAATGAGTGACTCATATGGTATGTGAATTATATAAAGTTTTGTTTTGTTTTGTTTTTGAGATAGAGTCTCACTCTGTCATCCAGGATGCAGTGCAGTGGCATGATCTTGGCTCACTGCAACCACCGTCCCCTGGGTTCAAGCAATTCTGCTGCCTCAGCCTCCCAAGTAGCTAGTATTACAGGCGTGCACTACCACTCTCAGCTAATTTTTGTACTTTTAGTAGCGACAGGGTTTCCCCATGTTGGCCAGGCTAGTCTCAACCTCCTGACCTCAAGTGATCTGCCTGCCTCAGCCTCCCAAAGTGCTGGCATTTCAGGCATGAGCCACCATGCCTGGCTCAAAACACTTGATATTTTAACTTCAGCTAAAAATGGTTACTTACCCTAAATGTGGTTGTCAGCAAGGTGAGCTGAAGACTAAATGGTCAATCTGAAGAAACTCTCCTCCTCCTGAGGTCCAAGTATTTACCAAAGATAAAGCACTTGTTCCATACTCCTAAGTCAAAAGTTTCAAACCACAAATGAAGGGCCACTGTCATCTCTTCTGAAGAGGAGTCAACTTTAACTTCCCCCTGTACATACTTGGTGCTTGCAAAGGAAGGCACTGATAAGAATGACTTCTAGTTTAAGGAAAAAAAAAAAAAAGGAAAAACTCTATTACTCCCCCTCTGGTATCCCAAACACTTAAGCTCTTATGACTTCTAAAATGGGATCCATTTCCCCCTTTCTCAGGGTGCTAAAAGCTGGAACATAAAGGAGATTCATTTCCTATGACGCTACCCCAAAATCTCTAGCAGCCTAAAAAGAAACCACTACCTGCCCTGCAGTGAGGAACAGAGGGTTTACTTTACTTGCTCCAAATAAGTAAACCCATTTAAACTTTTTTTTTTTTTGAGACAGAGTTTCCCTCTTGTTACCAAGGCTGGAGTGCAATGGTGCCATCTTGGCTCACTACAATCTCCACTTCCTGGGTTCAAGGATTCTCCTGCCTCAGGCTCCCGAGTAGCTGGGATTACAGGCATGCGCCACCACGCCTGGCTAATTTTGTATTTTTAGTAGAAATGGGGTTTCTCCATGTTGGTCAGGCTGGTCACAAACTCCTGACCTCAGGTGATCCATCCACCTCAGCCTCCCAAAGTGCTGGGATTACAGGTGTGAGCCACCACACCAGCCTTAAACTTTCGATCAACAATCTAGGCTTGGTGCGGTGGCTCACACTTGTAATCCCAGCACTTTGGGAGGCCAAGGTGGGAGGATCACTTGAGGCCAAGAGTTTGGGACCAGCCTGGGCAACATGGGGAGGCCCTGTCTCGACAGAAAATTTAAAAATTAGCCAGGTATTGTGATGCGTGTCTGTAGTTCCAGCTACTCAGGAGGCTGAGGCAGAAGGATTGTTTGAGCTGGAGAGGTCAAGGCTACAGTAAGCCAAGATTACTCCACACTGCCCTCCAGCCTGGCTGACGGAGTGAGACCCTGTCTTAAAAAAAAAAAAAAAAAAATCGGCCAGGCGCAGTGGCTGGGGCCTGTAATCCCAGTACTTTGGGAGGCCAAGGCGGGTGGATCACCTGAGGTCAGGAGTTCAAGACCAGCCGGGCCAACATGGTGAAACCCCGTCTCTACTAAAAATACAAAAAAAATTAGCCAGGCATGGTGGCAGTCGCCTGTAATCCCAGCTACTCGGGAGGCTGACGCAGGAGAATCGCTTGAATCCAGGAGGTGGAGGTTGCAGTGAGCCGAGATCGCGCCATTGCACTCCAGCCTGGGCAACAACGGTGAAACTCCATCTCAAAAAAGAAAAAAAAATCTATATATTGAACAATCTCAAGATCACAATCCATATGGAAGCTAAGTACCCATGGGTGGCTCTTTCCACTGTTCCCTAGGGAAGCAAAACATGTAACTATCTTTTCACATGAAATAAACCTCAGCCCCAGAATCTTAGATTTCTTCCTAGTAATTATAGTCAGGTACTCGGATTTATATTCTTATTACGAGAAATCTTTCTCATGGGATAGTCCTCAAAACAGATGATATACAGGGATTGAGTATCACCAGCCCATAAATTAGGCTGCAAAAAAAACCAACTTCTGGCTGGGCACGGTAGCTCATGCCTGTTATCCCAGCCCTTTGGAAGGCCGAGGCAGGCAGATCACTTGAGGTCAGGAGTTCAAGACCAGCCTGGCCAACGTGGTAAAACCCCGTCTCTACTAAAAATACAAAAATTAGCCGAGCATGGTACGTGGCGCCTGTAATACCAGCTACTCGAGAGGCAAGGCAAGAGAAGCACTTGAACCTGGGAGGCGGAGATTGCAGTGAGCTGAGATCGCACTACTATACTCCAGCCTGGGCAACAGAGTAAGACTACGTCTAAAAAAAAAAACAAAAAAAAACAAAAAAAAACCCCCCACAAAACCCAACAACAACAAAAAAACCAACGTCTTCAATAGGAAGAGACAACTTACAATCTCTAAATGAACTAATTACCAGTACCTAAAAGCTTTCAACTCAGGGTTTTCCGACTGCGTCCATCTCAGATTTCCAGGACAAGTGGGGAAAAATACATAACCACATAGAATAGATGCCCAGAAAATAACTGCTCTTATATTTTATTATAATGTGTGGAAGTGCTGCAAGATGGCTGAGTGCAGTGGCTCACGCCTGTAATCCCAACACTTTGGGAGGCTGAGGCAGATAGATCACCTGAGGTCAGGAGTTCAAGACCAGCCTGGCCAACATGGTGAAACCCTGTCTCTACTAAAAATACAAAAATTAGCCGGGTGTGGTGGTGGGCGTCTGTAATCCCATCTACTCGGGAGGCTGAAGCAGAATTGCTTGAACCCGGGAGGCAGAGGTTGCGGTGAGCCGAGATCGCGCCACTGCACTCCCACCTGGGGGACAGAGCAAGACTCCAGCTAAAAAAAAAAAAAAGAAAAAGGAAGTGCTGCAAGTTACCTATCACACAGTATGCAAACATCTTTAAAAGAATTTTTTTTTTTAAGACGGAGTCTTGCTCTGTCGCCCAGGCTGGAGTGCAATGGCACAATCTTGGCTCACTGCAACCGTCACCTCACAGGTTCAAGCAATTCTCCTGCCTCAGCCTCCCAAGTAGCTGGGATTACAGGCACACCCCACCATGCCCAGCTAATTTTTGTATTTTTAGTAGAGACAGGGTTTCACCACGTTGGCCAGGCTGTTCTCGAACTTCTGACCTCAGGTGATCCACCCGCCTCAGCCTCCCAAAGTGCTAGGATTATGGGCATGAGCCACCGCGCCTGGCCTAAAGAAACTTTTTTTTTTTTTTTGAGACGGAGAGTGCAATGGCGTGATGTCGGCTCACTGCAGCCTCCACCTCCCGGGTTAAAGGGATTCTCCTGCCTCAGCCTCCCAAGTAGCTGGACGACAGCCATGTGCCACCACGCCCAGCTAATTTTGTATTTTTAGTAGAGACTGAGTTTTACCATGCTGGTCAGGCTGGTCTCGAACTCCTGACCTCAGATGATCTGCCTGCCTCGGCCTCCCAAAGTGCTGGGATTACAAGTGCGAGCCACCACGCCTGGCTAAGAAATTTTTAAAGTATTCAGTATAACTTAGAATTCTAAAGAAACTTCCAAGTAGCATTCTAAAAGGAAGTTCAAATTCTGATACTGAGTACTAGATTACCCTAAAATTTCAGGATCTGAAAGCAGCAATGTCTCCTAATTTGCCATTACATTTGAATAGTTATTCTGGTGATAAATAAATAAAGTTTAAAAGTCTATAAAAAGGGTCGGGTCACTGATGAGAAGCTGAAGATCAATAAACCAAGCCACTAAAACCATCTGTTTTATGAATGGTAAAGATCCTAGTTGAGGCCAGGTACAGTGGCTCACACCTATAATCCCAGCATTTTGGGAGGCCGAGGCAGGAGGATCACTTGAACTCAGGAGTTTGAGACCAACCTGGACAACATAGCAAGACACCATCTCTACTAAAAATCAAAGAATTAGCCAGGTATGGTGGTGCATGCCTATAGTCCCAGCTACTCAGGAGGCTGAGGCAGGAGTATTCCTTGAGCCAGGAGACTGAGGTTGCCGTGAGCTGTGGTCCTGTACTCTAGCCTGGGTGACAGAGCAAGAACCTGTCTCACAATGAAAAAAAAAAGACCTTGGAATCCAACAGAACAAAAGCTCCATGGATGCAGGAGCTGTCTGGTTCACCATTCTATCTCTAGCATGTGCCTGGCACATAGTAGGCATTTAATACATTTTTGTTGAATGAATGAGTATAGCTGAATAAATAAGCCATGCAGGAATGCAGTTTCCAAATATCAAAAGTTCAAGGAGAGATCCATTTTCAGTAAAGATTTTAACATGTAATATTATCTTTTCCACTGATTTTAAAAAATGTTTTCTATTGTGCCTTAACTATCACTATAATTATCTGTTTCTCAAAAACAAAATGTCCAAATGGAAGATAAACAGTCCCTGATCCAGATGAACTCCACAGAAGAATATTTAAAAAGGAGAAAACTGCCAGGCATGGTGGCTCAAACCTGTAATCCCTGCGCCTTAGGAGCCCGAGGCAGGTGGATCACCTGAGGTCAGGTGTTCAAGACCAGCCTAGTCAACGTGGTGAAACCCCATCTCTACTAAAAATACAAAAATTAGCCAGGCATGGTGGTGCATACCTGTAATCCCAGCTACTTGGGAGGCTGAGGCAGAAGAATCGCTTGAACCTGGGAGGTGGAGGTTGCAGTGAGCTGAGATTGCGACCTGCACTCTAGTCTGGTGACAGAGCGAGACTCTGTCCCCCACCCCCCAAAAAAAGGAGAAAACTGAGATGAAAAGCTATCACACACAGCCTACCCACCAGCAAAAATTGGATGTGCACATTTGATAACAGCGCTTTCCAAAACTTTGTTTCCTCTGGTTTCTATTTCAGCTATGTAAGCATTTTTTTAGTCTACTAACTTTAAAAAGTTTTCCCTTTTATATAGCCAAGAACTTACCTTTCCCTTGTCCTCTCTTGGTCCTCCTAAATTTTCTCACAACTCACCTGTGTGGCTTTTCACCAGAATTCCTTTTGTCTGGAAAATCTTCCTTCTTCCTCCAAACCTAACCTGAAAGCATCCTCCCCCTAAATACTAGCCTTTCTGATTTTATAGAAGCTTCATTTCCTTGCAGCAGAGGGCTGGTCTAGCTCTTAATGCTAAATTCATTTTGCTCCATAAAAATGATGCATCAGCATCAGCAAAGCACAGAATCACCTACCAACACATGTCCTTTCTGCCAGTTGCTCATCCAAATATGCCTTTCTGGTGGTGACCTTGTGTTCCCTTCATCCTTCTGGTGACTCAGTTTTCCAAACCACAGAATTTTTCCCTACCAAGTTCACAAATCCTAAATCATTTCTGTTATAGGTGGTTTCCCAGCTGGGTGCAGTGGTTCACACCTATAATCCCAGCACTTTGGGAGGCTGAGGTGGGAGGATCACTTGAGGTCAGGAGTTCAAGACCAGCCTGGGCAACACAGCAAGAACCCCATTGGTATTAAAAAAAAAAAAAAAAAATATATATATATATATATATATATATATATATATGTTTCCCAAGGTTAAACAAACTTGATAAATGAAAGGAACTATGGACAGAAATGAGCTTGCTTGCAATAACGCCCTCTAATGTGTTTAACGCTTTGCACAAATGTTGTCAGGGAGTGAAGAGATGGAGGGAGGAAGGAATACATTTTACAAATACTTCATCAAGATGATTTCATTTGATCTTCCTAACAACCTTGGGAGGCAGGCAGGGCAGGCATTTATTACTCCCATTTACAGATGACAAAACTAAACTTCAAAAAGGTTTAAGTGACTTGCCCAGCCTATATCACATGACTAGCAAGTATCAGCTCAGACCTGTATTAAGGTCTTGCCTCTTCCAACCCCAAGTCTGTCTCTAACTCCGTATGTTTCTGTCTACAGCCAAGGAGTAACTTCCTAGAGATTCAGCATTTCAAAGCGAGAGTAGAGCTCTGACTTCTGGAACACCATCTCCCTTCAGCTACCAAGCTGGAAAGCCAACTTCAATCTCCCCAAGAAAAAACAGTGCCTTTCTCTTCTACATACCCCTCTTAACAACTACTTCTTTCCAAAATAATTTCCAACAGTTCCTGTTTTAAAAAAGACTTACTCATAAGACACTAACAGTCCAAAAAGTTTGCATCAGCGTAAGATTTTCTCAATAAACTTCAGGGCTGATGCAACATTTCTCAGTCAAACTTTACAGCTAAAATGACAAGAACACAGAACAGTCAAAAAATTACGCAAGACAATGCTACAGTTTTTTACTCTACCACATCTGCCTCTATGGGTCTCCTGTGAGTCACTGTCTTTTGTGGTCAGTCATCCCTACAAGAACTGCCATTTTCTACCCTAAATTATTTTATTTTTTAAAGAAAAGATCTGCAGGGCCAGGTGTGGTGGCTCACATCTGTATACCAGCACTTTGTGGGGCTGAGGCAGGAGAACGGCCTGAGCCCAGGCGTTCCAGACCAGCCTGGACAACATGGTGAGACGCTGTCTCCACACACACACACACACACACACACACACACACACACACACCAGCCTGGACAACATGGTGAGACGCTGTCTCTACACACACACACACACACACACACACAGACACACACACACACACACACACACACACACCCTTACAATAAAAACAGAATCCTATTACATCTTTCGCCACCTAGCTAAAGCACTGATCTCTAAGTTATTTTTTCAATGTTTACAATTACCATTTTACATAAACAGAAAAAGAGGCATAGTAAGGTTGAAGTTGGATTATTTAGTCATTTGATAAACACATTTGAAATCCTATCAAAAACCAGGGAATGAGACTCAAAAGTGAGGAAGAAGTGCCCCTCCTCTTGTAGCCTGGTGGAGACAAAAAGTAAAGAAGTAATTACAGGACAAACTAATCAAGATTAAGGTGTGGGTAGGCACATGGGCTGGGGCTGTAGAAATCATGAATGCTTCCTAGGGAAAGTAATTTGTGAGTATTTAGAAACATCTATCTCTTTATTTTCAATACAAAATAAACCTAAAGGACTCGACACTATTCCCTGAAAGGTTATAAGACTTACTTGCCAATAGTCAAGTCAAAAATCAAATTTAATAGCTGAATTACTCTTGACTCCCTATCCTAAATTTCAACCCTTATGCCATACTCCCTTTAGGCACAAATGATAGCAAGTTTAACAAATTCTGTCCTGTATGTGCCTTCTCACATGTCTACAGAATAGGATTAAAGACACACAGCGTGAAATAAATAGCCCTTTTTAAAAAGATAATAATTTTCTTAACTGGAAGTGAATGCTTTGAACAATTCAAGCCCTACAAAGCACGGCTGTCAGAAGAGGAAACTGAGGTTCAAAAAAGTCTCACTTTAATACAACAGAATAAAAGGTCTCTTTGAAGTCATCAGAAGAGCTTGAACGAAAAGAGAAACAGAAGGCTATTGTGAGCTTTAGCCTCCAGATGATGACCCCCCAAACACACTGCAATGGTAAACAAACAAGCCTCTGAGTCTGAATCTGATTCGGTGGACTGACAAAACATCACAATTGAAGGAATCTCTCTCCTCACTCATTACTTTTCCAAAAAAGTCCCACTAGCTGATAGCTCCAGGTTTCTTGCTGGTTCCTAGATTTATTGCTTGGAAATTATAATGCATAGTGGGCCTTTCAAAAAAAAAAAAAGGTACAAGCAAATGAAAACAACCACGGTTTTAAAGCCCCATAAAAGACCGTATATGTAGCAGAAATGAACCCTGCCAATGTTTACTATGAGGACCTATTACTCCTTTATGCTACTCGAGTGGATTTTAAACTCAAATGAATGCTACCACTGCCCACTAAAGAGCAAGTTAGAGAAGCACATTCATACACCTGCTTAACAGCGCCCCGACTGCCGCCCCCACCACTTCCCGGGACCAGGGCCAAGCGGCTGACCTGGAAACGGGGCTGCAGACCCCAGCCACTTACACTCTGCTGTCCCAACAAGTAGGCTCTGGAGTCACACTTCATTTGGCCCGGCACACCCTCATCCCCATCACCCAGACCCTCAGCTGCAAGGAGGAAATTACACGGCCTCAAAAAGGAAAAGGCTGGCGGCGGGCAGAAGTGGATGGTCCTGAGCGGTCTCGTTCCTGCTCCCCTAGTCCAAGGTGAGCCCGGGAATCCCGCAGCCCCCGCCCCCGCCCCCCAACTCGGAGTCGCTTTCCTGGTCGCCGCCGAGCTCCTTCCACCCCGCGGCGCCGGGAGCTGCGGTCCCCATCCTTGGCCCCTCCGGGCCTCAGCGTTCGCCTGGGCCCCAGGGGCCCTGACCCAGACCCAGCGGCGCGCCACAGCCTTCTCGGCCAGGGCCGCCCACCCTGTGGCCCGGTCTCCGTCCGACGACCCTGCCCGGCCCGCGCCAGGCAGCCCGCAGCCCCCTCGCGGCCCGGGGCCGCCCCACGCCGCCCGCCCGCCCGCTGGGCCGCGCACCGTGTGGGACTGCAGGCTCTGGCTCGCCTCGATGGCTGCTGTCAGCGGCACCGTGTCGTCCAGCAGCACCTTGCCGGCTGGCGGCTTCTCCATGAAGGCCATCCCGGGACGCCCGGCCGCCGCCGCCTAGGGACGCGAGGTAGGAACCCGAGGCGCCGACTCCCGCCGCCCGCCCGGTTCCACCGCCGCCGCTGTCAACACGCGCCGCCCCACGCGCCGCCGGGCCCGCGGGGTCCTAGCGCCGCCCTTCCCACGGCCGCCGCCCCGGAGTCCTAGCGCCGACCCAGCGCAGAACGTGTGGGGGCCGCCAGCACTGCCGCCCGCTGGCCCGCTCCTCCGCCTCGCGGCTGCCATGGGCCTGCGCTTCCCTGCTCCTCGCAGCCGCACCGCAGACCCGGTGCCCTTAGCTCCGGGCTTCGGACCAGGGAACACCACCCTAAGCCATCACTACCAGGATCCTCAGATCCAGAGACGCCTGGTCCTGAGCCCTGGGATCCAGGAATCTTCAGGGCGAGATTTCCAAACCAGGCCTCTCAGAACTGGGCTTTTCGGGGACCGTACCTCTTGAAACCCTCAGAACTGGATCTCTCTCATCCCCCAGGCCCAAGGACCCTAAAACTCAGAAAAAGGGCCTTTAGGATGGGACCCCCAGTCTGAGCCCTGCAAACCCAGAGACTTTCTGAAACAAGCCCTTCCTATTGAAACTTCACAGGGACTCTTGAACGTGGCTCCTCAGGCCTGAACACCTAAGAGCTGGACCCCATAATTGGAGGTCTTGGGCCCCAGAACCCTCAGACCCAAGCTCTAAGAACTGGAGACCCTATAAAATGGTCCAGAGACCCCTAGCCTCTACTCTTGGCCCCCACTGCGGGCTCAACCACATCCCTTAGACTTGGGAGTTTTTGATCCCACCATATGGACTAGAAGAACTTCAAACCAAGAGCCAAGCCAGAGAACCTTGGGATCAACTTCTCAGCCCTAAATCTGCCCACAGTCTGCCTGAACCCAAAGCCATAATCCTGGCACCACCTCATCCCCCCCATCTCCATATACACCTAGAAATTTCACCCACACTGCCCTCTCCTAGGGCAGCATTCCAGGATAGTGAAGAGTTAAATTTAGAATTGGAGGACCATCATCTCCATGGCTCTGGCATTTACCAGCTGTGTGATCTTCAATAAGTTACCCAACCTCTCTGAGTCCCAACTCCCCAATTTGCAAAGTGGAGATAATATTATTTGTATGAAAAGGTTAATACAAGGAATGCAGTAGACTGGGAAGGGGCTTGGCACATAGTAAAAACTCAAACGGTGGTCAGGCATGATCGCTCACGCTTGTAATCCCAGCACTTTGGGAAGCCAAGGTGGGTGGATCACCTGAGGTCAGGAATTTGAGACCAGCCTGGCCAACATGGCAAAACCCCCTCTACTAAAAATATAAAAATTAGCTGGGCATGGTGGCACGTGCCTGTAGACCCAGCTACTCTGGAGGCTGAGGCAGGAGAATTGCTTGAACCCGGGAGGGGGAGGTTGCAGTGAGCCAAGATCATACCACTACACTCCAGCCTGGGTGACAGAGTGAGACTCTGTCTCAAAAAACAAACAAAAAAACAGACAAACAAAAACACCTCAAACCGTGGTCAGGCATGATGGCTCACCTTTGTAATTCCAGCACTTTGGGAGGCTGAGGAGAGTGGATGGCTTGAGTCCAGGAGTTTAGCCTGGGCAATATGGTGAGACCCCGTCTCTACAAAAAAATTTTAAAAATACCTGGGCATGATGGCTCACACCTGTGGTCCCAACTACTCAGGAGGCTGAGGTGGGAGAGTTTTTTGAGCACAGGAGGTTGAAGCCGCAGTGAGCCATGATCATGCCACTTCACTCCAGCCTGGGTAACAGAGCAAGACCGTCTCCGGAAAAACAAAAAAAAAACAAAACAAAGTCAATATTAGTTTCCTCCTTCCCCTACAGTTGACAGAATGGAAGGTTCCTAACTCTTAAATTTGCCTCCACTAAATTTCTACACTTCAGATAAGGGAACAAAGTTCCTTGGTAATCCCACCACCACCACCAAAATTTGACATCACAGGAAAGGCCCACATCATACATAAAGGGTCCCTTCTCCAGATCTCAAGCTTATTGGGATTGGTGGGCAGCCCCGTTGAGTCAAGTAGCCATGAGATTGGTCCCAGGGGCCAAGATCTAATAGAGCGAGATGTGAAGAAGGAATCCTGGACCTTCATGATTCAGCCCTAAAATAATCAGAACTCTCCCTCCATTCCACTTTTGTGCCAGTGTGTTTAAAAGCAGCAGTCTATTAAAGCAAAACCATATGTCATTTAGGGAGGATTCAACTTTTTACTTTCATTTCTTTGTTTTAAGGCAAATAGATTATTTCTCTGCCAGAGTCACAGAAACCAAAATCCAGCTATAATCATTACTCCTATTGTGATGTGGACTGACCAAGACAAGGCTCTTTTCTCTTACTGCAGGTGGGAGTATAAATTGGCGCCACCTTTCTGGAGGGCATTCGTACATTCATTCAACAATTATTTGCTAAGTACCTACTATGTAATAGACCTAGTACTAGGAGCTAAAACAAATATGTATTAAGGGCTTTGAAAATGTTCTTATCCTATGACCAAGTAATTCTGCGTCTAGGAGGGTATCCTAAGAAAATAATCAGAGATCAGTAAAAAAAAAAAAATAGCATGCAAGGATAAATGACTAACAGTTGGGTTTTGGACAAATCTTGGTACAATCATGAATTTTTTGCAATGTTAAAAATCAGGCCAGGGTAAGTGGTGCATGCCTATAGTCCCAGGCACTCAGGAGGCTGAGGTGGGAGGATCACTTGAACCCGGAAGGTGGAGGCTGCAGTGAGCCAAGATTGCATCACCGCATTCCAGCCTGGGCAACAGAGCAAAACCCTGTCTCAACAAACAAACAAACAAATAAATAAATAAAAAGTCACATGATTAAAAAATATTTTATGATCTTGAGAAATGCTCTTGATATAATAGTAAATGAAAAAAGCAATTTAGCATCCGTATAATCCCAACATATCTACAGGACAAACACCAGAAGAAAATATATCAAAATATGGGCTGAGTACAGAGGCTCACACCTGTAATCCCAGCACTTTGAGAGGCCGAGGCGGGCACATCACTTGAGGTCAGAAGTCTGAGACCAGCCTGGACAACATGGTGAAAACCTGTCTCTACTTTTAGAGAAAAATTAGCCAGAACATGGTGGCACACACCTGTAATCCCAGCTACTCGGGAAGTTGAAGCAGGAGAATCATTTAAACCCAAGAGGTGGAGGTTGCAGTGAGCCGATATCGTATCACTGCACTCCAGCCTCAGTGACAGAGCGAGACTCCGTCTCAAAAATAAATAAATAAATATGAACGGTGGGCCTCTAAGAAGCAGGATCATGATGATTTCTTCTGTATGCTTTTCTGTATTTAACTTGTATGATTGGGGGAAAAATGTTAGACAACTGGAGTCCAGTGCTCTGACAACTGCTTCCATAAGATAAAGTCATGACAGTAACTGGAAGAAGGCTTCTCTGGGGTTTAGCTCCATTTTCTCTGTAATCTGTCCACACAGTCCAAATGCTTTTGTAAGAGAAACCAACTTGTCCATAGTTCATACCTTACAAGAAATTTCACATGCTCTGAAAAATGCATTTTGCATACTTTTACAAATTAGATTTTTTTCATTTAAGATTATGTGATTGGCAGATGACAATCTTCATGCGTATGTTTTTGACAAATGATCACAGTAGTGATTTTTTTTCAAAGTCAGTAAGTGGTACTTGAAGACTTTCAATATTGCAGGTCCTGTAGAGGACAAAATGGAAAAGAAGCAGACTCCTTTTCATCCAATAATTTTTAAGGAGGATAGGAAAGATCGTCACAGAAACAGTGACTCCAAGACAGCCTATACTGAGTCCTGAAATTGAGGCTCTGGGTACCATGAGAAGATAAGAAAGAAAAGAGTCATGGCACTAGACTGGGTTATGGGGCAGTTCATGGAAGAACTGGGGTTTGAGAGGGGCCTTTAATGATGGGTGAGATTTGGATAGCAGGATATGGAGAAAGAACATTTCACTCAATCTTTTTTTTTTCCAAAATGGAGTCTTGCTCTGTCGCTCAGGCTGGAGTGCAGTGGCACAATCTCGGCTCACTGCAACCTCCACCTCCCGGGTTCAGGCAATTCTCCTGCCTCAGTCTCCCGAGTAGCTGGGATTACAGGCACCTGCCACCATGCCTGGCTAATTTTTGTATTTTTAGTAGAGACGAGGTTTCACCATGTTTCAGGCTGGTCTTGAACTCCTGATCTCATGATTTGCCCATCTTGGCATCCCAAAGTGCTGGGATTACAGGCATGAGCCACTGCACCTGGCCCATTTCACTCAATCTTTTAGCAAATTCCTTGCAGAATACTAGATACCAGACACTATGTCAGGCACAGGGGAGTTAAAACAAACCGGACAGATGTCATCGTCTATCAAGCTGCTTACCTACATGAACGAGAAAAACGATGAGTCCGGGCTCAGTGGCTCACCCCTGTAATCCCAGCACTTTGGGAAGCTGAGGCAGGTGGACGGCTCGAGGCCAGGAGTTCAAGACCAGCCTGGGCAACATAGCAAGACCCCATCTCTACAAAAAATAAAGGCCAGGCACGGTGGCTCATGCCTGTAATGCCAGCACTTTGGGAGGCTGAGATGGGTGGATCACTTAAGGTCAGGAGTTCAAGACCAGCCTGGCCAACATGGCAAAACCCCATCTCCACTAAAAGTACAAAAATTGGCCGGGTGTGGTGATGCACCCCTGTAATCCCAGCTACTCGGGAGGCTGAGGCAGGAGAATCGCTTGAACCCGGGAGGTGGAGGTTGCAGTGAGCCAAGATCGTGCCACTGCACTCCAGCCTGAGCGACAGAGCGAGACTCTGGCTCAAAAAAAAAAAAAGAAAGAAAGAAAAAATTAGCCAGGCATGATAGTGCATGTCTGTAGTCCCAGCTATTCAAGAGGCTGAGGTGGAAGGATAGCTTGAGCCTAGGAAGATTGAAGCTGCAGTGAGCCATGATGGTACAACTGTACTCCAGCCTGGGCAACAGAGTGAGACCCTGTACCCATCACTCCCCACCCCTGCTAAAAAAAAAAAAAAAATAGAAAGAAAGAAAAGAAAACAACGTGGACATGCAGTGACAGGCTAGTTCAGGGGTTTATGGAAGCCCTGGGCACTGCAAAGCCATGTAGGCTGCAGGACTGGAAAGTAGGATGTGTGAAGGGCTGGGGAGGAGATGGCTCAACTGGAAAGGTGGGGAAAGGAGCCTTTCCGCACCCTTCTATCCCCAGCTGTGTTACACAGGCTCCTGACAGTTAAGGATGTTTGCAAGGGAACAGATACTTCCCTCAGAGGAGCCCCTCTGAGATCACAGTGACCACTGACACACACATCTGGCCTGGGCTCTGCTGCTTCAAGGAGGGAACATGAATAACATGCAGGTAAAAGTAATGAGGGGGTCAGGAGCAGTGGCTCACGTCTGTAATCCCAGCACTTTAGGAGGCTGAGGCAGTGGATCACCTGAGGTCGGGAGTTTGAGACCAGCCTGACCTACATGCAAAAACCCTGTCTCTACTAAAATTACACAATTAGCTAGGCATGGTGGCAGAGGCTGAGGCAGAATTGCTTGAACCCGGGAGGCAGAGGTTGCAGTGAGCCGAGATCATGCGACTGCCTCCAGCCTGGGCAATAAGAGCGAAACTCCATCTCAAAAACAAAACAAAACAAAAAGGCCTGGCACAGTGGCTCACGTCTGTAATCCCAGGACTTTGGGAGGCCGAGGCAAGCAGATCACAAGGTCAGGAGTTCGAGACCATCCTGCCGGCCAATATGGTGAAACCCCATCTCTACTAAAAATACAAAAAATTAGCCAGGCATGGTGGCACGTGCCTATCATCCCAGCTACTTGGGAGGCTGAGGCAGAAGAACCGCTTGAACCCGGGAGGCAGAGGTTGCAGTGAGCCGAGATCGTGCCACTGCACTCCACCCTGGGTGACAGAGCAAGACTCCATCTCAAAAAAAATAAATAAATAAATATAAAATAAAAAAGTAGTGAGGGAGTGATGAGAATGAGAAGAGGGAGATAAGCGGGGAAGTCGGGAGGGAGAGGGGAAGGTAGGCAGATGGAGAGAAAAAAAGGCAGAATGTGAGATTCAAAAACTAGGCAAAAAGCTGCCCTCATAAGCCTGAGGAAGAAGCTGGAGTGTTGGTCATAGTTAAGGGCCTAAGCTCCCAGGTGACTTCTTGGGTTCACACCGGCTACACAGCTTACTGGCAGCCTGACCTCTCTTTGCTTCAGCTCCTCGTCTGCAGAATGAAGATAATGATAGCCTCCACTCTGTAGGATCATTGGGAGGACTGGATGCGCTAATGTAGGCAATGACCTGGAAGACAGGCTGGTAGGGAGAATGCAGAGTATTAGCTCTTATGTTATAAAGGAAATCACGGTCGGGTGTGGGGGCTTGCCTCTTTAGGGCTCCTGAGTCTCTTTGGGGACAGTTCCTGGCACAGAGTTTGTGCTCAGTAAATATTTGTCAAATGGATGTATGAACAAACCAAAAAAGGAGGCAGGGCATGGTGGCTCACACCTATAATCCTAGCACCTTGGGAGACAGAGACGGGAGGATGGCTTGAGGCTAGGAATTCAGGACCAGACAGAGCAACATAGTGAGACCCTGTCTCTACAAACAAATTTTTTTTTTTTGAGATAGAGTCTCGCTCTGTCACCCAGGCTGGAATGCAGTGGCGCTATCTTGGCTCACTGCAAGCTCCGCCTCCCAGGTTCACGCCATTCTCCTGCCTCAGCCTCCCGAGTAGCTGGGACTACAGGCGCCTGCCACCACACCCGGCTAATTTTTTGTATTTTTAGTAGAGACAGGTTTTTACCGTGTTAGCCAGGATGGTCTCGATCTCCTGACCTCGTGATCCGTCCACCTCGGCCTCCCAAAGTGCTGGGATTACAGGCGTCAGCCACTGTGCCCTGCCTGTCTCTACAAAATTTTTAAAAAGTCACCAGGTGTGGTGGTGCATGCCTGTAGGCCTAGCTACTCAGAAGGCTGAGGTAGGAGGATCTCTTGAGCCCAGCTGAGGTGGCAGTGACCCATGATTGTGCCACTGGCCTCCAGCTTGGGCAACCAAGCAAGACTGTCTCTAAAACAAAATAAAAATTAAAAATAAAGGAAATCAGCAGATGAACCGTACAGGGAGAGAAAAGTTGTTCAACGGAAAGGAATTCAAATACTTTTCTCCCTGGAAGGGAAGAGAACAGAAAAGGAATTAGAATTGAAGGTCAGAGTTGCAAAGGTCATACAATAACAGCCTTATCTAGTTTTCCTTACTAAGGAAAGGAAACTGAAAGTGAGAAATCAGGTATTTGATGAAATGAAGCCAGAGATAAGCTCTCAGTCTAGCCTTTCCCTTTCTCTGCAAATTCTTCTGGGAAGTGGGCCCCTTAAAGTAAATATTTTGGTAAGCCTCATGATTTATTTTTATCTACCCAAATCAGTGTCTTGTCAGTGATCCTCTGAGGACACTGGACTTAAACTGGATCCATGATCCATGGGGAACCAGGTTTCAAACCCCAAGACCGCCTCGATATCCACCTGGCATTTGAAATGGCTAAGGCCTAGCTGGGCATGGTGGCTCATGCCTATAATCCCAGCACTTTGGGAGGCCAAGACAGGCAGATCGCTTGAGCCCAGGAGTTTGAGACCAGCCTAGGCAACATAGTGAGATTCCCATCTCTACAAAAAGTCATAAAATTAGCCGGGCATGGTGGCACATGCCTGTGATCCCAGCTACTCAGGAAGCTGAGGTAGGAGGATCACATGAGCACAGGAAGGTCGAGGCTGCAATAAGCTGTGATCCCATCACTCCACTCCAGCCTGGATGACAGAGCCAGATCCTGTCTCAAAAAAAAAAAGAATAGAAAAGAAATGGCTTAGGCTGAACATGGGGAAACACCCCAAGGCCGGAGCTGATCTAATTTAAATCGGGTTTTTTTCTATAGTCTCAGGCTGCCTAAGGCTAATGAGGAAAGAGGGAACCTCAGTTTTTGCCACACATACAACTACTCAGGGCTCGCAAAAAAAAAAAATGTATATAAAAAAAAAATATATATATATACATATATATACACACACACACATATTTCCCACTGTTGCCAAATGTTTAAATGGCCCACAGGTTGTTTGTCTAACAACTTGATGTTTGCCCAGATTGACTGAAGATAATGAGTTTTAGCAAGGATGCTCCTTAGGCCTGGCAACTACTCTACAAAATCAAATCATAGAAGCTTGTGAAAAACTCAGTGTTTCCTAAGTAGCATGGCCTCCCAACTCAAAATGCTTTTATTTCTTTAAATATTCATGATCTGGATCTAAAACAACAAAACTCAACTCACAGTCATTCTTATTTCCTTTACGTGTTGATATTTTCCACCACATCACAGGGGACTTTTGCCCAGGGTTTATAAGAAGGTCATTTGAATTGCTTTACAGCTAAGAACCACCTTAGGAATTAACTGTGGGGCCTCCTATTAATCTTGTTGTATTTATGCAGTGTTAACATTGGTTCTGGGTTCCTTATGATTTTTGAATTTAAATGGTTTCTTCTAGTTGGTGATTCTGCTCTAACCCACAGTTTCTCTGAAGATGCTGAGAATTAATTTATCTGCTGTGTTTGTAACCCAAAATAAAAGCAAAGATAAGAACAAAGGAGGTGAAACATCTGGGACACTGGAGATACCTGTGGACCAAGACTAATTCAGCAGCACTCCCATTCTGCTCAGAGCTAGATAATAAGCTATGCTGACACATGAGGCATTCACAGTGGCACAGTTGCTCAGAGTGACAGTCATCCCTTGGTAGAAAATGTTTTAATATGAAAACTTAGTAGATGTAATGGCAATTTTCTTTGGGAATAAATTGGTCTCTGAATCATACTCTAAAAACATAAAGGAAAAATGACTAATAATTCAGCACAAAATGAAAACCTGTGGTTACCTAAGAGGTATCAGTGTGCATTTAGCAATTTCTTCTTTTTCTAGGTGAATAAGCATGTCAGGTCCACAAGACAAATGGTGGCTGTTGCCAGGCTTTCTTCCCATTGCTACTCAAGATTTGCTCCTCAGAAAAAGGAATGAGTGGCATTTCACCAATATGGAAATGTTTCCAATAGAGTATAAAAATCCATTAAGCAATTTTCCAGTACATTAGGCTAAAAGTGCTTAAAACGAGTATCTCTTTCTGTGACAATTAAACATCACACAATTTGCAGTCGTATAATACCCCTATGTACAAAGTGCTCGGTCAACTTGGCCTATTTTAGTCATTACTTTTGTACTTATTTCCATGTGTGACCTGGTACAGTCAAGGCCACTTCTCAATTATCTGGGAGAGAATTTCCTAATTTGAGGGTCACTCAGGCTTTCATTAAGAGTCATTCTTTTGAGCAGTTTGTATAGACTCAATGAAAAAGCCAAGCAACCAGTTTTCCTTATAGCCAGCTTTAACAAAGCACGTGTGGTTTGAGAATCTTGACTCTGGATAAAAATGACAAGTTACTAAAGAGAAGTACTGATAACTTCTTGTCTACTTCTCTGTTTCCAACCTTTATTGATTTATAGATTTCAAAGACCATGACTCAGGGAGCATAAAAATGTGGAACTCTGTATGCAGAGGCTCATTCCAGCATTTTGGGAGGCCAAAGCAGGAGTATCGCTTGAGACCAGGAGTTCGAGACAACCTGGGCGACACAGTGAGACCCACATCTCTATAAAAAATACATACATTTTAAAAAAGTGAACATGAAGGCTGAGCACAGTGGCTCATGCCTGTAATCCCAGCACTTTGGGAAGCCAAGGTGGGAGGATTGCTTGAGCCCAGGAGTTTGAGACTAGCCTGGGCAACAAAGTGAGACCTCATCTCTGCAAAAAATCAAAAAATAAGCCAGATATGGTGGTGTGCACCTCTGTTCTCTGCTATATAGGAGGCTGAGGCAGGATTGTGTAAGCCCAGGAGGTGCTGCAGTCATTGCACCACTGCAACTCCAGCCTGGGAGACAGAGTGAGACTCTGTCTCAGAAAACAAACAAAAAAAAAAACAGTGGAAATGCTCACATTGAGTAGCTACTTTTGAAAGTTACACAGTATAAATCAACTATCATTCAGATCTGACATCCCTTCCGTACCCTATATTTTTCATCTTTAACCCTTTAAGCCATTCTTCGGTGAAGACAAATAATCACTGAATGTCGGCTTAGAAAATGTGTAGGTGATATGCATGGGTGGAAGACTTTCAACTAATAGTATTAGGAAAACGCTACAACTCTAGCGGGGAATAAGATCTAGAACATTCCGAAAGCAAAAAGATTGCTATAGAATGATTCCAATTATTTTAATGCCATGTAAGATGCCATTATAGAAACTGACAGTGCTCCAGTTCCAGCAACACGAATGAGGGAAATAAAAATATTTCACCCCAAAATATATTTGTCATATTTTCAGATGGCTGTTCAGAGAGCCAAAAGAAGCAGCCCTGCAAAGCTGTCTTTTTTGGAGAAAACTTGCATTTGCAGAGAATCTGCTTGATGCAGCCAGGCCTTCCCTTGTCTGGATCTCGGGAAGATTAACTTAGTCTGACACTTTAAAGGTCTGAAACATGCTGGACATGGTGGCTCACATCTGTAATCCCAGCACTTTGGGAGGCCGAGGAGGCCAGATCACCTGAGGTCAGGAGTTCGAAACCAGCCTGGCCAACATGGTGAAACCCCATCTCCACTAAAAATACAAAATTTAGCTGGGCATGGTGGCACATGCCTGTAATCCCAGCTACTTGGGAGGCTGAGGCCAAGAGAATCGCTTGAACCCGGGAGGCGGAGGCCACAGTGAACCAAGATCGTGCCATTGCAATCCAGCCTGGGCAATAAGAGCGAGACTCTGTCTCATACAACAAAAAAGGTCTAAAACATTTACCATCTATTCTTTTGAGGGCTGCCACCTGTGGGGCTTCATTTACATAACAAGACCACCTTTGCTAGCCAGGCTTCCCCTTCTCCAGCTCCCCGAACATGTTATGCCACTGATCCGAGCCCACACTCTTTTTGTAACCTTTAGGTGGTATTTAAGCTTCTAAACCCTATTGGGTGGGGGTTTGGGGGGTAATCACTCTGTAGCTCTCCCCTTCATGCAAGCTAATATATTGGTATGCCTTTTCTCCAATTAATTTGCCTTTTCTCAGTTGATTTTTCAGTGAACCTTCAGAGGGCAAAGGGGAAGTTTCCCCTTGGTTCCTACAGGAACCTAAGACCCACAGAGTGATGGAAAAAGGAAAGGCTTTGGAGCCAGGCAGGCCCAAGTTTGAATCCCAGCTGTACTGCTTATTCGCTGAACAACCTTGGGCAAGTCAGTTATCCTACTTAAAAACAGGATAATGTTAACTTCACACAGTTGTTTCAAGGATTAGCATTAATGTAGAAAATCAACTCATCAGGCATTGAAAAAATGGTGGCTATCAGTATCAATGATCACATCCCAATCCAGTTATGGACCTAACTTTAAGACTGCTGCTAAATCCCAGGGAATGAGTTCTGCAGGAGCAAGCAGTCCTGGCCTCAAGTCCGTATATTTGTGCATGTTCCCCATTTTGTTTTGCCATTTGAACACATTTTCAGCATGTCTAGTGATTCACCTATAAATGTCTTCTTCAAGTGGATCTCAGCCTGCACATGCTGCACATTCTGAAACTCACAAGAACAGTATCCTTGCTCCCCACATTGATTTTGGTCTTGTCTTCCACCTTAGAAAACTAGTATATGGTATAATACAGTATTAAAGTTTTAAAGTACTAACTTTATACACAACACTGCCCTCTAGCGACTAGAATAATTTTTTTTTTTTTTGAGACGGAGTCTCGCTCTGTTGCCCAGGCTAGAGTGCAGGGGCACGATCTCAGCTCAATGCAACCTCCACCTCCCAGTTCAAGCAATCTTCCTGCCTCAGCCTCCGAGTAGCTGGGATTACAGGCACGCACCACCACACCCAGTTAATTTTTTTGTATTCTTAGTAGAGATGGGGTTTCATCATGATGGCCAGGATGGTCTCAATCTCTTGACCTCGACCTCGTGATCCGCCTGCCTTGGCCTCCCAAAGTGCTGAGAATTACAGGCATGAGCCACCACGCCTGGCCTAGAATAATTCTTTCTAGTTGTCTGTTCAGCTGCTCTCTGGGTAAAAATTAAAAATTCTGTCATAGATTGTCTTGAATGTGTTGGCTGACATTAGAGAAATGGAAATCATAACTACAATGAGATACCACCTCATGCCCAATAGTAATTTGAACAACAATTTGACAATTCTTTATAATATTAAAGTTACATGATCCAGCAATTCCACTCCTAGAATTTAAAACCTGTCGGCCAGGCGCAATGGCTAACGCCTGTAATCCCAGCACTTTGGGAGGCCGAGGCAGGCAGATCACGAGGTCAGGAGATCGAGACCATCCCGGTTAACACGGTGAAACCCCGTCTCTATTAAAAATACAAAAAATTAGCCGGGCGTGGTTGCAGGCGCCTGTAGTCCCAGCTACTTGGGAGGCTGAGGCAGGAGAATGGCCTGAACCCAGGAGGAGGAGCTTGCAGTGAGCTGGGATCGCACCACTGCACTCCAGCCTGGGCGACAGAGCAAGACTCCATCTCAAAAAAGAAAAAAAGAAAATATATATATATATATATATTTAAAACCTGTGCACATAAAAACCTCTTCTATAATGTTCATAACATTATTTTTAACAGCCCAAAAGCGAAAATAATCCAAATATCAACTGATGTATGGGTAAATACAATGGAATATTATTCAGCCATAAAATAAAATGATGTACTGATACATGCTGTAACATGGATGAACCCTGAAAACATGCTATATCAAAGAAGCCAGTTCCAAAGGATCATACATTGTATGAACTTTTATGAAATGTCCAGAACAGGGAAACCCATAGAGACAGAAAGTAGACTGGTGATTCCCAAAGACTGGAGGAGAGAAATGGATTGACTGCTAATGGGAGGTTCTTTTGGGGGTGATGAAAAATGCTATAAAAAATTGATTTGGTGATGGTTGTACAACTTTGTGGATATTCTGAAAACCACTAAACTGTACACTTTTAAAAGGTGAATTTTATGGTATGTGAATTATATCTCAATTTTATTAAAAAACGGGAAACAAAAAAAAATGGGAAACAAAAGTGTTGGCTGTGTTGGGATGGCCATTTAGTAGTAACATGTTAGGCACATCTCCCCTTCAATATAACCTCCCTGACCCCAGCCCCCAAAGTCTTAAGAATTTGGCCTCCATAATCTTCTTAATATTTATTTCTTACAATTTTTTTTTTTTTACTATAAGCATGTATTACTCATAATAATGGGAGGTAGATCCAAATTTTCAAGGAATAATCTGAACTTTTATAACAGAAACTGTACTTAAGAACACTAATAGAGGTTGGCTGACACCCTGAAAAACTGGTCTGTTACGTTTAACTGTGGGCCAGTCAGCTTCAAACTCAGGAAAACCTCTCACCTCAGTTGCAGGGGAAATGGGCAACAATAATAGTAGCTACTGCTGACAGGCTGGGCCCTGTGCTTAACTCCATCTATCATCTCCACCAACTATCCCACATGGCATGTGCTACCACTATTTTACAGATCAGACCGTTTACATAACTGAGACCGAGGATGCACATACGCCCCTCCCCTGAAACGCAAGTCTCACTGAAGGTAGACTAAGATGCCACCTTGGTGTAAATAACAAATTACAATAAACTCTGACTCAGATACTGAAGAACAGTCTAAAAATATTCATTGATAAAAGGTAGGTGTTCAAAGATGACCCAACTTCTATTTTCGCCTTCAATAATTGTTACACAGTTAAAATACAGTGACAAGCTGCTTCCACATGGCTATAGGTAGGGATTTGTTATCCAAATGCAAATCTATCTAGGTCTGAATTTCTAAAAGTAGAATCTTTTTTTTTTTTTTGAGGTGGAGTTTTGCTCTGTCACCCAGGCTGAAGTGCAGTGGTGTGATTTCAGCTCACTGCAACCTCCCAGGTTCAAGAGATTCTCCTGCCTCAGCCTCCCAAGTAGCTGGGATTACAGGTGCCCGCCACCATGCCCGGTTAGTTTTTGTATTTTTAGTAGAGATGGGGTTTCACATGTTGGCCAGGCTGGTCTTGAACTCCTGACCTCAAGTGATTCGCCTGCCTCAGCCTCCCAAAATGCTGGGATTACAGGCGTGAGCTGCCACGCCTGATTTAAAAGTAGAGTCTTTAAATAACCTTCCCAATACTTCTTTCTTGAGACAGGGTCTCGCTCTGTCACTCAGGCTACAGTGCAGTGGTGCAATCTCAGTTTCTCACCATAACCTCCAGCTCTCAGGCCCAAGCAATTCTCCCACCTCAGCCTCCCAAGCAACTGGGACTACAGGGCCAAGTCACCAAGCACAGCTAGTTGCACTTTTTTTTTTTTTTTTTTTTTGGTAGAGATGGGGTTTCACCATGTTGGCCAGGCTGGTCTTGGACTCCTGACCTCAAGTGATCCGCCTGCCGCAGCCTCCCAAAGTGCCAGGATTACAGGCATGAGCCACCGGGCCCAGCCTACTTCTTGAATTAAAAAACAAAAAACAAACAAAAAACCCAGGCAGATAATGAAATCCTGCATACACTCAAGTCTGCATGAAGCATAAGGCCAAACTGGAAAGTGGGCATTTGAACAACCCTCTTCCTGCTCCCTTCCCCTAACTAAGATGGGCTTCTGGGCCTATCAACCATTCTTTGGTAAAGAGCAGCAATTCCCCATAGGCTCTTTAACAACAGCATTGGTGTTTGAGGTTGCATCTTTAAAACATCTATTTCAGGATTTGGAAGCTTCTGGAACCATAACTTTAACCCAGCCTTCCATAACAGTCTTTTTACTTTCTATTACAGAACATGACACTGCAATAATAGCAATGAACCGCTTCAGCTTTTTCACTTCTGCAGAAGCTAAAACAACTTCTCCAATATATAAAGGGGCTGGAAAGCTAATTTCCTGGGAAAGAAATACACAGCCTGGCCCTGGCATTTTAGTTCCTAGGAGAGCTGAGATAAGTCCGTTGATCAAAACTCCATGTACAATTGTATTTCCAAACTTGGTGTGTTTTGCAAAGTCTTCATTCAAATGCAAAGGATTGACATCCCCTGTTAATTCTGAGAAGGTAGCCACATCAGTCTGTGTGAAGGCCCTCCTAAGTTCAGCGCGGTCTCCAACTTTGATGTGCATATGCTGAAAGTGCTGCAGGGTCAGCACTGGCAGGTTCAGACAGACTGTCCTCCGAAGCCCACCCCACCAAAGGTGATGGCTGGAAATTAGTGGGAACATCTTCAGCACCCTCAAATTTCATCAAGAGCTTTTAGCCTGCTTCAGTCTTCAAACATGCAGGCACCAAAAAATAAATATGAGAGTGGATGAACGTTTCCAAAATGGAAGACTATTCATTCAATCCAATACTAGTTCCCTACTATTACCAGATAATGCAAGAAGAAATGGAGAAACCTAGAAGAGAAAGAAAAAGGTTAAGGCATTGGGAGAAACCACACTGAAGCACAGGGCAATGGGGAAACATGCCCAGTTTTACAGGATAAACAAAGCTGATGCAGGAGCATTTTACAGAGCATCCTGAGAGGAAGCCTTCGATAACAAGTGGTCACATCTCAAAAAGAGCGTACCAATATATAACACACAAGGCATTAAGTGTTAAATAAAAAAAGTAAGCCTTAACCACAGGGTTGCAAGTTTTATCCCAAAACATCTCCCATAGATTTTAAAATCTAAGTGCTCTGTCTCACATTTTTGGAAACAATCAAGTCCTTTATTTTCCCCTACTTAGATCATTTTAACCATATTACATTTATGCAAGCACAAAAATGAGTTGTGTATATTAAGAAGCAGTTGACCCATCACTCAGTCTTGTTTGGAATATGTGAGGGAATAGTCTTTACCTGAATCACCCGGAAAGCACATTTTTTGCCTTTATAGGATCCTAACAGGGTCAAAGAGCTCCACAATTTGACAAGACCACTGCAGAAAGATCAAGAAAATACATAGTGTGTCATAGACAGAGAACAAAATGAACTTCAACTAAGGTTTCTAAAATATTCACTTCTGACTTTGCAACTATAACCATCAATGGGAAAACTACAGCTGTAACCAAATCGTAAGTTTTGCCCTCTCTAGAGTACAAGTTTCTGGTGGATGAATGTTCATATTCATCCCAGTTTAAATTCCCAAAAGCTGCTCAGAGTTCACAACAAAAAATTTATTCTCATTCTCAGAAGAGAGCATTTTTGCTCCATCGGTCTCTCTGCCCTGTTATACTAGAAATTTCCCACTCTCTGTCATACCTGCTACATATTCTCAAGATGGCTGACAAGGTCTTCTCTTCATAGGTTAGGATGTCCAAAGGTAAGGCGGCATCAACCTGCATATGGAATAATGCTATTAGCAGGCTATTCTCACCATTATTCTTGAATGCTTGTCAACTTTTGACAACAAATGAGTTTTGAGCTTTTCTCCTCCACATAAGCAGTATTTTATTTAATGGTGCTGGCACTTTAGTTGCCTACTTACAGCTCCCCCTGCCTAGAATGTTCTGCCTACACCTCTTCATATGGCTGATGTCTCTCATCCTTTGAGCCTTCATTTAAATTGTTCCTTGACTGATCTTCAAGATGAGACAAAGTCAGCTTGCTATGTTCTTTCTTGTACAGGACACCATACTTTCTCTTTCATAATTCCCTTTATTCTTGTCACTAATTGTCCAACATGTTTTCCTACTACAAGAACCAAGACATTAGTCCATGTGGCAGAGGCCATGTCTGTTTGTTTGCAGCTATATAAACCCCAGGAACGAGGTTTTCTACCTGACACACAGGTACACACAGGGATATTTTTTTTTAAAATTTTGTATTTAAAAAAATTATAGACTCACAAGAGATCACAAAGAAATGTACAGGGATTGGCCGGGCACAGTGGCTCACGCCTGTAATCCCGGCACTTTGGGAGGCCAAGGAGGGCGGATCACCTGAGGTTGGGAGTTTGAGACCAGCCTGATCAACACGGAGAAACCCCATTTTTACTAAAAATACAAAATTAGCCGGGTGTGGTGGCACATGCCTGTAATCCCAGCTACTTGCGAGGCTGAGGCAGGAGAATCGCTTGAACCTGGGAGGCGGAGGGTGCGGTGAGCCAAGATCGTGCCATTGCACTCCAGCCTGGGCAAGAAGAGCGAAACTCTGTTTCAAAAATAAATAAATAAATAAAAAAGAAATGTACAGGGAGGTTCATGCACTCTTCATCCAGCCTCCCACAATGTCAATGTCTTGCGTAACTACAGTACAGTAGCAAAACTACAAAACTGGTATTGGTACAAACCAGAGGTTATTCAGATTTTACCAATTGTATGTCTACTCCTATTTATACCTGTGTGTGGCTCTATGTAATTTTCCCACATAGGTAGCTTCATATAACTACCACCACAATCAATGATAAAGAACTGTACCATCATAAGACTCCCTTATTCTACCCTTTACAGCCACACCCACCCCTCCTCCCCTACTCCTCACCCCAGCAACCACTAACCTTTCTCCAGATTATATATAGTATTTCAAGAGTCTTCTATAAATGGAAACACCCAGTATGTCATGTTTTGGGATTGGCTTTTTTTCGCTCAGCATAATTCTCTGGAGATTCATTCATATTGTGTCTAAATAGGTCATTCCTTTTCACTGTCGAGTATATTCCATAGTAGGAATGTACCACAGTTTATTCACCCATTGAAGGATATATGGGGTGTTTTCAGTTTCATTGTTATTAAAAATAAAGCTGCTATGAATATTCATGTACAGGCTTTTGTGTGAACTTAAGTTTTCAGTCCTCTGGAACAGATGCCCAGGAGTGCTAATGCTGGGTTCTATGGCAGATGCACGTTTAGTTTGTTAAAGATACTGCTGGCCAGGCATGGTGGCTCACACCTGTAATCCCAGCACTTTGGGAGGCCAAGGCAGGCGGATCACAAGGTCAAGAGATTGAGACCATCCTGGTCAACATGGTGAAACCCCGTCTCCACTAAAAATACAAAAAAATTAGCTGGGTGTGGTGGTGTGTGCCTGTAGTCCTAGCTACTTGGGAGGCTGAGACAGGAGAATCGCCTGAACCTGGGAGGCGGAGGTTGCAGTGAGCCAAGATTGTGCCACTGCACTCCAGCCCGGTGACAGAACGAGACTCCATCTCAACAAAAAAAAAAAAAAAAAAAAAAAAATACTGCCAAACTATGTTCCAGAGTGGCTGCACCATTTTACATACTCACTGTAGTGTATGAGTGATCTAGTTTCTTTGCATTCTTGCTAGCACTTAGTGTTGTCATTTTTTATTTCAGTCATTCTGCTAGGTACACAGTGGTATCTCATTGTGTCATTAATGTGCATTTCCCTAATGGCTAATGTTAAACATCTTTCCATGTGCTTCTTTGCCAACCACACATTCTCTTTAGCAAAATGTCTGTTAATGTTTTTGCCCATTTTCTAATTGAATTGTTTGGTTGAGTTCTGATACTTCTTTTTTATTATTATTACTATTATTTTTTTGAGACAGAGTCTCTCTCTGTCACCCTGGCTGGAGTGCAGTGGTGTGATCTCAGCTCACTGCAACCTCCGCCTCCCAGGTTCAAGTGGTTCTCCTGCCTTAACCTCCCGAGTAGCTGGGGTTACAGGCATGTGCCACCACGCCCGGCTAGTTTTTATAGCTTTAGCAGAGACAGGGTTTTGCCATGTTGGCCAGGATGGTCTCAAACTCCTGACCTCAGGCAATCAACCCACCTCGGCCTCCCAAAGTGCTGGGATTACAGGCATGAGCCACCACGCCCCATGTGTTATTATTTTTGAGACATGGTCTTGTTCTGTTGACCAGGCTGCAGTGCAGTAGTGCAATCATAGTTTACCACAGCCAGCCTCAAACTCCTGGCCTCAAGCAATCTTCCTGCCCTGGCTTCCCAAAGTGTTGGGATTACGGGCATGAGCCACTGCACCAGGCCAAATGTCATTTATATATTCTAGACACTATAGTCCTTTGTTGGATACGTGGTTTACAAATATTTTCCCCCAGTGTGTAATTCATCTTTTCATCCTTTCCCACCCCTACCCCCAGCCATGGAGGTGTGATCACCACTCATTGCAACCTTGAGCTCTTGGGCTCAAGCAATCCTCCCACCTCAGCCTCCTGACTAGTTGGGACTATCAGTGCACACCACCACACCCAGCTCAATTTTTCAAATTGTTTTGTAGAGATGGGGTTTCACCAGATACCCAGGCTGGCCTGGAACTCCTGGGCTCAAGTGATCCACCCGCTTGGCCTCTCAAAAGTGGTGGGATTACAGCTGTGAGCCACTGCACCTGGCCCTTTCATCCTCTTAAGAGTCTTTTGCAGAGTAAAAGTTTTAAATTTTGATGAGGTACTTAGCATATTTTGATTTGACAGACTATATGAATCACAAAATAATTTCCTGAGCATCCTGTCTTCTTTCAACTTCTGAAACTCTACTTCTCTACTTCTGTTCTCAAAGTTGCTTAAAATGCTGGTCTATGACAAAATAATGAGTTGAATCAGAATATAAACCAATAGTATCATTAATCACCATGTTTAGTTCAGTTCATCTTTTTTTCATGAGGAGCCTTTTTTTTGAGACCGAGTCTCGCTCTGTCGCCCAGGCTGGAGTGCAGTGGCGTGATCTCGGCTCACTGCAAGCTCCACCTCCCGGGTTCATGCCATTCTCCTGCCTCAGCCTCCCGAGTAGCTGGGACTACAGGTGCCCGCCGCTGCGCCCGGCTTTTTGTGTTTTTAGTAGAGACAGGGTTTCACCGTGTTAGCCAGGATGGTCTTGATCGGCTGACCTTGGGATCTGCCTGCCTTGGCCTCCCAAAGTGCTAGGATTACAGGCGTGAGCTACCGTGCCCAGCCCTTTTTTTTTTTTTTTTTTTTGAGACAGAGTCTTGCTCTGTTGCCCAGGCTGGAATGCAGTGGCGTGATCTCTGCTCACTGCAACCTCTGCCTCCCAGGTTCAAGCAATTCTCCTGCCTCAGTCTTCCAAGTAGCTGGGACTACAAGCGTGCGCCACCATGCCCAGCTAATTTTTGTATTTTCAGTAGAGAAAGCGTTTCACCACGTTGGCCAGGCTAGTCTCAAACTCCTGACTGTAAGTGATCTGCTCATCTCAGCCTCCCGAAGAGCTGGGATTATAGGAGTGAGCCACTGCGCCTGGCCCATAAGGAGACTTTCTCATTAAAAGTGGTTCTGCTGCAAATTCCTTATCTCTTCAAGATGGGAAAAGAGTTTGCAGGTGCCAGTCTAGGCCACACTTTGAGTAGCACTGTGCTACAACAATCATTTGTCTAACGTGTTCCTTGTCAAACAGAAGGCATATTAGAATAAACCCAACAAAATTCATCACTTCTGAAAGTTTACTTCTGCAATTTCAAACACAGTTTTAAAATAATCTCTAGGGGAATACAAAAATTAGCTGGGCGTGGTGGCAGGTACCTGTAGTCTCAGCTACTCGGGAGGCTGAGGCAGGAGAATCACTTGAATCCGGGAGGGGCGGGGGGGGGTGCGGAGGTTGTGCCACTGCACTCCAGCCTGGGTGACAGAGCGAGACTCTGTCTCAAAAAATAAATAAATAAAAATAAAATAAAATAATCTCTAGGGGAACCCTCACACACTACTGGGAGGAATGTAAATGTACAACCACTGTGGAGAGCAGTATGGAGGTTTCCCAAAAAACTAAAAATAGGTCAGGTGCAGTGGCTCATGTCTGTAATCCCAGTGCTTTGGGAGGCCAAGGCAGGAGGATTGCTTGAGTCCAGGAGCCTGGGCAACATAGTGAGACCTTGCCTCTACAAGTAAAAAAATTGGCGTGGTGGCACACGCCTGTGGTCCCAGCTACTCGGGATACTGAGGTGGGAGAATCACTTGAGCTTGGGAGGTTGAGGCTGTAGTGAGCCATGACCATGCCACTGCACTCCACCCTGGGCATCACGGCAAGACTTCATCTCAAAAACAAAAAACAAAAGAAACTAAACTAAAAATAGAATACCATTTAATCCAGCAAGTCTACTACTGAGCATAAATCCAAGAGAAAGGAAATCAATTCAAAAAGACATGTGCAGCTGGGCATAGTGGCTCATGCTGTCATCCCAGCACTTTGGGAAGCCAAGGTGGGGAAAAAAAAAAAAAAGGACATATGCACTCTCATATTTATTGTATTCCCAATAGGCAAAATGTAGAACTTAAGTGCCCATCAATGGATAAAAAAAAAAAAGTGGTATATATTACAATGGAATATTATTCAGCCATAAAAAAGAATGAAATTCTGTCATTTGCAGCATCATGAATAGAACTGGAGGCCATTTTGTTAAGTGAAGCCAGCCAGGCACAGAAAGACAACTGTTGCATGTTCTCACTCATATGTGAGAGCTAAAAAAGCAGATCTTGCCAGGCACAGTGGCTCGTGCCTGTAATCCAGCACTTTGGGAGCCCAAGGCGCGTGGATCACCTGAGGTCAGGAGTTCAAGACCAGCCTGGCCAACATGACGAAACCCTGTCTCTAGTAAAAATACAAAAATTAGTTGGGCATGGTAGCGTGTGCCTGTAATCTCAGCTACCAGGGGGGCTAAGGCAGGAAGATCCCTTGAATCTGGGAGGCAGAGGCTGCAGTGAGCCAAGAATGTGCCATTGCACTCCAGCCTGGGCAACAAAGCAAGACTCCATCTCAAAGAAAAACAACAACAACAACAACAACAACAACAAAAAGTAGATTTCATGAGGATAGAAAGTAGATTGGTGATTATCAGAGGCTGGGAAGGGTAGGAGGGTAGAGAGGATGAAGGAGGAAAAAAAGGAATACAAATGTGTTTATTACAATAAATGAATAAAAATTTAAAAATACAGAGTTGTATAATTTATTTTTTTTTTTTTTTTGATGTTTGAAAAGCATTCTTTCTCGATTTTTTTTTTTGTGACAGAGTCTCGCTCTGTTGCCAGGCTGGAGTGCAGTGGCGTTATCTCGGCTCACTGCAACCTCTGCCTCCCGGGTTCAAGCAATTATCCTGCCTCAGCCTCCCGAGTAGCTGGGATTACAGGTGCCTGCCACCACACCCAGCTTATCTTTGCAGTTTTAGTACAGATGGGGTTTCACCATGTTGGCCAGGATGGTCTCGATCTCTTGACCTCATGATCTGCCCACCTCGGCCTCCAAAGTGCTGGGATTACAGGCGTGAGCTACCGCGCCCGGCCTCTTTCTGTATTTCTTACAAAGATCTTTGGAATGTTCAATCTACCAAGTGATTCCATACCTCCCCAAACAGGTCCTTCACAGCCGAAATAAGCAGCTGTTTGAACTGTGCAGCATTCAGTCCAACTCCACAATCTTGAAATTCTCTAAAAAAAGTGAAAAAAAAAAAAGTCATATTAAATTTCATTCTATTCAGATTCATGTTAGAAAAGTAATCTAAAATAGAACTTAGGAAACTAAACTTACAGGCAGACTTTCATGTAGTGGTACTCGGAAGGGTTTTTGTAAACTACTCTTTCATATGTGGCAGCAGGGGCAGGCATCTTTTCCAGTGCTGATCACACCTACAGTAAGTCAAGAGGGCTAGAAATGACCAATGCACATGCTATTTTTCAGAGTTTTGATGAGAATTTGGCCTATTTGGGTTTTTTTTGTTTGTTTGTTTTAAGGCAGGGTCTCACCCTGTCACCTAGGCTGAAGTGCAGTGGTACAATCAGAGTTCACTGCAGCCTCCACCTCTGGCTCTCGAGGCTCAGGTGATCCTCCTGCCTCAGACTCCTGAGTAGCTGGGAGTATAGGCACGTGCCACCACATCCAGCAGATTTTTGTATTTTTTGTAGAGACAGGGTTTCACCATGTTGCCCAGGCTGGTTTCAAACTCCTGGGCTCAAGCAATTTGCCCAACTCAGCCTCCCAAAGTGCTGGGATTACAAGTGTGAGCCACCAGGCCCGGCCTTCCTGTTATTATTATTTTTTTTTTGGAGAAGGAGTCTTGCTCTGTCGCCCAGGCTGGAGTGCAGTGGCACAATCTTGGCTCACTGCAACCTCTGCCTCGCGGATTCAAGCAATTCTCCTGCCTCAGCCTCCCGAGTAGCTGGGATTATAGGAATGTGCTACCACGCCCGGCTACCTTTTTTGTATTTTTAGTAGAGACAGGGTTTCACCATATTGGTCAGGCTGGTCTCGAACTCCTGACCTCGTGATACGCCTGCCTCGGCCTCCCAGAGTGCCGGTATTACAGGTGTGAGCCACTGTGCCTGGCCTCCTGTTTGGTTTTTAAGACTTCTGAGCACAGTAACTCATCTAATTCTGATCAAACTAAGGTTACCCATACGAATACAAAATAAGTTTCTATATTCTATAAATGTCAAATCACTGTACTCTTACTTAAAACATAACAACATAATTTTGGCTAACAATTTTCCTTATGAGCACCCAGCTCTTTGCTAAACATTTCACATGCCTTAGCTTGTCTTCAAAATGCTCCTGAGGTAAGAGGTATTATTATTCCCATTTTCGAGAAGATGACACAGAGGTTTAGTAAACGTAGGTAACATCTGCCCAAGGGTGCCCAGAGATTCCAACCACTCTGAGCCCACTCAAGACCAGTTACGATGCCTCTTTATCCAAAGAAAAAGAAAAGACATAAAGGAGTAAAATCTAAGATTTGAAGGTCCTCTTCTTGTTTACTCTCAGTCAACACAGAACACAAAGAGAAGAATGAGGGATGGTCGTTCTGCCGTCTCCTCCCATCCTGTGTCTGCCTGCTCTCAGTCCAAAAGCCAGGTCTGTGCAAGACTATCTGTGAACAACTGAGCTTAAACAGCACAGGGGTTGAGAAGAGGGATTCCTGGAAGGGGCACTCAATGCAGCTTCTAAAAGGTCTGAACTTTCAAGAACGTAGAACATGCTCATCTCTCTGTAGACAGTTCCTTTCCTTGGCTCCATGCCAACCTTGCTCTCCCTCTGGATAGGTCCTATTCATCCTTCAACTTTCAGTTTAAATACCACCTCTTCATGAAGGTCTTCTCTGACACCCTTCTCTAAGTTAAGCCCCCATGTTATGCAATCTCTTAACACTGTCTATTTGTTTAATATATGGATCCCCCACTACAGGGAACAGGAAACTGAGGCCCAATCAAGGAAAGGGACTTATCCAAGGTCACAGAGCTATGGACCAGCATTTCAAAACCACTCTGGGTTAGACCCAGTTCCAACCACTCCCAGATGATGACCTCTGGAGAAAAGAAGTCAGGGTCAAGGAGCTACATCTACCAATCCATTCAACAAACATTAATACTTTGGGGCCTGGCGTGGTGCTCATGCCTGTAATCTCAACAGTTTGGGAGGCCAGGAGTTTGAGACCAGCCTGGGAAACATAGTGAGACCCTGTCACTAAAAAAAAAAACAAAAAAACTTAAATTAACCAGGCATGGTAGTGTGTGCCTGTAGTCCCAGCTACTCCAGGGGCTGAGGTGGGAGGATAGCTTGAGTCTGGGAGGTTAAGGATACAGTGCACTGTGATTGTACCACTGCACTCCAGCCTGGGTGACAGAGCATGACCCTGTCTCCAAAACAAACAAACAAAAAATACTGTAATACTATGACACAAAGTAGGTATTCAAATGAGAGAAAAGTGATAGTGGTATAGGCCTATATATTCAAAAGAATCCTTGGTTTCAGGACAGCGGAAATAGTTACCTGATGCTTCTTTCCCAGTCACTAGAGTCTCCCCTAACTAGAAGGGCAGGGAGAACAAGAAACCTCATCTGTTTCTTTCATTGCTTGGCACATAAATGTTTTTTAGTGTTACTGCCTTGATGGAGCTGGCTGCCTAAAATAGGGGAGTGAAATTAGACCCAGGGCTTAGATGCCAGTAAAACGAAGACTTACACAACATTCACGAGATGGACAGTGGTGATGGCTGCACAGCGTTGTGAATGTACTCAATGCTACTTACGATAAATTTTATGTCACGTATTTTTTGCAATTAAAAAAAAAAAAAAAGACTTACAAATGACAGCACTGCCCTCTGCAGGCTGTTCTGACATTAAAGGAGAGGATACCTGGGAAATTATTTTGTACAGACTGGTATTAAATATATTCACCAGGCTCTCCACAGATGTGGGCTCACGAAGTTACTGTCATCGTCATCTTTAAAGTCAGTCTTGTTGTTTGTTTTGAGATGGAGTCTCACTCTGTCGCCCAGGCTGGAGTGCTTTGGGTCGAAGCAATTCTCGCTCCTCAGTCTCCTGAGTAGCTGGGATTACAGGCGTACGTCATCACGCCCAGCTAACTTTTGTATTTTTAGTACAAATGGGGTTTCGCCATGTTGGCCCAGGCTGGTCTCGAACTCCTGGCGTCAAGTGATCCGCCGACCTCGGCCCCCTCAAAGTGCTGGGATTACAGGCATGAGCCACCGCGCCCGGCCTAGAGTCAGCCTTTTTTAGTGGCTGCGCAGGGATGCTCCTAATCTGACCTATTAGTAATAAATCTGATTCTCCCTACTCCCCCGCTTCTCCATCCCTACGGCGGCCAGTGAGTCTATTAACATCTACTCAAGCTACATCATTCCTCTGCTCAAAATCTTGCTATGGTTCCCGTTTTATCCAGAGTAAGGCCAAAGTCCTTAGAGCAGCCTGCAAGGCTCTGCCTCACCTGCAGGACTGCTCCCTCTACACCTCTGACTTCATGTCCTGCCATTCTCCCTCCGCTCAATCCCCGCCACCACACAGGCCTAGCCTAGCTCTTTCTCACGCGCCAGTCTCGCTCCCACCGCTGGGCCTCGGCTCTAGCTTTTCCCCATGCTGGGAAAGATCTTCCTCCAGGCAGCCACCGGACTCACACCCTTGCCCCCTTCCTGGCTTAGCTCAAATCTCAATCGGGTTGGCCCAGTGCCCTTCTCGGCTAACACCGCACCCCACCCCCATGCCCCGTCCCTGCTTTCTTCTTCGTAGCATTTGCCTTTTTCTATGACAATTATGTAACTCGTTTATCTTTATCTGTACTTCCCCTCCCCACCCCAACAAAAGTCCACTCCAAGAATCTTGCTATCTTGTTCACTGCTGTTTCCCAAGGCCCTAAAACACTGGGTCGTGCACAGTGGGCGTGCGACGTACAATTTTTGGACTAAATCAATCACTTTAAAAAGCTCAATATCCTTACTGCTGAGCACTTGGGTGGCTTTCAATATTTTTCAACAACCACTATTTAGCGCTCACCTCGCGCCGGGCGCATGGAGAGCGCTCAGGACACGGTCCCGAAGTCTCGCCCGGGCCTCTCGGCCACGTTCTGCGGCCGAGACCCTACGCGGCGCCGTACAGAGGCCCTCAGCGCCCGGGGTCGGAGAGGACAAGCTACCCAAGGCGCACCGCCCGCCCCGCGCATGCGCCCGGGTCGCGGCCAACTGAGACGGCTCCCAGACAACCGCCGCTCTTTGGAAGGCTTCCACCTACCCACTCTTCGTCGGACTAGCCTGACGCCTGACCAGACTCCTATTCGCCGCAAGGACCCGCCAAGGCTTGGGGCTCCCCGGCAGCAGCCACAGCTGGGCCCGAGAAACTCCTGGTGTCTTTACGTTTGGCTTCTCCTCGTCCCGCCCCACGAAGCGTGACGCCCAGGCGGATATGACGTCACCACGCGGCGTCGTCCTAAGGACCCAGGCGCGAATCCTGATCCGGAGCTGAGAGCGGCCGAGCTCAGCGCCCTCTGGTGTCCACTCCGGGAAAGCCGTGTGTGCAATTTGCTTGGGGTGCGGTTTAGGGCGGGTTTTTTCCGCCTTGGACGGTGCTTCATAGTTATCCATTTCTTCATGCATTCATTCATTCATTCAACAATTTTTTCGTTGTTTTTTTGAGACAGTTTCACTCTGTCGCCCAGGCTGGAGTGCACTGGCGCGATCTGGCTTACTGCTACCTCCGCCTCCAGGGCTCAAGCGATTCTCCCACCTCAGCCTCCTGAGTAGCTAGGACTACAGGTATGCTCCACCATGCCTGGCTAATTTTTGTATTTTTAGTAGAGACGGGGTTTCACCATGTTGGCCAGGCTGGTCTCGAACTCCTCGCCTCAAGTGATCTGCCCACCTTGGCCTCCCAAAGTGCTGGGATTACAGACGTGAGCAACTGCGCCCGAGTCATTCTACACATTTTTTTCATTATATTATAATTTATTTATTGAGATGGAGTCTCGCTCTGTCGCCCAGGCTGGAGTGCAGTGGCGCCATCTTGGCTCACTGCACCCTCCGCCTCCCTTCAAGTGATTCTTCTGCCTCAGCCTCCCAAGTAGCTGGGACTACAGGCATGCACCACCATGCCCAGCTAATTTTTGTATTTTTAGTCGAGACGAGGTTTCACCATGTTGGCCAGCATGGTCTCAATCTCTTGACCTCGTGATCTGTCCACCTCGGCCTCCCAAAGTGTTGGGATTACAGGCGTGAGCCACCGCGCCTGGCCTAATTTTTGTATTTTTAGTAGAGACAGGGTTTCACTATGTTAGCCAAGCAGGTCTCAAACTCCTGACTTCAGGCAATCCACCCACCTCGCCTCCCAAAGTGTTGGGATTACAGACGTGAGCCACCGCGCCCAGCCTACAAAATTATATCTAGCATCTCCTCTCCTCAAGATCTCCTATGTCAAGCACTCCCCAAAGATAGGACCCACTCTCAGTGTCCCTTGTGACTCCCAGCACATAGTAGGTGTTCTATCTAGGCCGTCCTGGAAAGACCCACAAAGTAAAGACTTACTTTGTGCTAGGCACTATGCAAAATATTTTACATATGTCATCTCATGGAACCCTCACACAATCCTGAGATGGCTATTACTATGATCATCACCATTTTAGAGGTAGAAACTGAGGCACAGGCCAGGCGCAGTGGCTCATGCCTGTAATTCCAGCACTTTGGGAGGCTGAGGCGGGCAGATCACTTGAGGCCAGGAATTCGAGACCAGCCTGGCCAGCATGGTGAGACCCCCATCTCTACTGAAAATACAAAAATTAGCTGGGCACGGTGGTGCACACCTGTAATCCCAGTTACTCGGGAGGCTGAAGCAGGAGAATTGCTTGAACCTGGGAGGTAGAGGTTGCAGTAAGCCGAGATCACACCACTGCACTCTAGCCTGGCAACAGGAAAAGAAACTGAGGCACAGAGAGGCTAAGTTATTTGCTCAAGATCACAGTTATAAGCAGTGGCATGGGCTGTCTGATTCTAGCCAGTGCTCTCCATACTGCACTGTATTACCACCAATTGAGGGGCTGCAGTGGGAAGGGAAACTTTAGTGTAACCCCCATGAGGATGGGGCCTTGTCTGTGTTTCTCACCACTGCATCCCAGTTCCTGGTACCCAATGGTGACCCAACATCTATTTACTGAAGGCATTTGTTCATAAATGGATGTGCTGGTTTTGCTTGGGTTGGGGGGCAAAGGGTTGCCTTGCACAGGACAGTTGAGTCAGCGGGGATCTCCTTCCTCAATTATTTTCTCAAAATCCCACTGTGTTGTTTCCAGAAGCTTCAGTCCTCAACCTTGGCCATGCTCTCCAGTTCTGTGGTTCCTACTTTCTTCTTCCTTCAGAGGAGACAGGGCTTGTTCCAGATGTGGGAAGAGGTGGAGAAAGCAAACACAGACCCCACAGACCCAAGTATTATCTTTCTCAAAAAAGCTTGATTTCAGAAGCTGCCAGAACTTGCTTCAAATGCATCCTCTGCCACTTACCTACCTCCCTCATCTGTCACATGGAGAGATTATTAGCATCTACCTCACAGAGTTGAGGGAAAAAGAGTTGATGGTATAAAGTGTCTGGCACCCCAGGAAACCCTCAGTAATGGGAGAGGGTTCCTGTAAGCCAGCTGCCTGGCAAATGTATCCTGCCAGGTGGCCCAGGAAAACCAGAGCAATTCCTGTATTTTGAACTTCAAGGAACAATAGATAATTTTCACCCTGCTGCAACAAACCCTGAAAATGAAGTGTCTTCCCAGTTGCCTGAATTCTCTCATGCTGTCTTATTAATTCAGAGCGGAGGATAAAAGAGATGCCTTTGAATGATAAAGACAAAAAACTTGTTTTTTGGCTGGGTGTTGTGGCTCAGGCCTGTAATCCAGCACTTTAGGAGGCCGAGGTGGGCAGAACACCTGAGGTCAGGAGTTCAAGACCAGCCTGGCCAACATGGCGAAACCCTGTCTCTACTAAAAATACAAAAATTAGCTGGGTGTGATGGTGCGCACCTGTAATCCCAGCTACTCGGGAGGCTGAGGCAGGAGAATTGCTTGAACCCAGGAGGCAGAGGTTGCAGTAAGCTGAGATCACGCCACTGCACTCTAGCCGAGATGACAGAGCGAGACTCTGCCAACAAACAAAACAAAACAAAAAACAAAAAAAAACTTTTGTTTTTCAACTAAATTTTATATTAAAAAATCGTTTTTGGACAGTGTCTCACTGTCACCCAGACTGTAGTACAATAATGTGATCATGGGTCACTGTAGCCTCAACCTCCCAGGCTCAACCGATCCTCCCACCCCAGCCTCCCAAGTAGCTGGGACTACAGGTGCATGCCACCATGGCCAGCTAATTTTTAATTTTTTTGTAGAAACAGGGTCTCACCATGTTGCTCAGGCTGGTCTTGAACTCCTAGGCTCAAGCGATCCTTCTGCGTTGGCCTCCCAAAATGCTGGGATTACAGGTGTGAGGCACTGCACCATGCCTAAATTTTATCTTCTGAATAGGTACTGTAGGCTTACAGCATACATTTCAAATGACATAAAGGGATAGATATTAAAAAGTGAGTCTCCCTTCCACCTCTTCCCCTGTCAGCCTCTCCCCTCTCCAGGAGCAACAACTAGTATGAGTTTCTTAAGTGTCCCCTGAAAAATATGATATGGGGGCTTTTACCTCTTGACGATGTATCTAAAATTGCTCCAAATCAAAACACACAAGGCTGCCTCAGTCTTTTTTTCTTTTTTTTTTTGGAGACAGGGTCTTACTCTGTGGTCCAGGCTGGAGTACAGTGGTGCAAACATAGGTCACTGCAGCCTCAAACTCCTGGGCTCAAGTGATCCTCCTGCCTCAGCCTCCAGAGGAGCTGGGACTACAGGCATGTGTCACCACACCTGGCTAATTTTTTTGATTTTTATTTTTAGAGAGGGGATCTTGCTATGTTGCCCAGGTTAGCTGCCTCAGTCTTTATGAAAGTTACCCTGTACTGCATTGGGTGGAGCCAGTTAGTTCTTAAGAGGACCATTTCAGGTACCCTCTGTGTTTCAGAGCAAAGTTGTTGGGGTCGGTCTCTATTTTATGTCCCTGAAAGGTACGGCAGCCAAGAATGAGTTAAGTCCACACTTCCCCTCTGCTGTGTGGCTCCCCTCCCTGCCTTACTTATTGGTGCCAAATGGATTTTTCTAAAGCTGAGGAGCTTTCTCAACTTGGGGAAGAAAAGGCAAGAGAGAAGGGTCCAAGTGAGATTCCAGTCCCCCTGTTCTCCATTGATTTAATGGAAAACACCCCCTATGTCAGCAGATTGTGGAGATAGGACAAAGGAAGTGAAAATGATCAGAAGTTAAAACCTATGGAACTGTAGCCATTGTTTCTGTTTCGAGAATAAGATCACATAGTTTAGGGAGATTTGCCAAGTACCAGCTAACTTGCTCACATTATTCCATCAACCATGCAATGTCACTATAATTACCACTTTTCACAGATGAAGAAAATGAAGCTAAGTCATTTATCTAAGGTGGTGAGAGGCTCCAGAGCCTAAAAAGCTGCATTCCATCCCTCCCATGTGGAAGACCAGTCTGGGAGCTGCTCCTTTGAGGCAACTCAAGTGTCATCAACTCAAGCGTCATCTCCAAACAAGAAACTCTGAAAAGCAGGCAGTGCTTTAGAATCCCTAGAAGCCAAGCCTGAGAGAGAGACCCTCACGGAAGTGATTTACTGGGAGATGGCCCCCAAGTGAAATCTGTAAGGGAGGAGGGAAGCAAGATAGGGCAGGAGAAGAAGCCAAGCAAAGATGTGGATTTGAAACCGGTCCAATCATCCCACAGAACTGATGCTTACGGTTTCTTTTGAGTATATGTAGAGATTGACCTTCTCATCTTAAAATTTGAGAAGTTACATTTGTCTTATCTGAGTTCCTTTCTCAGTAAACCAACCATGAGGCTTCCCAGGTAGTATCAAGGAGCTGAAACTCACCAGATCACTGCATTTGGACAATGACAGTCCAGACCCTTCACCCTTCATGACTGCCTGTCTCCCACGACCTGCTTTCTGTTGACCAACTCCCCTTCCTTATCCTTCCCTGATTCCTGTTTTCCTGCATTTGTTATATTTCTGCTGTATAAACTCCTAATTTTAGTCAGTCAGGGAGATGGATTTGAGACTGATCTCCCATGTCCACAGCAGCAGCTCTCAAAGAAAGCCTTCTTCCCTGGCAATATTCATTGTTTCAGTGATTAGCTTTCTCTTTGGTGAGCAGCAGGACCTAGAAGCAACACTTGGTGTTTCAGTAACAGATTCAGCTGAGTCTAGCCTCAGCTGGATCCCATGGGGAGTCCTGGAGCATAAATGATACTAAGGAAGCTTCTAGGCTTTGAGGCAAGGGGGCCAAGCCTTCTATAGGTGTCATTGGCTGCTACCTATAGGGTTGCCAGATTTAGCAAATAAAAATATAGGATAGGCCAGGCACGGCGGCTCATGTCTGTAATCACAGTGCTTTTGGAGGCTGAGGCAGGAGGATTGCTTGAACCCAGGAGTTCTTACCCGTATGTATGTGTGCAAATGCACAGAAATCCCAGTGGACTGACTGATGGGGGAAGGGTGGGGCTGTGCAGAGGGTGTAAGAGACTTTCATTTTTTCAGCAATCTTTTTGTTTGATTTTTTTTTTTGAGACAGAGTTTTGTTCTTGTTGCCCAGGCTGGAGTGCAATGGCACAATCTCAGCTCACTGCAACTTCTGTCTCCCAGGTTCAAGCTATTCTCCTGCCTCAGCCTCCCAAGTAACTGGGATTACAGGCATGCACCATCACACGGGGCTAATTTGTTTTTTGTTTTTCGTTTTGTTTTGTTTTGTTTGAGTCGGAGTTTCGCTCTTGTTGCCCAGACTGGAGTGCAATGGCCCGATCTCTGCTCACCTCCACCTCCACCTCCTGGGTTCAAGCAATTCTCCTGCCTCAGCCTCCAGAGTAGCTGGGATTACAGGCATGCGCCACCACGCCTGGCTAATTTTGCATTTTTAGTAGAGACAGGGTTTCTCCATGTTGGTCAGGCTGGTCTTTAACTCCCAACCTCAGATGACCTGCCTGCCTCGGCCTCCCAAAGTGCTGGGATTACAGGAGTGAGCCACTGCGCCTGGCCTAATTTTGCATTTTTAGTAGAGACAGGGTTTCTCCATGTTGGTCAGGCTGGTCTTTAACTCCCGACCTCAGATGATCTGCCTGCCTCGGCCTCCCAAAGTGCTGGGATCAGGTGTGAGCCACCGTGCCCGGCTGTTTGATTTCTTTTAAAGTGACAGCATCATTTTGGTAACACTAATAATTATTAAATAAAAAATCAGGACCTGCTACTTACGTAGTTAGGCACAAGAGGGAGCTGTGGACCACACCTATCTTGTTTGTTTTTTCTCTGCAAAAACAAGCAAAAATACAGAATTCCCAGTTAAATTTGAGTTTCAGATAAACAATGAGTGGGACATCTTTATACTAAAAATGTATTTGTTGTTTATCTGAAATTAACATTTAACTGGGCATCCTGTATTTTATCTGGCAACACTTGGACATAAGAGGAGAAAAGGTATAGCTTCGCAGGCACCTCCAGTCATCTGAGGGTGGCTCAACTGGGCAGCCAACCCAGCAGGTGGGGGGTGGATGCAGCAGTCAGTAAAGGGGACCTGGGAAGGACATAAGCACACCCGTTTCGGGCAGGAACTCTGGGGGCAGTGCACCAGACAATGGTAAAAAAGACTAAAAGCCCTTTCCTAGACCATCAAAACCACCCCCATCACCCAGGGAACAGCAAGACAGCCTGGTCCCCTGCCCCAGCACCCACCCCTCTGCCAGCAGCTACTGGAGGACATCTTTTCTCCTTCAGTCATTCCCCTGCTTGTCTGGGGGTTATAGCTGGAGCCATGCTGTTTAACTTTGTCTCACCCAGCATTTCTGAACTGTATTTAAATGACGGAGGAAACTTTCCTTGGAAGTGATCTTAGAAATCTCCCTCCTAAAAAAATGGCTCCAGGGCCCCAGGAAGGGAGATTTTGGGGAGGGGATAACGACCCTGTAATAAAGCAGCCCGTTTCTGGAGGGGCCTTAAATCCTTTCTTCAAATTCAGAGACCTTCTCCTGGGGGTTCAAAGAGGTCCTTACAAAGAGATTTGTACCCCGTTTTCTCTGGAGGACTCTGCATCCCTGTTATAGGAACCTGAGGGCTCTGTGGGTTTGGACCTAGAAGAGCTCCAGGGAAAAGAGCAGGAGGAGTGGGCAACAGTAATGTCTAGCATAGCCCCAATTGTGTTATAAAAAAAAAATCCACAAAGCCAACCAGTTTTACACTGCTTACCCGTATGTATGTGTGCAAATGCACAGAAACCCCAATGGACTGACTGATGGGGGAAGGGTGGGGCTGTGCAGAGGGTGTAGGAGACTCTCCTTTTTTAAGCAATCTTTTTGTTTGATTTCTTTTAAAGTGACAGAGCATCATTTTGGTAACACTAATAATTATTAAATAAAAATCAGGACCTGCTACTTACATAGTTAGGCACAAGAGGGATCTATGGACCTATCTATATGCTGCGCCTTCCATGCTGGAAGAAAAAAATGCCTCCTCAGCCCACCCCCAAGGCAGGAGAGCCGGACCTAGAAAGCAGGCTCCCATCCCTTATCTGAAATCCTAAAAAAAAAAAACAACTGGAAACCAAGTATCTTCATCCAGCGCCAATGCTTAATCTGAACTAAGGTGAGGCTTACAGCTTTTGTCCCACTTACTGTGGCTACACATACATTGCATGGCAGAAATACAAATGCATTTATTTGACCATGTGTGGTGGCCCCAGACCCTGCAGAGGGCATCACATGATACATGGTATACACACTGTGATACCTTTCCAGGTCGAAACGCTTCTGAATTCAAATCACGTCTGGCCTGAGAGCTTTGGGGAGGGGTTGTCTTGGCAGCCACCTTTCCAGTTGTCCTTCAGGAAGTCACCTGCCCCCGACCCAGCCAGCTTTGGCCTTTGGTCATTGGAATTGTTACCCCCTTACTGCCCCTACGAACTCTTCCTTCTTCCACCCCCTGCTGCAGCTCCTGGTATGGCCTCAGATGCCTGTTCATTGCCTTGAGGATTTAAAGACCCTAAGATCCAGAAACCAATGAAGGGAAGGTTCCTCCAGGAGCCAAGAGAGAGGGACTGTCCTGTTGCTGAAAGGAGACCCGAGCAGTCACCTGTCCTCTCCCTCTGTCCCTCTGCCAGACTAGGCTGATGATGGTCACAAGACTCTCCTCCCACTGCCAGCACAGGCAACCCCAAGTCCACACCCTGGTTGGTACCAGCCCCAGGGAGCAAATACTGGGCCCCAGAGCCCTGCGGCAGCTGGGGACACCAGAAGAGCCAGCCCCAGGACTGTCACCTGGCAGGTAATTTGAGGATATCTCCACTGCCCTATCTGTGACCAGCCCCGTCCCTCTAAAAAAAACCCTCTACTTTTTTGTCTCCTTTCAGGAAATGGAGAAATTGCAAGAACAGCACCCAGTTTGGGGTTGGGGAGGGAGAAAAGGCTGATGAGAAGGTCCAGTCTGTGGTTGAAGGGTGATGCTGGAAGAGCTGAAAGGTGATGGCTCCTCCAAAGCAGAAGGCTGGGGCCTGCACGTGTTAAAATCTGCAGCCACCATTTTAGAACGGTGGTAGTTACCTAAGCAACCCATGGTCCTAAGAACAATATCCAGGGCTTGGAAAGTAAATAAGGGGGCCTACATTCAGCATTTATTATAAATATTAGACCCAAAATGTGTTTGAAGGCAGGTATAGCCCCTGGCCAGTAAGCAATCCCTTTAAAAGATGCCTGGGCAGACCCCAGCAGAGCTTCAGGGCTGGCTTCTGAAGCAGCAGCTAGGAGCAGTCACATTTGTTTTTCTTTTTTTTTTTTTTTTTTTTTTGAGACAGAGTCTTGCTGTGCTGCCCAGGCTGGAGTGCAGTGGCGCAATCTTGGCTCACTGCAACCTCCACCTCCCGGGTTCAAGCAATTCTTGTGCCTCAGCCTCCTGAGTAGTTGGGACTACAGGTGTGCACCAACATGCCTGGCAAACTTTTTGTATTTTTAGTAAAGAAGGGGTTTTGCCATGTTGGCCAGACTGGTCTTAAACTCCTGACTGCAGGTGATCCAGCCGCCTCAGCCTCCCAAAATTCTGGGATTACAGGCGTGAGCCACTGCACCTGGCCAGGCCACATCTCTTGACTGCTTTCCATGCCAGACCCCAGAGAGGCAATGAGACTGAGCCGAGACTTCTCCCAAAGGAGAATATTGTTGGGAACAAACAACACTCATATCCAGAGTATGGGGGCAGGGAGAGGATATCAGCAAGGTGAACGAGCCCTTCCAAAGTAGATGACACACCAGTCCTGGTTGTTAAAGAGGCTGGAGTGGAGAGGGCAAGCTGTCCCTGGATATGTCCTTAGCAGAATGATGTCGGAATTCAGGTGGGTTCTGTTTCCTGTCCAGCAGGAGGCTGGGCAGTTGGAAGTCCTTAACTATGATGAATGAACAACCGGGTGACCTTCTTCAATGGGGGCTCAAGCCAGGAAGGGTGGCCCCAGCAATCTACGGCTGAAGCTGCCACACACTGGCCTGGTCTGGGTGAGCCAATGGAGCCCCAGGTGGATTGGTAAGGTATGTGGGACAGCTCCTGCCTGAACAGGTAAAAGCATTGTTTTCACGTGTTACCATTACCTTTAGTTATATACCGAGAGGCTTCCCTCTCCTCATAAGCTGTGTGACCTTGGACAAAATACCACTCCATGCCTCGGTACCTCTGCTGAAAAACTGGCACAGTGTCATATGTACAGGGCTGCGTGAAAACACTTAGAATAGCCCCTGGCACATAGTTTAGTCCTCCAGCCTGGCCTAACATACGTTCTGAGAATTTCCTCTGGGCAAAGCAACAAGAATACTCACTGGGGCTCAAATGGAAGATACAGGCTTACACAGGCAGTCTCATCAGTTTGATGCATTTGTTACATCACTCACTCCTAGTGTTACCTCTGTCCAGGACAAGGAGCCCAGACTGACTGCAAACTGAGTTCTCACCACTGCTTGTCCTTCTTCAACACCTGACCAGGAGGGTCTGCCCACAGCGGCCCTGAAGGCCCCAACTCCAGGCAGTGAGATCGAGAGACCAGCTGCAGCTGTGATTCCTGGGGCTATCCATTGTTATTTCAGAAGTTCCTGGCAGTCTTTCAGGGGGTGCTGTGATGAATGAGTACTTTCTTCTTCCCGACTGTCATCAAAGGCACACACCATAGAGCCCAGGGGGTGTGTGGCAAGGGGGACTCAGAGCTGGCAGTAACCAGCAGGCTCGCTATAGTCACAGAGGCAGGAAGTGAGGCACAAGGGTCTTCCGAGTGCACCCAGAATTGCAGCACCAAGCGAGAACCTGAAAACCCACCTTATAGTTCAAAATGACTCTTTCATACTCTCTGCTCACAACTTGTAGTCAGTGCTTTCTGGTGACAGCAGAGGAGATGGAAGCTGTGTCCAGATGCAGAACCTGCCTACTGTCCTGGGTTCGGATGGATGGCACACACCCCGCCTGAATGACCCCATGGTGGGCACAGTTCAGGGACTGCTTTTGATGTCATCTTTAGCTGGTATTCAACCCAGAGCATAAGAGTTCCTGTATCCTGTACGGTTTCTGATCTGAGGTACTTATCCCAGGTCTGGGGCTTCCTCATTGATCCTGAGGAAACCATCTCTCATCACCTAGGCCCACCAACACTGAACCCCTCTCCCACTATGCTCAGAATTCTTGGTGAATATAGGAAATTGGAACAAATAAAATGTCTAATATCTACTTTCTTTTCTACTTCATTGATTTTTGTTTTTGTCTGTGTTTCTTCCCTCTAATTTGCTCTGGCTTTGATACTATTTATTTTCTCATTTCTTGAGCTAGAAGCTTAATTTATTGATTTTTCTTTCCTTTTTTCTTTTTATATAAGAGATGGGGTCTTGCCATGTTGCCCAGGCTGGTCTCAAACTCCTGGGCTCAAGCAGTCCTCCCGCCTTGGCCTCCCAAGGTGTTGAAACTACAGGTGTGAGCTACTCCACCTAGCCTCTTCCCTTCTAATATACGTATTGAAGCCTATGAATTTCCCTCTGAGGCACTGCTTTAGCTGCAGCCCAGCTTGATGTCATATTTTCATATCTTCTTCTTGTTTTTAAGCTCTAAGTTCCATTCTTCTCTGGTAAACTGAAATATTCAAACACAGTCCTGAATTCAGATTTAAACTGTAAAGTTTATCTCACTTTATTCCCAGAATGACTTGGCTGTAGATTTTCTGTAAAAAAAAAATTGGAAAGAGTGAAGCTCCTGGGGAGTTTAGGGCTCCTAAATCCTACAGAAAGAGTCAAAAAGAATATTTTGATGACTCTTGCCTTTTTTGATATACAATTTCCAGTGAATTATTATTATATTATTTTGAGATGGATTTTTGCGCTTATTGCCCAGGCTGGAGTGCAATGGCACAATCTCGGCTCACTGTAACCTCCGCCTCCCGGGTTCAAGCGATTCTCATGCCTCAGGCTCCCAGGTAGCTGGGATTACAGGTGTGTCCCACCACGCCCAGATAATTTTTGCATTTTTAGTAGAGATAAGATTTTGCCATGTTGGCCAGGTTGGTCTTGAACTCCTGGCCTCAAGCAATCGACCCACCTCGGCCTTCTCAAGTGCTGGGATTACAGGCATGAGCCACTGCACCTGGCCTTTGATATACAATTTCAACTGGATAAAAATTGCAAACATGATTCCTTAAACCTAATAAATCATCCATGCAAAGACTTCCAAAGCCTGTTAAACAAGCCTTATTTTAAAAAACACATTTTAAAGTTAACAGAAAATCTGCCAACATTGCACCTAATTAGGAGTTCAGAAATAGAAACCACCTGCATGTTGCTGATCTAGACTTATTAAATTTATTTCATGTCATTGTGGTCACTTTTACAGCTGTTTAGACTTATTTTCAATCACATTACTCTTCACAGAATTCACAGAATTCATTAACTAACTAGTATGTTACATCCAAGGGTTCTTAGTAGCACATTGAAATAGAAAAGAGGCCCACGAGTTGTTGCTTGTGTGTGGAACCTGAGTCTGATTACTTAGACAGATGTCTAGAACATTATTGCTTTATTAGGCCTATTTTTAAAAATAATAAATTATTCCTAGGAAACCCACCCTGCCAGGTGCTCATTCTGCGACTGCTGTGGGTTCACTCAGAACATACCTGACTGGTGGGTGCTGAATGAACCTCCCACCCATGTACCCTGCTGCTCCGGACGCTCTGAGGGCTAGAGCAATGCCCCTCCATGCGTGTAAACATTTTCTACAGCTTGCCACTTTCCTCCCTGGTCTTGCAGCCAATGGGCTGCAGTCATACATGGGTCTCTATGTAAAACTTAAATTAGACCTAAACAACAGGGTTCAGCGAATGAGGACTAATGCTCCTATAAAAGCCACTGCCCATGCAAGGGAATACACCTGATGCAACAAAAATATCTTGAGTCTCCAACTATAAGGAATGTCTCAAAGAAAATGTCCTTGATTTAATTATGGTCCAAGGTGGCTGCTTTGCACAAGCTTCTCAGTGACATGAACTTGAAGACTTCATGGTAGATTTCATGGCTGGGGTTTCTTATTTTGTTCCATATGAGTTTCTATTTTGTGAAAAATATCTTGGAGGTTTTCGCGTGGTCCCCAAAGCTCTGGGGAACCGTGGATACCAGGGATAAGGGACGGGCTTCCTCAGGGTCACTGGCGCTCCGACCGCATTTGGGGCAGGATCCCTGAGAGTGGTGGCTGCGTCAGACTTGGGGGATGGGAGCAGATGCTGTGTGCAGAATGCAGGCTGCAGTCGGGGCCTCAGTCCAGCTTCTTGTTGTTGTCTGTGTTGTGCACAGAAGCTAAAAAGTCGATTATGAGCTTGGCTGTCTTCCTGGGTCTTTCCATCACTACTGAGTGCCCACAGTTTTCCAGAAGCTCCACCTGGCAGTTGGCAATTGACTTGGCCAACATGTCTGCCCCAGACACATCCAGCACCTGCTGGGCAAGAAAGGGAGCTGGATGATACACAAAGATTCAGACACCCACGTGTGCACTCTGTGGACAGAACTTCCACCAAGGCCTGGCAGGGGTCAGTGGGGCAGGAGGATGTGAATTTTAGGACCAAGTCCCTTTGGTGTTGGGGCTTGTGGCTGTCTGAATGGAAGTAACCATGATGCCTCCTGTTTTATTCTGCAACTCTGTGCCAGGAGTTGGGCTGATGTCAGCAATACTGAGGTAGAAAACAAACGTTCCTTGCCCTTGAGGAGGTTATGGTATGGTGGGGAAGTCAGAGAGCACAGGGGATGAGCAGGGTCGAGGGAAGACCTCGTTCCTGAGTCCCGGGAGAGCAGAAAGGGGACAGGGGAGGAGCATTCACGGATGTGGGAATGGCACAGGGTGGGAGATCATGGCGAGTGCAGGGGCCACCAAGGAGCACGGCGGCTGAGACACCAAGCACATGGGCAGTGGGGGTGGCATGGTGGGGAGAAGGGGCAGAGAGGAGGGCGCTGCTCCTACAGCCACACGGACCATGGGGAACCACAGGCTGTGTTAAGGTGAGTGACTTGATCAGGCTGGCCCTGTGGCTGGTTAGGGCAGCCCAAGCTGTAGGAAGGATGCAAGAGGGGAAGGCTAATTATCACAAGCTGGGGGTATCTCTTTATTTGTTGAAAAGGAGTTTCACTCTTTCGCCCAGGCTGGAATGAAGTGGCGTGATCTCAACTCACTGCAACCTCCGCCTCCCAGGTTCAAGTGATCTTCTGCCTCAGCCTCCCCAGTAGCTGGGATTATAGGTGCCCGCCACCATGCCCAGCTAATTTTTGTATTTCTAGTAGAGATGGGGTTTCACCACGTTGGCCAGGCTGGTCTCGAACTCCTGACCTCAGGTGATCCACCTGCCTCAGCCTCCCAAAGTGCTAGGATTACAGGCCTGAGCCACCGCACCCAGCTGGAGGTCTCTTTGAAGGTCCTCTGGGGATCCCCAGAGCTGTGTGTTTCTTGGCTCTAACCTCTGCAGATATGGGGAATGCTTTTCCAACATGAAAGCCAGAACTTTTCCAGGGCTGATCCTTTTCAAACAACTCATTTCCTCTCCTTTTCCTCTGGGTTCCCAGCTACTATGCCAATCCACCTCCATCTTTTTCCCCAACATCCTCCCTCAGAAGTGGATCCGCATTCACTCCCCTTCTCTTAGCTGCCTTTACCTTCAATTCATCCTAGACAAGAGGGCCCCTCCTCCCCATCCTTAACGGCAAAAGCAAAAGCCCCAACAAACTCAAGCACCTTCTGTGTCTTTGCTCTATTCTCACCAACTCAAATTATTAAAACCAAGATTTTCTGCCCACTGGGGAGTTAAGGTAAGACGATGCCTCAGTCAAGGAAAAGAGTCCTGCAGGGCATCCCTGGACCAGGAAAAGGAACAGCTAATGGGGAGCTTAACAGCTAATTCCAGCCAAGGAAATGGAAACCTCTGCCTTGTCACTCACTCACAGCTAAGGCTGCCACGGCAACCCACTGAGCAGGAATAACACCCAGCTACTGTGGAAACACTCAGAAGAAACGCAGATGCAGTCAATAGGTGAAAACAGCATGAAAAAGTGGAAACTCCCAACTGAGTGTCTTTTTTTGTTTTTTTGAGACAGGGTCTCGCTCTGTTGCACAGGCTGGAGTGCAGTGGCACGATCATGGCTCACTGCAGCCTTGACCTCCCGGGCTCAAGTGATCCTCCCACCTCAGTGCCCCCCAGGTAGCTGGGATGACAGGTACGCACCATCATGCCCAGGCAAAACTGAGTGTCTATCCTGGAGAGATATCAGAAACCACAACTCACAGGCAAAAATACCCATATGAGCTGCTGGCTTTGGCACTGTTTGCTGGTTAGCGTTACAAATCCATCATTCTCCATGGCCACCCAGAGGTATGTGCAACTACTGAACGACCCCCTGATGAGATATGCACATCTGTGGGAACCATTTCAGCGATTTCCTAGATAGAATATTCATATAAATGGTCAAAAACTTTTCCTGGGCTGGGTGTGGTGGCTCACACCTATAATATCAGCACTCTGGGAGGCCGAGGTGGGAAGATCTCTTGAACCCAGGAGTTCGAGACCAGCCTGGCCAACATAGTAAGACCTCATCTCTACAAAAAATAAAAAATTGCTCTCCCTCTCCCTCTCCCTCTCCCTCTCCCCACGGTCTCCCTCTCCCTCTCTTTCCAGGGTCTCCCTCTGATGCCGAGCCGAAGCTGGACTGTACTGCTGCCATCTCGGCTCACTGCAACCTCCCTGCCTGATTCTCCTGCCTCAGCCTGCCGAGTGCCTGCGATTGCAGGTGCACACTGCCACGCCTGACTGGTTTTCGTATTTTTTTGGTGGAGACGGGTTTCACTGTGTTGGCCAGGCTGGTCTCCAGCTCCTAACCGCGAGTGATCCGCCAGCCTCGGCCTCCGGAGGTGCCGGGATTGCAGACGGTGTCTGGTTCACTCAGTGCTCAATGGTGCCCAGGCTGGAGTGCAGTGGTGTGATCTCGGCTCGCTACAACCTCCACCTCCCAGCCGCCTGCCTTGGCCTCCCAAAGTGCCCAGAGTGCAGCCTCTGCCCGGCCGCCACCCCATCTAGGAAGCGAGGAGCGTCTCTGCCTGGCCGCCCATCGTCTGGGATGTGAGGAGCCCCTCTGCCTGGCTGCCCAGTCTGGAAAGTGAGGAGCGTCTCTGCCCGGCCGCCATCCCATCTAGGAAGTGAGGAGCGCCTCTTCCCGGCCGCCATCCCATCTAGGAAGTGAGGAGCGTCTCTGCCCGGCCGCCCATTGTCTGAGATGTGGAGAGCGCCTTTGCCCCGCCGGCCCGTCTGGGATGTGAGGAGCGCCTCTGCCCGGCCGCGACCCCGTCTGGGAGGTGAGAAGCGTCTCTGCCCAGCCGCCCCATCTGAGAAGGGAGGAGACCCTCCGCCCGGCAACCGCCCTGTCTGAGAAGTGAGGAGCCCCTCCGCCCGGCAGCCACCCCGTCTGGGAAGTGAGGAGCCTCTCCGCCTGGCAGCCGACCCGTCCGGGAGGGAGGTGGGGGGTCAGCCCCTGCCAGGCCAGCCGCCCCGTCCGGGAGGGAGGTGGGGGGGTCAGCCCCCCGCCCGGCCAGCCGCCCCATCCGGTAGGTGAGGGGCGCCTCTGCCCAGCCGCCCCTACTGGGAAGTGAGGAGCCCCTCTGCCCGGCCAGCCGCTCCATCCGGGAGGAAGGTGGGGGGTCAGCCCCCGCCAGGCCAGCCGCCCCGTCCGGGAGGGAGGTGGGGGGGGTCAGCCCCCCGCCCGGCCAGCCGCCCCGTCTGGGAGGTGAGGGGCGCCTCTGCCCAGCCGCCCCTACTGGGAAGTGAGGAGCCCCTCTGCCCAGCCAGCCGCCCCGTCCGGGAGGGAGGTGGGGGGGTCAGCCCCCCGCCCGGCCAGCCGCCCCGTCCGGGAGGTGAGGGGCGCCTCTGCCCGGCCGCCCCTACTGGGAAGTGAGGAGCCTCTCTGCCCGGCCAGCCGCCCCGTCCGGGAGGGAGGTGGGGATGTCAGCCCCCCGCCCGGCCAGCCGCCCCGTCCGGGAGGGAGGTGGGGGGGTCAGCCCCCCGCCCGGCCAGCCGCCTCGTCCGGGAGGTGAGGGGCGCCTCTGCCCGGCCGCCCCTACTGGGAAGTGAGGAGCCCCTCTGCCCGGCCAGCCACCCCGTCCGGGAGGGAGGTGGGGGGGTCAGCCCCCTACCCGGCCAGCCGCCCTGTCCGGGTGGTGAGGGGCGCCTCTGCCTGGCCGCCCCTACTGGGAAGTGAGGAGCCCCTCTGCCCAGCCACCACCCCGTCTGGGAGGTGTGCCCAACAGCTCATTGAGAATAGGCCATGATGACAATGGTGGTTTTGTGGAATAGAAAGGGGGGAAAGGTGGGGAAAAGATTGAGAAATCGGATGGTTGCCGTGTCTGTGTAGAAAGAGGTAGACATGGGAGACTTTTCATTTTGTTCTGTACTAAGAAAGATTCTTCTGCCTTGGGATCCTGTTGATCTGTGACCTTACCCCGCAACCCTGTGCTCTCTGAAACATGTGCTGTGTCCACTCAGGGTTAAATGGATTAAGGGCAGTGCAAGATGTGCTTTGTTAAACAGATGCCTGAAGGCAGCATGCTCGTTAAGAGTCATCACCACTCCCTAATCTCAAGTACCCAGGGACACAAACACTGCGGAAGGCCTCAGGGTCCTCTGCCTAGGAAAACCAGAGACCTTTGTTCACTTGTTTATCTGGTGACCTTCCCTCCACTATTGTCCTATGACCCTGCCAAATCCCCCTCTGTGAGAAACACCCAAGAATGATCAATAAAAAAAATAAAAAAATAAAAAAAATAAAAAATTACCCGGGTGTGGTGGCACATGCCTGTAGTCCCAGCTGCCTGGGAGGCTGAGGTGGGAGCATTGCTTGAGCTCAGGAGGTTGAGGCTGCAGTGAGCTATGATTGAGCCACTGCATTCTAGCCTGGGTGACAGAGCAAGAACCAGTCTCAGAACAAACAAACAAACAACCCCCCTGCCCAACAAAAAACAAAAATCAAAACCTTTTCCTGCATTGCTTCACACCAGGGCTAAAACTATGGTGAGGCAAATGAGGCATTTGCCTAAGGCACAAAATTTAAGTGCCAAAAAACTCATAAATTAAGAGAAAATATTTTAGTGCAGTATGTTAAAAAAAACATTAATGGAAAAAGGCACATGATGAACAAAATATCAAAATCATAAATACAGACAGGATCTGACCCTGCACCTGCATGACACATCTCTCTCATCTCACCCTTGTCTCGGGCCTGTTATGCACTATAAGGGTAGGTAGACGATAAATTGCTGGAGGGCAGGGATCCTGGCTGTCTTGGTCCCTACTGTATCCTCAGGGCCTAATACAGTGTTAGGCACATACTAGGTGCTCAATAAATGCCTGTTAACTGGCTTAAATGTGTAGTCAGTCAGTGGGTTTATCCCTTCACTAGTTGGTTTGTTCACTCAATTTCTCACTTGTTTGCTCACTCACTGTGTACTCTGGGTCTCCTGCATACCAGGCACGGTGCTGGCAGGGAGAAGGGACATAAAGAATAATAGCCTGTCTGTCTCTAGATGGCCCTCCCATTTTGATGGACTGAACATAGAGGAGCGATGCTTGAAATGAAGCATGCAGAAACCCTCTCAGGAAGGGCTGCCATGTTTGGGTGTACAGGTTGTATACAGACCAAATCCATCATTCACAAAAATGACAATGCACATGGCTCCCCCTGCAGCTGTGCAGTATAGCAGTCAGCCTACAGGGGTCCAAAGAAGAAGGAAGCTGAATTTGGCCTGGTAGGGGCAGGTGCTGTGACACCAAATGTTGATGACAGAGCAGGAAAAGAGCCAGCGAGCTTGGGAGGCAAAAGGCTGTGAAATAAAAGACTCCCTGAAGCCTCTGCTATTTGGCCTCTGTCCCAGGGACAGTCCACAAAACACATGAAGGATCTGATCACATTTATAGCAAGCCCATAGAATGTTAGGCTCTTTTTCTGGAATGAAACGGACTTCTGAGTCTGGGAAAAAAATTTGGACCATGCATTGAAGCCACCAACAGAGGCAAAGGACATGAGCAGTCTAATCTAATACCAGCTAACCTAACTTTTTTGCAACTGGAAGATCATTTTCATACATATTATTTCATTTGAGCCTCAAAATAACCCTGGTACTAGAAGTTTCAGAAACCCTTAATTTAGAGGGGCTGAGTTACTTGCTCAAGGTCATGCATGGGCTGACCAAGGACAAAAGTAGGGCTGGAACATAGACTTTCAGAATCCAAGGCCAGTGCCCTTGCTTCTGCGCTGTCTCCACAGGAAGATGGGTTACAGCCTCTCCCTGTTGGCTCCTGAGAGCCCCAAATCACCTTTGGGGTTTTTAGAACAACAGAAGGCCTTCGCTGCTCAGGCTCTGATTCCTGATCAAATGACTCTCTGCTGGCATAGCCCAGGGCACAAACAAAGCTTCTTTCAGTCCCTTGGCGCTGCAGAAGAGAGCACATGAGATCCCCTTCTCTCCACGTCCACAAAACCATGCTGTGAATCCTCACCATGCCTGGCTCATCTAAGACACCATTGCCTCTTATTCTGCGTACACGCCATGGGCACAGCCTGGCTGCTCCTCCCCACTCTCTCCTGCCTGGGTCATTCATGCACTTGTGGGTCTTTGTGGCCACAGTGTGACCTCCTGCCAGTTAAAAATTGATGCATTTAGGTAAAGGGTATGCAGGTATACTCTGTATTCTTTTTTATTTTTATTTTTTTGAGATAGGATCCCGCCCTGTGGCCCAGGCTGGTGTGCAGTGAAGCAATCACGGCTCACTGCCACCTCCATGTCCTGGACTCAAGTGATCCTCCTGCCTCACCCTCCAGAGTAGCTGGGACTACAGATGCATACCACCATGCTTGGCTACTTTTTTAAAAATTTATTTTTTATAGAGATGGGATCTCACTATGCTGCCCAGGTTGGTCTCAAACTCCTGGGCTCAAGCAATCCTCCTGCCTTAGCCTCCCAAAGTGCTGGCATTATAGGCGTAAGCCACCATGCCTGGCCTTCTTTCAAATTTTCTGTAAGTTTGAAATTATTTCAAGATAAAATTTTTTTAAGAATAGAAGGAATAGATTTGTTTGGGCTGATATAAAATGATTTCCAAGATACCTACTTATATATACATATACATATATATATATATATACACACACACACACACACACACACACACACATATATGATCTTATATATCTTATATGCACACCTATATATATCTAAGCTTTCAAACATGCATCTTAGATGCCAGTGTATCTAGCATGTTTGAAAGCTCAGATATGTATAGGTATGCATATATATACACTATACGTGTGCTTAGAATAGGAGTAGGCAAACAATGGCTCACTGCCCGTTTTTATAAATAAAGGTTCACTGGAAAAAGCCATGCCATTTGTTTACATATTGCCTATGGCTGCTTTTATACTATAAGGTCACAGTTACTCAACTGTGTCCAGGTGTGACAGAGACTGGACCACAAGGCTGAAAATGTTTACCATCTGGCCCTTTACAGAAAACATTTGCTAACTTCTGGCTTAAAAAATTTAGGCCAAGCATGTTGGCTCATGCTTGTAATCCCAGCACTTTGGGAGGCTAAGGAAGGTGGACTGCTTGAAGTCAGGAGCTCAAGACCAGCCTGGCCAAAATGGTGAAACCCCGTCTCTACTAAAAAAAATACAAAAATTGCCAGGTGTGGTGGCTCACGCCTGTAATCCCAACACTTTGGGAGGCTGAGGCCGGCAGATCATGACGTCAGGAGATCGAGACCATCCTGGCTAACATGGTGAAACCCCGTCTCTACTAAAAATACAAAAAATTAGCTGGGCATGGTGGCGGGTGCCTGTAGTCCCAGCTACTTGAGAGGCTGAGGCAGGAGAATGGCGTGAACCCAGGAGGCAGAGCTTGCAGTGAGCCGAGATTGTGCCACTGCACTCCAGCCTGGGTAACAGAGCAAGACTTCGTCTAAAAAAAAAAAAACAAAAGAACAAAAAACAAAAATTAGGTGAGCATGGTGGAGGGCACCTGTAATCCCAGCTACTTGGGAGGCTGAGGCAGGAGAATCGCTTGAACCTGGGAGGCAGAAGTTGCAGTGAGCCAAGATTGGGCCACTGCACTCCAGCCTGGGTGACAGAGCAAGACTCCGTCTCAAACGAAAAAAAGAAAAGAAATATATTCAAGATAGTAAGATAAGAGTTGCCTCATGGTAATGGAGAATGGAATTTGGGATGCGAAAAAGAAAAGTTTTCATTATAAACCTTTTGGTGTTCTTTGAAGATCTTTTTATACCATGTGACTACATGGCTTTGATAAAAACAATTTTTGAAAATGATTTAAAATTGTCTTTCCTTTTACCAGACCAAATGTTGTTTCTCTCCACTCCCAGAACTCTGCCCACTGTCAACACTGGCACCCAACACAGGTGCCTTCCCCCTCTTCCTGACAGCAGCGATCAGCTCACTCCATAAATAACCACTTGTTCTTCCTCAAGGACGTTTTTCCTCAGAGGCCCTGGTGACCAGCACAGACTGCCGCGGGGATGTGTTACATACCTGGTCTTGTTTCCCCCAGATGATCTGCGTCGGAACCTTGATCTTGTCCATGTTCTGATGGAGAGAGTATCTGGACTTCTCACTGACGATTTCCAAAAACACTTGTCAGAAAAGGAAAACAAAGTGAGTATGTGCTGGACTGTGCCTGTGGCACCACCGCAGAATCAAGGGATAGTCACCAGATCCAGGCCACCACTTCCTCTCTTCAGGGGCCCAAAGAGACATTCAAAGTGTCAGAGATTTAAGAAATAAAAGCCATCCATCCACAGAGCTTCACTTGTAACAAGCTCCAAGCTGAAAGTAGGGCTACTTACACTTTCGGTAGAAGTTGTTATGAGGGATGCGGACATCGACAAGGCCTTGCAGGATCTAAGGATAAATAACCCAAAGTTAGAGAGCAAGAGAAGATTCATTTCCTCAGGCCTCTCACAGCTCTGGGACAATGAATGGGAATGAGGTCCAGCAATTTATTGCACTGTCAAGGTCTTTAGAGCCTGGTCCTCTGAATTCCCATGATGCAGCACACAGTCTAATGGGGAGTTAGGCTTCTAAGAAGCTTTTTATTATTATTATTATTATAAAGGAACTTGGGTAATATCGTGAAACTGGAGGTGCCCTACAGCATGTTAAATACACCTGAGATGGCCTGACAGCAACTTTAGCTTGAGAGATTCTCTGCTTCACTTAAGACATAATCAGGATGGGCCGGGCATGGTGGCTCATGCCTGTAATCCCAGCACTTCAGGAGGCCAAGGCGGGCAGATCACTTGAGGCCAGGAGTTCAAGACCAGCCTGGCCAAATGGTGAAACCCCCATCTCTACTAAAAAGACAAAAACTAGCAGGATGTGATGGTGCAGGCCTGTAATCCCATCTACTCGGGAGGCTGAGGCAGGAGAATCACTTGAACCCAGGAGGCGGAGGTTGCAGTGAGCTGAGATTGCGCCACTGCACTCCAACCTGGGCGACAGTGAGACTCTATCTCAAAAAAAAAAAAAAGACATAATGAGGATGACCATAATATCAAGTAATTCGCCAGTAATATCCAAACGCAGAACAAGTTCCATTAAAAAAATTAAGCCACTGGGGGATGATAGGTCTATTAAACAACAAAGAAATAAACTATTGAAAAGATTCTGGGGAGGGTTCCACAGTCCCACTGGGAGGGTTCAACAGCCCTTTGTTTATCATTTGACACTGTCTTTGCCTTCCCTGCTGAGGGCTGGTGAGGGCTGCAGCCAATGTGGACAGGCCACATCTTCTGGACCTGGGCTACTGACCCAAAGAGGTAGTGGTGGCTGGAAGGAACACAGTTCTTCTCTTCCTCCTGCCTCAGGACTCCTGAGGTAGAGTACAGGGTTCACATTAGTGGCTGTACTCCTCTACTCCTCTCCTCTACCTGCAAACAGGTCTGAACCCTTTAATTACACTCTCTCAGGAGTCCTGTGCACTGACTGAAAGTGGGGAAGAACCAGCCATGGCTGCTATGGACTAAACCAACCCTCTGGAGCATCACTAGACTCTAACTCATTCAGCCTGGACATGAGGACAATGACAATTTGTTGAATAACAACATTGTGCTCAGCATCAGAGATTTTCTTTGTTCAGCTATCCACCTGTACCCACATATCTATTCATCTTGTGTCCATCCATCCTCCACCTCTGCTCAATGCAGCCATCCATCCTGAACCACATATGCATTTGTCTACCTATCTATCCTGTATTCATCAATCCATCCAACCTCCATCTCTGCATTAACCAGATATCCTCCCATCCATCCATCCATCCAACCATTCAGCCATCTATCCATCCTGCAGACCTAAATCATCTGTGCACTGGCACATCAATCAATTCATGCAAAAATCTATCCTGCATCTACCCACCCATCCATTGTCCATCCCTGCATTATCCAGGCATCCTCTCATCCATCAATCCATCCAATCTATACCTAGGACCTACTTCATGCAAGCACTGTGCTAAAGTCTGGGGATAGAACAGCCAATTAAGACAAAGTCCCTAGTGGAAGACACAGACGTGCAATCACAACACAATATGACATGGTGGGCTGAGTGTGCAGGTGCTCCTTCTCTCCTAGGAAGGAAAGACTTTTGGAGCTGCCATTTATTTTTCTCTTGGTGTTTTCATATCCCTGACAACCCAAAACATGGAGTTTTCTAAAACATCATTTGGCCACTCTATTCTGGGAAGAGATCAGTGCTGGGAGAAAGGAATGCTACTTCATGGCTAAAAAGGGATTTCAGGGGTGGAACATGCCACAGCATCAGATTCTGGGTGTTTCCTGAGGGACAGGCCGTATCTATTAACTGAGCCATGTTCACAACTTCTGAATGGGATCTATTCCCTCAAGTCTTAGGAGGACCTGCCCACCTCCAGGCAGGGTCCAGCTCCTACAACAGAGGGAGATAATTTGGGGTTATGAAGCCTCAGCCATGGACTCTCCTCTCTTGGTTCTTCACACCATTTCCCTAGATGACTTCATTCAGTCCCATAACCTTCAATATTAGCGTCTGCTGATGGCTCCAGTGGTACAGCTTCAGGCCAGACTTCCCTCAGCTACACCTTGACCTCTGCACTTGGAGGCCTCACAGGCAACCTGAACTTAACACATGAAAAATGGAGTCCTTGGCATATTCCCCAAGCCTGCCCTTCTACTCTTCAGAATATACTACCTCTGTTTTTGTTTTTGTTGTTGTTTTTTTGAGACAGGGTCTCACTCTGTTGCCCAGGATGGAGTGCAGTGGCATGATCTTGGCTCACTGCAGCCTCTGCCTCCTGGGCTCAGGTGATCCTCTCACCTCAGCCTCCCGAGTAGCTGGATCTACAGGCACGCACCACCACACTTGGCTAATTAAAAAAATTTTTTTTTGTAGAGATGGGGCTTCACCACGTTGCCCAGGCTGGTCTCGAACTCCTGCATTTACACAATCCACCCGCCTTGGCCTCCCAAAGTGCTGGGAATACAGGTGCAAGCCACCATGCCCAGCCAGGACCTCAAGTGCTGGAAGTCACCTGGGACTCCTCCCCTTTCCCCAGCCCCCATTTCCAATTTGCCTGTACATCCTGTCCATTCTTTCTCAAATCTCATCTCCATTGCTACCATCCTAGTCTACACCACCATCATCTCCAAGGCACAATAGTTCCCAAATGGGTTCCTCTGTTCCATTTGTGCTCTCCTACAATCTCTCAGTGGTCCTATTATACTTAGAAAAACTCCTGGCTCCTTTCCGTACCTATAAGGTCCTACAGGATCTAGTCCAGCATTTTTCAAAGTGGTTCTTGGGAGTCTAGGAGGTCAAACTACTTTCCTAATACTCAATGTTACTTGCCTCTTCACTTACATTCTCTCAAAAGTACACTGTTTTTCAGAGCCTATAAAATGTGGGATGATGTCCTTGCTCTTGGCTACTGGAATAAGTGCTTGTACATTCATTGCATTTTGGAATCTTCTGAGTTTTCATTTATTTTCTTTTATTTGTATTTAAATAGAGATGGGGTCTCGCTACGTTGACCAGGCTGGTCTTGAACTCCTAGTCTCAAGCAATCCTCCCATCTTGGCCTCCCAAAGTGCTAGGATTACAGGCATGAACCACCGCACCCGGCCTGAGTTTTAATTTCTAATATGGTAAACATTAATAATAAATATAACCCCTATAAATAAAAACCCTTTGGGTTCCTCAACAATTTTTAAGAGTATAACGAGGATAGGTTCCAAGATGGCCGAATAGGAACAGCTCCGGTCTGCGGCATCCAGCGTGATCAACGCAGAAGGCGGGTGATTTCTGCATTTCCAATTAACGTACCTGGTTCATCTCACTGGGACTGGTTGGACAGTGGGTGCAGCCCACAGAGGGCGAGCTGAAGCAGGGCAGGCATCGCCTCACCTGGGAAGTGCAAGGGGTCGGGGGATTTCCCTTTCCTAGCCAGGGAAGCCATGACAGACTGTACCTGGAAAACTGGGACACTCCTGCCCAAATACTGCACTTTTCCCAAGGTCTTAGCAACTGGCAGACAAGAAGATTCTCTCCCGTGCCTGGCTCGGTGGGTCCCAGGCCCACAGAGCCTTGCTCCCTGCTAGCACAGCAGTCTGAGATTGAACTGCAAGGCGGCAGCCTGGCTGGGGGAGGGGCGTCTGCCATTGCTGAGGCTTAAGTAGGTAAACAAAGTGGCCTGGAAGCTCGAACTCGGCAAAGCCCACCACAGCTCAGCAAGGCCAGCAGCCTCTAGACTCCACCTGTGTGGGCAGGGCTTAGCTGAACAAAAGGCAGCAGGCAATTTCTGCAGACTTAAATGTCCCTGTCTGACAGCGCTGAAGAGAGCAGTTGTTCTCCCAGCACAGCATTTGAGCTCTGAGACAGACAGACTGCCTCCTCAAGTGGGTCCCTGACCCTCGTGTAGCCTAACTGGGAGACACCTCCCAGTAGGGGCTGATTGACACCTCATACGGCCGGGTGCCCCTCTGAGACAAAGCTTCCAGAGGAAGGATCAGGCAGCAATATTTGCTGTTCTGCAGACTCCGCTGGTGATACCCAGGCAAACAGGGTCTGGAGCGGACCTCCAGCAAACTCCAACAGACCTGCAGCTGAGGGACCTGATTGTTATAAGGAAAACTAACAAACAGAAAGGAATAGCATCAACATTAACAAAAAGGACATCTACACCAAAATCCCATCTGTAGGTCACCAACATAAAAGACCAAAGGTAGATACAACCACAAAGATGGGGAGAAACCAGAGCAGAAAAGCTGAAAATTCTAAAAACCAGAGCGCCTCTTCTCCTCCAAATGATTGCAGCTCCTCGCCAGCAACGGAACAAAGCTGGATGGAAAATGACTTTGCTGAGCTGACAGAAGTAGGCTTCAGAAGGTCAGTAATAACAAACTTCTCCGTGCTAAAGGAGCATGTTTGAACCCATTATAAGGAAGCTAAAAACCTTGAAAAAAGGTTAGACAAATGGCTAACTAGAATAAACAGTGTAGAGAAGACCTTAAATGACCCGATGGAGCTGAAAACCATGGCACGAGAACTTCATGATGCATGCACAAGCTTCAATAGCCAATTTGATGAAGTGAAAGAAAGGGTATCCGTGATTGAAGATAAAATTAATAAAATAAAGTGAGAAGACAAGGTTAGAGAAAAAAAAGTAAAAAGAAACAAAAAAAGCTTCCAAGAAATACGGGACTATGTGAAAATACCAAATCTATGTTTGACTGATGTACCTGGAAATGATGGGAAGAATGGAACCAAGTTGGAAAACACTCTTCAGGATATTATCCAGGAGAACTTCCCCAACCTAGCAAGGCAGGCCAACATTCAAATTCAGGAAATACACAGAACACCATAAAGATACTACTCGAGAATAGCAACCCCAAGACACATAATTGTCAGATTCAGCAAGGTTGAAATGAAGGAAAAAGTGTTAAGGGCAGCCAGAGAGAAAGGTCAGGTACCCACAAAGGGAAGCCCATCAGACTAACAGCGGATCTCTTGGCAGAAACCCTACAAGCCAGAAGAGACTGCGGGCTAATATTCAACATTCTTAAAGAAAAGAATTTTCAACCCAGAATTTCATATCCAGCCAAACTAAGCTTCATAAGTGAGGGAGAAATAAAATCCTTTACAGACAAGCAAACGCTGAGAGATTCTGTCACCACCAGGCCTGTCTTACAAGAGCTCCTGAAGGAAGCACTAAACATGGAAAGGAACAACCGGTATGAGCCACTGCAAAAACATGCCAAATTGTAAAGATCATTGACACTATGAAGAAACTGCATCAATAATGGGCAAAATAACCAGCTAACATCATAATGACAGGATCAAATTCACACATAACAATATTAACCTTAAATGTAAATGGGCTAAATGCCCCAATTAAAAGACACAGACTGGCAAATTGGACAAGACCCATCAGTGTGCTATATTCAGGAGACCCATCTCACATGCAGAGACACACATAGGCTCAAAATAAAGGGATGGGGGAAGATCTACTAAGCAAACGGAAAGCAAAAAAAAAGCAGGGTTGCAATCCTAGTCTCTGATAAAACAGACTTTAAACCAACAAAGATCAAAAGAGACAAAGAAGGCCATTACATAATGGTAAAGGGATCAATTCAACAAGAGCTAACTATCCTAAATATATATGCACCCAATACAGGAGCACCCAGATTCATAAAGCAAGCTCTTAGAGACCTACAAAGAGACTTAGACTCCCACACAATAATAATGGGAGACTTTAACACCCCACTGTCAATACTAGACAGATCAATGAGACAGAAGGTTAACAAGGATATCCAGGACTTGAACTCAGCTCTGCACCAAGCAGACCTAATAGACATCTACATAACTCTCCACCCCAAATCAACAGAATATACATTCTTCTTAGCACCACATCACACTTATTCTAAAATTGACCACATAATTGGAAGTAAAGCACTCCTCAGCAAATGTAAAAGAACAGAAATCACAACAAACTGTCTCTCAGACCACAGTGCGATCAAATTAGAGCTCAGGATTAAGAAACTCACTCAAAATTGCACAACTACATGGAAACTGAACAACCTGTTCCTTAATGACTACTGGGTAAATATCGAAATGAAGGCAGAAATAAAGATGTTCTTTGAAACCAATGAGAACAAAGATACAATGTACCAGGATCTCTGGGACACATTTAAAGCAGTGTGTAGAGGGAAATTTATAGCACTAAATGCCCACAAGAGAAAGCAAGAAAGATCTAAAATTGACACCCTAACATCACAATTAAAAGAACTAGAGAAGCAAGGGCAAACACATTCAAAAGCCAGCAGAAGGCAAGAAATAACTAAGATCAGAACAGAACTGAAAGAGATAGAGACACAAAAAACCCTTCAAAAAATCAACGAATCCAGGAGCTGGTTTTTTGAAAAGATCAACAAAATTGACAGACCACTGGCAAGACTAATAAAGAAGAAAAGAGAGAAGAATCAAATAGACACAATAAAAAATGATAAAGGGGATATCACCACCAATCCCACAGAAATACAAACTACCATCAGAGAATACTATAAACACCTCTACGCAAATTAACTAGAAAATCTAGAAGAAATGGATAAATCCTGGACACATACACCCTCCCAAGACTAAACCAGGAAGAAGTTGAATCTCTGAATAGACTAATAACAGGCTCTGAAATTGAGGCAATAATTAATGGCTTACCAACCAAAAAAAGTCCAGGACCAGACAGATTTACAGGCGAATTCTACCAGAGGTACAAAGAGGAGCTGGTACCATTCCTTTGGAAACGATTCCAATCAATAAAGAGGGAATCCTCCCTAACTCATTTTATGAGGCCTGCATCATCCTGATGCCAAAGCCTGGCAGAGACACAACAAAAAAAGAGAATTTTAGACCAATATTCCAGATGAACATCGATGTGAAAATCCTCAATAAAATACTGGCAAACCGAATCCAGCAGCAGAAAGTTTATCCACCACGATCAAGTCGGCTTCATCCCTGAGATGTAAGGCTGGTTCAACATACACAAATCAATAAATGTAATCCATCACATAAATAGAACGAATGACAAACACCACATGATTATCTCAATAGTTGCAGAAAAGGCCTTTGACAAAATTCAACACCCCTTCATGCTAAAAACTCTCAATAAACTAGGTATTCATGGAATATATCTCAAAATAATAAGAGCTATTTATGACAAACCCACAGCCAATATCATACTGAATGGGCAAAAACTGGAAGCATTCCCTTTGAAAACTGGAACAAGACAAGGATGCCCTCTCTCACCACTCCTATTCAATATAGTGTTGGAAGTTCTGCCCAGTGCAATCAGGCAAGAGAAATAAATAAAGGATATTCAGTTAGGAAAAGAGGAAGTCAAATTGTCCATTTACAGATGACATGATTGTATATTTAGAAAATCCCATCGTCTCAGCCCCGAATCTCCTTAAGCTGATAAGCAACTTCAGCAAAGTCTCAGGATACAAAATCAATGTGCAAAAATCACAAGCATTCCTATACAACAATAACAAACAGAGAGCCAGATCATGAGTGAACTCCCATTCACAATTGCTACAAAGAGAATAAAATACCTAGGAATCCAACTTACAAGGGATGTGAAGGACCTCTTCAAGGAGAACTACAAACCACTGCTCAACGAAATAAAAGAGGACGCTAACAAATGGAACAACATTCCATGCTCATGGATAGTAAGAGTCAATATCATGAAAATGGCCATACCGCCCAAGGTAATTTACAGATTCAATGCCATCCCCATCAAGCTACCAATGACTTTCTTCACAGAATTGGAAAAAAACTACTTTAAAGTTCATATGGAACCAAAAAAGAGCCTGCATTGCCAAGACAATTCTAAGCAAAAAGAACAAAGCTGGAAGCACCAAGCTACCTGACTTCAAACTATACTACAAGGCTACAGTAATCAAAACAGCATGGTACTGGTACAAAAACAGATATATAGACAAATGGAACAGAACAGAGGCCTCAGAAATAACACCACACATCTATAACCATCTGATCTTTGACAAACCTGACAAAAACAAGAAATGGGAAAGGATTCCCTATTTAACAAATGGTGCTGGGAAAACTGGCTAGCCATATGTAGAAAGCTGAAACTGGATCCTTTCCTTACACCTTATACAAAAATTAATTCAAGATGGATTAAAGACTTAAATGTTAGACCTAAAACCATAAAAACCCTAGAAGAAAACCTAGGCAATACCATACAGGAAACAGGCATGGGCAAGGACTTCATGACTAAAACACCAAAAGCAATGGCAACAAAAGCCAAAATAGACGAATGGGATCTAATTAAACTAAAGAGCTTCTGCACAGCAAAAGAAACTGCCATCAGAGTGAACAGGCAACCTACAGAATGGGAGAAAATTTTTGCAATCTACCCATCTGACAAAGGGCTAATATCCAGAATCCACAAAGAACTCAAACAAATTTATCAGAAAAAAAAACAACCCCATCAAAAAGTGGGCAAAGGATATGAACAGACACTTCTCAAAAGAAGACATCTATGCAGCCAACAGACACATGAAAAACTGCTCATCATCACTGGTCATCAGAGAAATGCAAATCAAAACCACAATAAGATACCATCTCACACCAGTTAGAATGGCAATCATTAAAAAGTCAGGAAACAACAGATGCTGGAGAGGATGTGGAGAAATAGGAACGCTTTTACACTGTTGGTGGGAGTGTAAAGTAGTTCAACCATTGTGGAAGACAGTGTGGCGATTCCTCAAGGATCTAGAACTAGAAATACCATTTGACCCAGCAATCCCATTACTAGGTATATACCCTAAGAATTATAAATCATGCTACTATAAAGACACATGTACACGTATGTTTATTGCAGCACTATTCACAGCAGCAAAGACTTGGAACCAACCCAAATGTCTATCAATGGTAGACTGGATTAAGAAAATGTGACACATACAGACCATGGAATACTACGCAGCCATAAAAAGGATGAGTTCATGTCCTTTACAGGGACATGGATGAAGCTGGAAACCATCATTCTCAGCAAACTATCACAAGGAAAGAAAACCAAACACCACATGTTCTCACTCATAGGTGGGAACTGAACAATTAGAACACTTGGACACCAGGCAGGGGGTAGGGGGCTGGGGGAAGGATAGCATTAGGAGAAATACCTAACGTGAATGGTGAGTTGATGGGTGCAGCAAACCAACATGGCACATGCATACTTATGTATGAAACCTGCAATCTGTGCACATGCACCCTAGAACTTAAAGTATATTTAAAAAATAAAAAAGAGGATAAGGGGTCCTAGCCAGGTGAGGTGGCTCAAGCCTGTAATCCCAGCACTTTGGGAGGCTGAGGTGGACGGATCACGGGGTCAGGAGTTCGAGACCAGCCTGACCAACATGGTGAAACCCCATCTCTACTAAAAATGAAAAATTAGCCAGGCGTGGTGGCGCACACCTATAATCCCAGCTACTCAGGAGGCTGAGGCAGAAGAATCGCTTGAACCTGGGAGGCAGAGGTTGCAGTGAGCCGAGATCATGCTACTGCACTCCAGCCTAGGTGACAGAGTGAGACTCTGTCTGGAAAAAAAAAAAAAAAAGAGTATAAGGGGTCCTGAGATTTTTTTTTTTTCAATTGAGTATCTCTGATTTAGCCCCTGCCTCCCTTTCTAACTCCATCTTCACCATTCTCTTATTCTTGGGGCTCCAGCTACCCTGGCTTCCTTTGTCTTGAATATGTATGTTTTTCCACCTCTGCATATGCTGTCCCTAGAAGAGGCTTATCAAAGCCACCCCTGCCTCCCCGTATTCAATCACTACACCATCTTCATTTCTGCTATAAAACTCATGACCACTGGTAGTTCATTGTTTACTTGTTATTGTCTGCCTCCCCCACTGGACTGTGTCTGCCCAGGGACCTTCTTGTCTTTATTGATCACTGTACCAGCACAGTGCCCAGCGTGTTGCAGGCACTGCAGAGACACTTGCTGAATATATGCAGAAGAGGACAAGAAGTAGTCAATGAGTAGGTGAAGGAGGGAATACGTGCAGGAAGCTGGTACTCGCCCCCGGGCCTCTGGGGAGGGTAGTTGTGTCGCTGCTGCAACCACGTTACCTGCTGGGGCACCTTGAAGCGGACATAGGAGCAGAGCTGAAGCATTTCACTCATCTCTTCTGGGGTAGACGGGATCAAGGGAATCTTCTCCACGGCGGCAGAGCCCTGCAGTTCTTTGAGCCGTTGTACAAATTGATTGTCAGTTGAGTACTGCAGGCCTGTGGGATTCAAACCCAAATGGCTTGATGATACATCCACCTTCTTACCAATCCCATTTTATATAGGGAACTTCTGACAGCAGCCCAGAGTTAATATATTTCAGGTTTATTTCATGAGTAGATTTCTTTTTTGTTGGTACTGCCATCCTTGCTCAAATCAAAACCACACTGAGAAACACACAAAAAAATCCTTCCACATATTTCAGGGACTGGTCACTCACACTGTAGTCCATGGACCAGGAGCATCAAAAGCCCACAAGAAATGCAGACGCTGCTCCTCCCTGAGCCTCTTGAACCAGAATTTGCCTTCTTACAAGTTGCCAGGGGATTCATATGTATGATAGAATTTAAGGAGGGTTAGCCTAGAAGACAACTTGCCTAAGCATATCTGAGTGTTGACAGGAAATGTGAGGAAATACATGACCGGAAGAAAACATAGGGCTGGCATGAATGACACTCCTTCCCTTGGCCTGGACCCACGTGGTACTCTCTTATTTGGGGTCAATGATAAAACACAGGGGGACTGGGAGTCTTCCCAGCTGTCCCTTGCTTTAGGGCAGCAACCCTGCTGCCTTCTCCACAGTTGCTCTTCCTCTAGGAGAGCAAAATTGAGATTGCTCATTATCTCCCATCACCTCAGGGCACGACACGAGAGTCCACAGAAGCTGATGCTATGTATGCAAGAGGGCAAAACTAATTTTCACTTCCAGCATGGAGCAAATTTCTAGGCATTTAGCTTAGCCAAATAATTAGATTTTTTTTTCTTTTTTTACTTTAAGTTCTGGGATACATGGGCAGAACGTGCAGGTTTGTTACATAGGTATACATGTGCCACGGTGGTTTGCTGCACCTATCAACCCGTCATCTAGGTTTTAAGTCCCTCATGCATTCGGCATTTGTCCTAATGCTCTCCCTCCCTGTGACCTCCACCCTCTGACAGGCCCCAGTGTGTGATGTTCCCCTTTCTGTGTCCATGTCTTCTCACTGTTCAACTCGCACTTATGAGTGAGAACATGCGGTGTTTGGTTTTCTGTTCCTGTGTTAGTTTGCTGAGAATGATGCTTCCAGCTTCATCCATGTCCTTGCAAAGGACATGAAATCATTCTTTTTTATGGCTGCATAGTATTCCATGGTGTATATGTGCCACATTTTCTTTATCCAGTTTATCATTGGTGGGCATTTGGGTTAGTTCCAAGTCTTTGCTATCGTAAATAGTGCTGCAATAAACATATGTGTGAATGTTAGATTTTTTTTTAATTTTATATTTTTGCAGAGATGGGGTCTCCCTTAGGCTGGTCTTGAACTCCTGGCCTCAAGCAATCCTCCTCTCTTAGCCTCCCAAAGTGTTGGGATTACAGGTGTGAGCTACCTCACCCAGCAAAATCTAGAAAAGAGCTAGATTTTATAATGAAAGGCAGTAGCATCAATAATATTGGTCGTGATGCAGAAACCCACGCTTTGCAAATCTATGTCCAGCAAACCCTTTAAATCTAACATGGGTATGATGTATGGCTTTCACGATGCCATGAAGCAGATGACATTATCTATTTCCCCTCTCTTTAAAACTAAACCTAGGTTAGATGTCATGTGGTACATCCTGGACTGGATCCCAGAACAGAAAAAGGACATGAGTTGAAAAACTAAATGAAATCCAAATAAAGCCTGGAATTTAGTTAACAGTAATATACTAATGTTGGTTTCTTAGTTGTGAAAAAATTTACTGTGGTAATGTGAGCTATTAATGGGGAAACTGAGTATAGGTTATATGGGGCGCTCTATAATATCTCTGCAATTTTTCTGTAAATTAAAAATTATTTCAAAATTTTTAGAAAGTTTATTTTAAAACTCTTGGTAGGATATAATCCTGAATTTATTTCTACTTTTTAGTTTTCACATACAAACTTAATTTTAAATTTCCAGTTGAAATTCGGATGTCAATTTTTTCTCTGAGCAAATGAACCTATACTTGAAAAAGCCAGTTAGATTTTACTTCCTGTAAGTGATTTAAAATCTAAAAACCTTCCATAGATGCTGTTCCTTCAATTCTCAAACTTATTATTATAAGATCAAATTATTTCAGATATGCTACTTGAAAAAAGAGAGGAGAAGACCCTTTGGTGTCTTCTCTTCGATTTCAATGTCCTCAACATATCGAAAATGATTAGCTTTCAGAGTGGCAGAAGGATTTTAAAGGTCAATTTAGTTAAGTTTCAGTAAAAGTCATTAAATGTTCAATTCATGGCTGGATTCTAGTTGAATCATACAGAGGAAGTAGAAGATATGAGTCATAAAAAGGAGGCAGTAAATATGCAAGGACTTCCAAACATCACAGCTTGGGTTCTGGAGTCAGGCAGCCTGGGCTCTGTTCCTACTGTGGTTTTGGCACTAATGTAATTTCTCTGTGCCTCAACGTTCCCATTTATAAAATGGGCATAATATCTTGACCTGCATGGTAACTGCATACGTAAAAAGTCATTGAGATGCACATTTAAATTTAGACAATTTACTATGTGTAAATGATACCCCAATAAAGCACCAAAGGGAGAGGGAGAGAGAGGCCGGGTGCGGTGGCTCACGCCTATTCCCAGCACTTTGGGAGGTGGAGGCGGGCAGATCACTTGAGGCCAGGAGTTCAAGGGACTCAGGCCAACAGGATCCTAGCCAACAGGATTCAAGTTTGCCTAGCCAACATTGCGAAACTCCACCTCTACTGAAAATGCAAAAAATTAGCTGGGCATGGTGGCACACACCTGTAATCTCAGCTACTTGGGTGGCTGAGGCACAAGAATTGCTTGAACCTGGGAAGTCAAGGCTGCAGTGAGCCATGATTGCACCACTGCACTCCAGTCTGAGCAACAGACTGTCTCAAAAAAAAAAAAAAAAAAAAAAAACAGAGAGAGGGGGAGATAGAGGAGAGAAAAAATATGATTTTTATCTATTATATATTATAAATACAACTCTAAAGACTTATAGAAGAAAAACAAATTTAAAAATCCAACTTCAAACGGTAATATCGGAGAACATGTTACACTTCACGTTGACATATGTACATATAACAGTAGAGAAACTAAAGCTGGATTTTTTTTAAGATCTTATTATAATAAATAAAGATCTCTCAGTTTTTACCAAAAAAGGAGAGGGGCATAATTATAGTACCTTTACCTCACAGGGCTACTGCAAGAATTAAATTCATATAAAGAGCTTAGCTCGTAAGAGCCCGATAAATGTTGGATGTTAATAGTAACATTATATTTCAAAGTATGTGCTGCAAAGCACTATATACATTTTAATCAACCACCTCAAACATTCCTTTTTTTTTTTTTTAAATTTTAAATGTTTACAGGCATGAGCCACTGTGCCTGGCCCCACCTCAAATTCTTGGTGTAACAAGGCTGGCTCTATATTTTCAAAATCAGTCTGGTTATGATTATGATTATATAACTATTGGTTGGTTAGAGTTATCAGTAAAACACTGCATATCTCTCAAGCATACATCAAAAAGATGATTCCAAAAAACGGTCATAGCAGACACTAGCTACTTGTTTCTTCAGGGATTCATCCCTGCCGAGGGATGTTTCAGCTTCATAACTTACCAGCAGGACACACGAGACACAGGCTGGAGACATCCGATGGGTAGTAAGCAGCATACACCCCAGCCACCTGGCCACCCATGGAGGTGCCTACCAGGTGGAAAGGTTTTTTGTTCAGCTTCAGGCATTCTACAAACTAGGAAGGGAAATGAGAAAGCAGCTTGGTTATACAGCTGTAGACAATGGCAATGGTGACTACAGCATAGAAGCCCCCTGGACTTCCTATGGACAACTGAAAATGACTACTGTTTAAAGAGTCTGAAACTCTACTGGATCCATTATAAGATGAGCCCTGTGGCATGCATGGACTTCTCTGTCTGGCACAAGAGATTGAGAGGTCATTTATAAATATAAAATCAACAGGGATTCTGCTAATTAATGAGTCAGCAAACTTTTCTTTTTTTCTGAGACAGGGTCTCACTCTGTCACCCAGGCTGCAGTGCAGTGGCGTGATCATGGCTAACCTCTGGGGCTCAGGTGATCCTCCCATCTCAGCCTCCCGAGTAGCTAGAACTACAGGCATGCACCACCACATCTGGCTGATTTTTTTTTTTTTTTTTTTTTGTAGAGATGAGGTTTCACCATATTGTCCAGGCTGATGAAGTTTTCTATAAAGGTCCAGAGAGTAAACATTTTCTGCTTTGAGAGCCATATGATCTGTTGCAACTATTCAACTCTGCTGTTGCAGACAAAAGCAGTCAAAGGTAATATGTATTAAATAAATGAGTGAGTGTGGCTGTTTTCCAGTAAAATTTAGTTTACAAAAATAGGTACAAGCTAAACATAGCTCATGGGCTGTAGTTTGAGGGCTCCTGTGCTAATTTAAAGCTCTTCTCGTCCATCTGACCATCCATTCATATAACTACCCATCCATTTGTCTATTCAACCATCCATCCATCCAACCATCCATCCATCTATCCATCCAATCATCCAATCAGCCATCCACCCAACTATCCAGCATTCTAAAAAATATTCATTGGATATCTATTATGTACAGGAAACTATGATTAGATGCTGAAAACACAGCAAAGAGCTAAAAAGACAAGGTTCCTGACCGAATTTAAAAAACAGTTTAATGGAGGAGGCAGATATTAAATATCCTCATTTGGGGGAAAATATTTAAGGTCAACCTGAAACTTACAGGCTACCCCATTCTGAAATGGCTCTTAAACTCCTATGATCTTGAAAGCTTAGCCAGAGAAGGCTAGAGATAGATTCTAAAATAGGTGCTAGCAATAGATGCTAAAGTACGTTATAATGTGAAGAACACCCTCCCCAGCTAGGCAGAGGGGCTATTACTGTTATCATATAACTGGTGAGCAGAAAGAGAGATCCCTAGGAAGGGAATTGGTTTTAAGAAATTCTAAACCCCTTTTCAAAGAGTTGAGAAAATGCTCAGATTGTATTTCGTTACAAACAACTGCAATAGGCTTAAGTCTGTAATAAGCCCTGGCCCTCCATTGCCAACCAGAGATATCATCAGGTTGCCATTTGGCTTGCCATCACTTGTAGACAGAATGTACAGGAGACTGGTCATGAGGTAGCACAGGACTCCCTTCCCTGCTCTCCAGACTCAGACATGTAATGGTGGCTGAGACAGTCTGGGCAATCTTTGGTAGAGCCTCCTGCTTACCTGGTGTATCCTCTTAACTTGCCCATCTATGGACAGGTCATCCAGGGAGGAGCGGGTGGTGCCCTCATGTCCTGGCATGTCCACGCAGACCAAGTGCAGGTTCTTTGGAAGGAACTGAGGACACACAGACCCAGAGAGTCAGTATGTGGTGTGCAAAACATGTCTGCCCATTTTCTTGGGAGGTTGCCCCATGTACAGTGACCCAGACAGCCATCCCTGGGGATGTATGGGTCTTGGCCACTCAGTGTTTTACCCCAGTAATTGAATAAGCATTGCCAGTAGCCTCATCGGGAGCAGAGGCCCACAAAGGCTAATACATAGATGGAAGCAGGCTCAGGAGATGCCTGTAAAAAGGGGACAAAGTCGGGGCAGCAGGCTTAAGTCTCTTGCTTTTTCTTCACACTAGTTGACATGTACTGCCTCCTCCTTTCCCTCACCCCTTCCACACTTACTCCAGCCATGCAGCTGCTGACTTGGATCTGGAAGGGATGGTTCTGTTCTCTCATATCCTAGCCAGCTCCAGAGCCAACAGGAGCAATGTTTTCCCCAAGAACCACATCTGATCACCCCGATTCTGGTTTGTTTGGTTTCTTTTTACATTAAGGTCTACTTTTCCAAATTATTATTATCCTAAAACACCTTCTTCCATTTAGATATGTACCACTTTTAACCAGGAAACTGAGAAACATAAGTTACCAACAAACAAACATCCAGTTATAAGAAAGATATTTATCTGAGGAGGGGACAGGAAGTTCATCAAGGCATGAAAATGACTGTCCTCATAGTGGAATTTGGAAATAAGAATACAACTAACTAGAGGGTGTGTGAGTCTTCACCTACTGGTGTAGATGATACTTGGGATCCCTCAGGTATGGTGTTGCCTGATGTGGGAGCCAGGGATGCTTCCTGCCCAAGACTTCTGCCAGCCCCAACCTTCACACCTGATCACTCTTACCAAGAGCAGCAAGTTGCCACACCCAAGTAAACCAAGACAAAAAGTGACTTGGAAAACTCTTCCAGAAAGCTGCTAGATCAAGACTGTTTCTCTAAATGGCAAAGGAAAAGAAAAAAGCAGACGTAGAAGAGGGAGTGGGAAGGAAAGGAAAAGAAGGAATGAAGGAAGAATATGGAGGGGAAGGAAGAGAAGAAACTTGGGAGTACAAAAAAAATGACTTTTCAAAGCCCAACTCTGATCTCACAGCAGTTCTGAGATGCAGCTGTGTCAGAAGCCTCCCCAAAGAAATATCCATGAGGTAAAAAGATTTCTAAGCCATACGTTTTATATATAATATTCAACTCAATAATTTTTTTCTGACAAAAGAATGAGTAACATATTGCATTAGTTTGTTTGTTTGTTTTGAGACAGGGTCTCACTCCTGTTGCTCAGGCTGGAGTGTGGTATAGCACGATCTTGGTTCACTGCAGCCTTGACTTCCCAGGCTCAGGTGATTCTCCCATCTCAGCCTCCAAAGTAGCTGGGACTACAGGTGCATGCCACCATGCCTGGCTAATTTTTTTGTAGAGACGGAGTCTCCCTATGTTGCCCAGGCTGGTCTCAAACTCCTGGGCTCAAGTGATCTGCCTGCCTTGGCCTCCCCAAAGTGCTGGGATTACAGGTATGAGCCACTGTGCCAGGCCACACTGCATTAGTTCTAATATGACTTGAACCACCACAGTTCTGAGTTCCCTTTGCTTTCTACCATTGTTGATGACATCATGTCCTAGTGGAAACCCTTTTCTTCTTCTTCCTTTTTTTATTTTTATTTTTTTTGAGACAGAGTCTTATTCTGTTGCCCAGGCTAAGTGCAGTGGCATGATCATTGCTCACTGAAGACTTGACCCCCCAGGCTCAAGCAATCTTCCCACCTCAGTCTCCTGAGTAGCCAGGACTACAGGCATGCACCACCACACCTGGCTAATTTTTTAATTTTTTGTAGAGACAGGGTTTCTTTATGTTGTCCAGGCTGGTTTTGAACTCCTGGACTCAAGCAATCCTCCTGCCTCAGGCTCCCAAAGTGCTGGGATTATAGGCATGAGCCACAGCACCCAACTCCCTTTTCTTATAAGAGAGAAGAATCGAGAATTGCACCTTGACCACACTGAGCCACATATCCTTGTGGGCAGAGAATCCGTGGAGCATGAGGATGGAGGGTTTGTGCCCAGGCCTGCCCCGGAAGGAATAACAGAACTGATAGTCTTCATGGTGAACATAGCGGACTTGCATGCCCAATGTCCTCCGCCAGTACCTGGAAGGGGTGAGAAATAAAGACAAAACGAAATCAGTAAGCTCTAGATGAGTGGCTTCAAGATGGGCACAGGTCCTCTCTATAAGTCTTCCTTAGTGATAACACAAACACTTCTCCAGCCCTTGTCCTCCATCAGTCTCTAGAGTCCTCCTGAGCTTTACCCTCAAGGAACACAAAGCCAAACCATTCCAGAGAACACCTTAAATGAACTATTTTGGTATATATTTTACTAATCACTCTAGGAAGGGAAATGCGGTGTTTTCTTAAGAAGTATGCCACACATGATAACCTTTTGATAATATGTCTTTCTAGAGACTTTGAGAGTGATAACTTATTTCTTGAGAACCATCTGCACTGGTCCTCTGGCTTTGTTCCTCATAACATATGGCAGCTGGTTGAAAGCTCAGCTTCTGCTGGTTACATAAGACTTGGCAGTGCTGGACTTTGGCCCAAAATCAATTTCAATATGAAATTACCATCTAAACAAATTGAACTCTCTGCATGGTGAATCCCTCCAAGATGAGAGATAATTAATTCAATCAGAGGTGCACTTTGTAAGATACTTCACACTAAAGAAGTAGCCAAGTCTTGCAAAAGCAAATAACCTAAACTGACTGGTCTTAACTCTTTGTGTAAAATAAGCAGAGAGGGAGAGAAGATATATATTCATTTACTTTTATCCGCATACAAAAAATGTGAGAGCATACATAAGGTTTTTTTTTTTGTTGTTTGTTTGGTCAGGTTTTTTTTTTTTTTAGATACAGTCTCGCTCTGTCACCCACGCTGGGGCAATTTCCGCTCACTGCAACCTCCACCTCCCGGGTTCAAGCAATTCTTGTGCCTCAGCCTGTATCTAGGGTTACAGGTGCACACCACCATGCCTGCCTAATTTTTGTATTTTTAGTAGAGACAGGGTTTCGCCATGTTGGCCAGGCCAGTCTCAAACTCCTGGCCTCAAGTGATCCATCCACGTTGGCCTCCCAAAGTGCTTGGGTTACAGACGTCCAGCTGGTTAAACCGCACCTGGTTGGTTTCTTTTGAAACTTTTTTAATGACTGCATTGCCTACTCAAAACGTAAAGAACATAATAGCATTGGCTAGCTTAAAAGCTCTTCTTACAGCAAGGCAAGCGTATTTCAAAATTCTAAATCATAACACGACTTTGTTCATCCATTCACATCCCAGCTCATTCACTTACTGACTTTGAATGTCCCCTCCAAAACTCATGTTGAAATTTAATTGCCATTGTGAAGTGGGACTGTTAAGAGGTAATTAGGCCCTGACAGTTTTGCCTTCATAAATAGATTAATGCTATTATTGAGGGAGTAGATTCCTGATAAAAGTGAGTCTGGTCCCCTCTTGCTTCTGGCTCACTCTTATAGTCTCTTGTCCTTCTACCTTCCACCACGGGATGACACAGCAGGAAGGCCCTTGCCAGATATTGGTGCCATTCTCTTGGGCTTCCCAACCTCCAGAACAATAAGCCAAACAAATTTCTTTTCTTTATAAATTATCTAGTCTGTGGCATTCTGCTGTAGCAACACAAAATGGAATAAGACACTAACTATATAATCTTATAATATGAGGAAATGCTGCATTCCACTAAGAATATGGCAAAGATTAAATGATGAGGTAATCCATGTACAAAGTTTTGTTCAATGCCCAGCAAATGGTAAGTATTCAGTACATGATAGTTATTAGTATTATGTAAAGATGATTTTGTCCTTCCAAATACATCATTTGCCAAAAATTAAAAGGAAAAATTAGGGGAAATATTTGCAATGAATATGACAGCTGCAGAATGATATCCTTAATAAATAAAAAGCTTACAAATTGATCTCAACCATGCTAAAACCCTAATTCAACACTAGGCAAAATAAATGAAAAGGTACCTTAGAGTAGAAAAGATATTAATGACTAACAAACATAAAAAACATGTTCAAGTTCACTAGTAATTAAAAATATGAATAGTGCACCAACATGGATGGAACTGGAGATCATTATGTTAAGTGAAGTAAGCCAGACACAGAAAGACAAACATCACATGCTCTCACTTATTTATGGGATCTAAAAATCAAAACAATGCAACTCATGGGCATAGATAGTAGAAGGATGGTTACCAGAGGCTGAGATGAGTAGCTGGGGGTAGGGGAGAAGTGGGGATGGTTAATGGGTACAAAAAAAATAGAAAGAATGAATAAGACCTACTATTGATAGCACAATACGGTGACTATAGTCAATAATAGTTGTAAATTTTTAAATAACTTGAAGAGTGTAACTGGATTGTTTGTAACTCAAAGGATAAATGCTTGAGGGGATGGATACCCCATTCTCCATGATGTGCTTATTTCACATGGCATACCTGTATCAAAACATCTTGTGTACCCCATATATACCTACTATGTACCCCCCAAATTTTTAAATAAAAAATTAATAAAGAAAAAATATGAACACCCTTTATGAGCTTCTAAATTAGAAAAGTGGTGGGGTTTTTTGTTGAGATGGGGTCTTACTCTGTCACCCAGGCTGGAGTGCAGTGACACAATCACGGTTCACTGCAGCCCTGTCCTCCTAAGCCCAACTGACCCTCCCACCTCAGCCTCCTGAATAGCTGAAATTACAGGTGCATATACCATGCCTGGCTAATTTTTTTATTTTTTAGGTAGAGACTGGGTCTCCCTGTATTGCCCGGGCTGGTCTCGAACTCAAGTGATCCTGCCACTGAGCCACTGCACCTGGCATATGTGTGTGTGTGTGTGTGTGTGTGTGTGTGTGTGTGTGTGTGTGTGTGTGTGTGTGTGCGTTTATATAACCAGTTATAAAGTTCAGGCTTTCTAAGAAAGCAATCTGGCATAAAATATCAAGAATCTTTGAAACCTCATGCCCCTTGTTGACCTAGTAAGTATAATTCCAAGAATAATCTGTCTCAAGGAAATAAGTAGAAACTTTGAAAAAGAATATTTTTAAAGTGTTCCAGCCAGCGTTATGTGTTGTTTAAATTAGAAAAAATCAATACTAACTTTAGTGTCCATGAATAGGAAATATATTAGATAAACTACCATATAGCTAGGTGATGTCTTATTTTGCTATTATTTAAAATGGAGTTTTCAAAGAATATTCAATAACATGGAAAAATATTTATGACATGATGTCAAGTGAAAAAACAGGACCCAATTTTTTTAAATACTATTGATTCCAATTCTGTTAAAAAAAACTGTTAAGTATACACAGATGAAGTGGTGGGGGAGAGAGGTGGGAAGAGCAAAAGAAGCATTGAAGAAAATTAATTATTCCAGGGGTTATGGGTAATTTACATTTTCTTTGTGTTACCTTTTTATTTTTAAATTATTTATTATTTTTTATTTTTGGTACTGGGAGTGGGGCTCGAATGGGTTACGTTTTTATAATCATCAAATTCTCTATAACTCTCATACAAAGTACAGTGTGAGATCATGGAAGAGCTGGAAGGACCTGGTGGAAAAGGTGAAACTTCAGCAGACTACTGGATACTCAACATACATCAGCTGGAAGCTGGAGAAGGTGTGCCAGGAGGTAGAGACAGCAGAGGCAAGGGCCTCGGGGAGAGCCAAGTATGACTTGAACCAGAATGAAGAGACACAGGGTTGGAAGGCGGCCAGACTGCCGGATTCAGGAATTAAGGGCTTCTTCATTATCAGACAGAGCTCTTTGGTACTACTCGATATTTTTCATTTAATTGGTACATCCACTGGACAAGTTTACCTAGGCTCCAGAAACAAGAAACTGGAAAACTAATATTTTTTCTTTTTTTTTTTTTTTGAGATGGAGTTTCACTCTCGTTGCCTAGGCTGGAGTGCAGTGGCGCAATCTCAGTTCACTGCAACCTCCACCTCCCGGGTTCAAGTGATTCTCCCGCCTCAGCCTCCTGAGTAGCTGGGATTACAGGTGTGTGCCACCACGCTCGGCTAATTTTTGTTTTTGTTTATTTTTATTTTTATTTTTTAGATGGAGTCTTGCTCTGTTGCCCAGGCTGGAATGCAGTGGCATGATCTCGGCTCACTGCAACCTCCACCTTCTGCTTTCAAACGATTCTCCCACTTCAGCCTCCCAAGTAGCTGGGACTACAGGCGCGTGCCACCACGCCTGGCTAATTTTCGTATTTGTAGTAGAGATGGGGTTTCACCATGTTGGCCAGGCTGGTCTCAAACTCCTGACCTCGTGATCTACCCACCTCGGCCTTCCAAAGTGCTGGGATTACAGGCGTGGGCCACAACGCCTAGCCTCTAATTTTTGTATTTTTTTAGTAGAGACAGGGTTTCACCATGTTGGCTAGGCTGGTCTTGAACTCCTGACCTCAGATGATCTGCCTCCCTCAGCCTCCCAAAGTGTTGGGATTACAGGCGTGAGCCACCATGCCCAGCCCAGAGAACTAATATTTTCAAATGATCCCCTCAACGAAAGAGTAGGAAGATGACTCTAAGATACCAGGCCAGCTGAAAAATTCTGAAAGACCCATGGCCCAGATGGAAAAAATCTTCTTTGGTTTAATGATAATAGATAATAGAGAATAGATTACCTCTAATTCACAAAAGCAGAACCTTACAGAACAGAAACAAAGAGAAGAATTAAGGTGGGATGAATGAATGTCTCAGGAGCAAGATCTTTTACAATCTCAGTACAAGAGCCAAACTGCTCCTGTTTCAGGGACAGAAGTCATTGAAGGCTCTATTGACCTAAATAGAAAAGCCCCAAAGAGGACCTCCTCGGGGTTCCTCTTTAATAAAGTCTCCTGGAGCCCAGAGTCCTCATCCTATGTCTCTGTCTAGTTAACGGGAACTTCTGAAGAAAAGTACTTACAGATTTTTTTATACTGTGGTAAAACAGACATAACATAAACATTTACCATTTTAACAAGTGTACGATCAATGACATTACACAACATTGTAAAACTACCACCACTATCCATTTCTAGAACTTTTTGTCATCCTAAATAGAAACTCTGTACCCATTAAACATTAACTCCTCATTTCCCCCAGTCCCCTAGCAACCTCTATTCTACTTTCTCTATGAGTTTGTCTATTCTGGGTAAAAGTGGAATCATACAAAATTTGTCCTTTTGTGTCTGGTTAGTTTCACTTAGCACAGTTGTTCTCAAGGTTCATCCATGTTGTGTTAATAGCATGAATCAGAGTGTCATTCCTTTTTAAGGCTGAATAATATTCTATTGTGTATATACCACATTTTGTTTATCCATTTGTCTGTTGGACATTTAGGTTATTTCTATCTTTTCGCTATTGCAAAGAATGCTGCTATGGACATTGGTGCACACATTGAGACCCTGCTTGCAATTCTTTGGGATTTACACTCATAAGTAGAATTGCTGGATGTTACGTTAAATGTATAACTTTCTGGGGAGCCGACAAATTTGTGCATAGCAACTATACTATTTTACATTCCCAACAGCAGTGCATAGGGGGTTCCAATCTCTCCACATCCTCACCAACACTTATTTTCCATTTTTTAAAGTTATGTATATTTTACCACAATAAAAAGAAAGAACCAGGCCGGGCATGGTGGCTCACAACTGTAATCCCAGAGCTTTGGGAGGGCAAGGTGGGTGGATCGCTTGAGCCCAGGAGTTTGAGCCTGTCTCTACAAAAACCGCAAAAATTAGGTGGCAAGGTGGCACACACCTGTAGCCCCAGTTACTCTAGAAGCTGAGGTGGGAGGATCACTTGAGCCTGGGAGGTAGAGGTTGCAGTGAGCAGCCTAGGCTGGTCTTAAACTCCTGGGCTCAAGCAATCGCCCACCTCTGCCTCCCAAAGTGCTGAAATTACAAGCATGAGCTGCAGCACCCAGCTCCAAATTCACTTATTAATTCCAACAAATTATTTATAGATTTTTTTTGGACTTTCTATGTACACAATTGTGTCATCTGCAAACAATGTCAGATTATTATTATTTCTTCTTTTCCAATTCTTATCCCCTTTTCTTTCTTATATTTATATAAGTGAACTGTTCACTATTATTTCTTACCTTGATTTCACAACTGAGTTTCTTTGGGAAAACAAAAATCTTAGAAAATCTCAGTCTTTCTCATCTTGTGAACAGTCCTGATATTTTCATTACACAATGAAAATCAGACCTGATGTCATCCGCAGTGGCCACAGCATCCCCGGTGTGGCTCTCTGTTGACTCATGTTGAAGCATTTGGTACCTCCTGCAGGAGCAGCCATAGTCCACGGTGTTGTGGAAGTGTGCTGGCCATGCTCCAGGGACACTTAGACCCAGAGAGAGCTGCTCTGAAGACTTGCTGTGGCCTACTGGGGACACCTGTTCTTGTTCCCTGAGGAGCTGAGACAATCCCAGAGGGAACTCCAGGAGCTTGCACGATGTGATGACTTCACCAAACCCTTATGCTCATATGGCAGGGCAGCGGGGAACGGGGACTGGGTGCCAAGCTACCTCTACTGCCTGCTGATCCTGTTTGTGTAGCAATCCTGAAAATTAACCTGACCCACCTAGGTCTGCGAGGTGAACCCACTGGTGGTCATCACTGGCAGCCGAGCAAATGAAGGCCTTTGGAGGAGTCGCTGTGGTTAAGGGATATAAGTGACTCATGGTGATGCTGCTCATTCTATGACAACCACTGTGTAAATGTCACTTGTGGTGAGGCTATTTGGAGGAAGCAGTCTGTGCATTTCAGTGATGCGGAGGAAGTGCCTCACAGGATTGCTGACAGCTCTCTGCAATGGCATCATGGGTTTTATTACTAAAATCATAATCCCCCGTGTCACAATGCCACCTGGCATGATCTGAAAGGTTTTCTAGGATTTTCATCTTCCCAAACCAGCTGGGTTTTCTTCTTGGCCTGTGTGCCTGAGTTCACAAAATAAAGAGCATTGTGTTTGTCTTTCAGCCACGGCACTGAGCTGGGTGACAGGCATGGGCAGGCTTTAAGACCCCATGCATCCATACTGCCAATTAAAGAGGCTCTGAATGCTCTGCACTGTGGGGCTTCTCTGGTTTTTTTGTGGTATTATTTGTTAATAAAAGTGAATTATTTGCTATGCAGCATTATTCATAATAGCCAAAAGGTGGAAACAACCCAAGTGTCCATCAACAGATGAATGGATGAACAAACTGTATATATACACAATGGAATATTATTTAACCACAACAGAAAGTGAAGGAGTGATGCATGCTACAACATGGACGAACCTTGAAAACATTATGCTAAGTGAGAGAAACCAGACACAAAGGTCACACATGTATAACCCCGTTTACGTGAAATGTCCGTAATGGGCACATCTAAAAAGACAGGAAGTAGATGAGTGGTTGCCAGAAGATGAAGTGAGGGAGAAACTGGGATTGATGGCTACTAGGTATGGGGACTCCTTTGGGGAGGTGGAAATATTTGAAATTAGATAGTGGTAATGGTTGTACAACACTCTGAATATATTAAAACCACTGAATTGTACATTTTATTTATTTACATTTATATTTATGTTTCATTTATTTATTTATTTAGACAGAGTCTCATCTCTGTCACCCAGGCTGAAGTGTAGTGGCACGATCTCGGCTCACTGCAACCTCCGCTTCCTGGGTTCAAGCGATTCTTCTGCCTCAGCCTCCCAGGTAGCTGGAATTACAGGCACGTACCACCATGCCTGGCTAATTTTTTGTATTTTTAGTAGAGACGGGGTTTCGCCATGTTGGCCAGGCTGGTCTCGAACTCCTGGCCTCAAGTGATCCTCCTGCCTTAGCCTCCCAAAGTGCTGGGATTACAGGTGTGAGCCATCGTGCCCAGCCTTGAATTGTACACTTTAAAATGGTGACTTTTATGTTATGTGAATTTTAACTTAATTTAAAAAGCAAATTATTTGCTATCAACTTATTTTTCTCATTACAAATGAAACATCAAAATTACCCTAACACCCTTACTCTGAAAGCCTTCTCCTCGACAGCCCAGGGAACTGTTGGGGGACTATGCAGCATTGAGGCTAGTTTCCACATGAGGTGGGTGGAATTAACCTTTACATAATCACACCTCTGTATGTGACCATATCCATGGTTACGAGCCACATCAGTGAATTGTGTTCTCTCCTTCAATTTCATGTCGTTAATAAAAACGGCGTTTTGTGTGTGGCAGTCCATGATGCCTTGACGAGGCCATGAGAAGGGGCACGCAACTCTGCCTTCTCCATGTCAGGGGTCATCCAGGAGCCTTAGCCCACAAAGCACAGAACTCCTGCTACCAGCACTGCAAGGGCAACAGCATTTCAGCTTCAGAGTGAGTCTCGCTTTCTCAGTGCAGAAGGTGGGTCCCGGGTGACTTGGGAGGGGGTCACAACTCCCCACTCCCGCCCCCAGAGAGCAAGAGCAAAAGATGAAAAGCTCCCTTCCATTCAATTAGTTTCAAGGATTAGAGCTTGGCTGGCAGGCGGAAAATTCCACACTCAAGTGAAGCAAAAAGGAGCCAGAAAGGAGGGCAGATAAAGGGCATAACACCCTCTCTGGACTCTTCTACGTACAGAAGTGAGTTCCGACTTCCTGAAGTCCCAGTTAGATCTCAATGGGCTTACCTATAGCACAGAGAGGAACCAGGTCTATTTCGATGCTCCCTTCATCAGGGGATGTACACCATGGGGGTGGGAAGGGCAATTTCATTTGATAATTGGACAGTGGCATGAAAAGGCAATGAAGCACATCATGAGAAAGTCACTTTCTTTTTGACTGTTAACCTTCTGATTCCAACAAGGAGAAAGGCTCAGCTCAGGGCTGCTACATCTTTCACGCTGCTCATGCTTTGTAACAAAGTAAAAGGAGATACAATTTAATAAGACTGTTTAATGTCACTGTGTTTATTTTTACTTTTTGATATATATACATATTTTTTTTTGAGATGCAGTTCTGCTCTTGTTGCCCAGGCTGGAGTGCAATGGCGCGATCTCAGCTCACCGCAACCTCCACCTCCCAGGATCAGGCGATTCTCCTGCCTCAGCCTCCCGAGTAGCTGGGATTACAGGCATGCACCACCACGCCTAGCTAATTTTGTATTTTTAGTAGAGATTGGGTTTCTCCATGTTGGTCGGGCTGGTCTCGAACTCCCGATCTCAGGTGATCTGCCTGCCTCGGCCTCCCAAAATGCTGGGATTACAGGAATGAGCCACTGCGCCAGGCACTTTTTGATATTAATTTACTATTTATGGCAAGCTTTTCACTTAAGGGAGTGATATTCATATCACTTTTTAAATACTTGATTTAAGGATTTTTTTAAAAAGATGGCTCACTCTAAAGGAAATACAAAATAAAAGGACAGGTGGTATCCAGATAGGACAAGAATAATAACAGTGGTACAAGAATGACATATTTTGGAAACTTCTTTTTCTTTCTGTCACTTCTTTACTAATGAACACTTCTAGAACAACTCTAAAAGCATTCTGTCCTAAACATGCCATCTCAATGGTTCTGGTCTTTCTTGTTCATTTTTCAGTGACATCGCTGCACCTGTCAGGACATCACAGGGTCAGAATCCAATGATGAAGGCCAGGCGCAGTGGCTCACACCTGTAATCCCAGCACTTTGGGAGGCTGAGGTGGGAGGATCACTTGAGGTCAGGAGTTTGAGACCAGCTTGGCCAATACGGCAAAAGCCTGTCTCTACTAAAAATATAAAAATTAGCTAGGCATGGTGGCACGTGCCTGTAGTCCTAGCTACTTGGGAGGCTGAGGCAAGAGAATCGCTTGAGCCTGGGAGGCAGAGGTTGCAGTGAGCCGAGATGACACCACTGCACTCCAGCCTAGGTGACAGAGGGAGACTGTTTCAAAAAAAAAACCAAACAAAAACCCAAAAAACCAACCAACCAACAAACAAACAAAAACAACCAATGATCAAGAAGATACCAAAGGAGTTCCCATAAAAATGTACAATTCTTGCTTGAAGACAGAATCACTGACTTTGGGAATGTGGGTGGAGAAAGATGCTATCAGAAACCTAAAAGGGCCGGGTATGATGGCTCATGCCTGTAATCCCAGCACTTAGAGAGGCAAGATGGGAAGATCACTTGAGGCCAGGAGTTGGAGACCAGCCTGGCCAACATGGTGAAACCCCATCTGTACTAAAAATACAAAAAAAATTAGCCGGGCGTGGTGGCATACACCTGTAAAATCTCAGCTACTTGGAGGCTGAAGCAGGAAAATTGATTGAAGCCAGGAGGTGGAGGTTGCAGTGAGCTGAGATCATCCCACTGCACTCCAGCCTGGGCAACAGAGCACAACTCTGTCTCCAAAAAACAAACAAACAAACAAACCTGAAAGAACTGATCTGGTAATATTCTTCAAGAGCATTCCCAAAATTCCAAACAGGATGAGTACCTTTCAACTTTTCTCTCTGTCTGAAATACTTCCTGATAAAATGTTGGACAATAACCACAAAAAGGACAAGCAGAGAAGATGTCAATATTATGATACTCTTGAAAACATCAATGATAAAACTGGCTTACCAATAATAGATTCTTATCAGTGCTGAAGGCCACAGAAGAAATGAAGCCACAAATGCCAGGATTGGGATGGCCAGCGTGCCGCCCGCAATCACAAACATGTTAACCACATCAAGATCCATCCTGCTCTTTCAGGCTGGCTGACTCCTGCAGGGGCCAAAGAGAATGACGATATTAAAACTCTGTATCAAAGGAAAAAAGGCGAAGAAGTAAAGGGGACAAGAAAAGTGAAGTTCCCAGAGTGAGGGTAAAGAACAGGAGGAAACCAAAGCAGGCAAGTGCTTTACAAAAAACCAAATAGACATGACAACTAAAAGTAATGAGGAACTTTTCAGAGGAGCCTGGATTTGTAAAAAAAAAAAACATTATAAAGGACATAGTTGGGACAAATGTGAAAATCTGAGTAAGGGCTGGGTATTAGACAACGTCAATGTATCAGTGACACAATTCTTGAGTATGATGATGAAATTGTGATTATGTATGTATGTAGGAGAATATCTTCCCTTTTAGGAGATGTTTGCTGAAGTTGTAAGGGGTGAAGTATAATGGTATCTGCTACTCACTTTTAAAGGTTCAGGAGAGAAAAAGTAGTGTGTGTATGTGTGTGTGTGTGTGTGTGTGTGTGTGTGTGTTGGTGGGAGGAAAAGAGAGAGAAATAAAGCAAATATGGTAAAATGCTAACCACTGGGGAATCCAGGTGAAGGTTACATGATATTATCCTTTCAATCTTTCTGTAGGCTTGCAGTATTTAAAAATAAAAAAGGAGACAGGTGCAGTGGCTCACACCTGTAATCCCAGCACTTTGGGAGGCTGAGGTGGGCGGATCACTTAAGGTCAGGAGTTCGAGACTAGCCTAGCCAACATGATGAAACCCCATCTCTACTAAAAACACAAAAGTTAGCCAAGCGTGGTGGCAGGTGACTGTAATTCCAGCTACTCGGGAGGCTGAGGCAGGAGAATCGCTTGAACCCAGGAGGCAGAGGTTGCAGTGAGCCAAGATTGTGCCATTGCACTCTAGCCTGGGCAACAAGACTCTATCTCAAAAAATAAAAATAAAAAATAAATAAAAATAAAAAAGGAGGACAGGTTGGGCATGGTAGCTCATGCCTGTGATCCAGCACTTTGGGAGACCAAGGTGGGAGGATCACTTGAGCCCAGGAGTTTGAAGCTGTAGTAAGCTATGATTGCACCACTGCACTCTAGCCTAGGCAACGGAGTGAGAACCTTTAAAAAAAAAAAAAAAAAAGACAGACTTTTAAAGAAATCAATGAACAAATATACATGTACACATGGATACAAGAAACCAGTAACAGTGATTGATCTAAGGTGGGGAAGTAGATAGCTAAGTGTCAGGAATAGACAGGAAACTTGGTTTTTCACTTTTTAAAACTTTTAAGTTGTTATGTAAATATGTAACCAATTCAAAAAATAAATACATAATACAAAGTTAAGGGAGAATAAGCCAAAAAGGTAGTTTTCAGTGTACTTTCTGATGTCTTCCTAAAGACTTACACATCTGAAGGCTAGAATGTGGGATGCATGAGAGTAAGGACTGGGTGTCCCCAGCACCAACACTAAGACCTGACACACCATTGGGGCACTAGAATTCCAGCTGTATCAGAGGCCCTGCCCTGTCCTGTCTTATGAGCTTATAATACAGTTCATTCTAGCATAGAATGAAAAATACTTCAGGCTGGGTTCCGTGGCCCATGCCTGTAATCTCAACACTTTGGGAGGCAGAGGTGGAAGGATCACTTGAGGCCAGGCATTGAAGACCAGCCTAGGCAACATGGCAAGACCTCATCTCTATTTTATATATATATATGTGTGTGTGTGTGTGTGTGTGTGTGTGTGTGTATACACATATATATGTATATACACACATATATATCATAAAGTATATAAATATAAATATATAATAAATATATATTTCAAGTCCAGTCATTCTCTCCAACACAGAAAACCCCTGGAAGGACCTGTAAGCCAGGCGTGGCCCTCTGCCTTGATTCCCTGCCATCTGTGCTAAGTGTGCAGGACTCACCAAACATAATACAGATTTCTTCAAGAAAAAGCATTAACATCTAGCAAATCATGGCCTTCCTTACATTTCCTGGGAAATGGAGTGATCTCTCCCATATGCCTCTATCGACTGATACTTAATTCAATTTGATAATAAGTTCAATGCAGCACAGTATAACCTCTCGACCACTAAGCACAAGGGTCAGCACACTTTTTCTGTAAAGTGCCAGACGGTGACGATTTTAGCACTGTGGGACACAGAGTCTCTATTACAGCTACTCAGTCTGCCACTGGATGAGAAAGCAGCCATTGAAGACATGTAACGAATGAGTATGACTGTGTTCCAATAAAACTTCACAGAAATAGGCTGTAGGCCAAATTTGACCTGTAGGCTGTAATTTGCCAACCCTTGATATAGCACATCAACCCTGTCACATAGGAAAGGCAAGTGTTTCATCCTGTTTTATAGGCTGAGGAAATTGAGGCTCTGAGAGGCTAAGTAACTTGCCCAAGGTCACCCAGCTGGTAGTCATGATTACAAAACAGATTTCTAACTCCAATCTACTACCTTTGCACCAAGCTCCACTTTGTCTATTTTTTATTTTTTTCAAATGGCCTGTCCTTAGTCTCTGTAACCTCTTTGCTGTTAGGTATCTACATTCAACATCCCTAATTTCTCAATGAAGATATGAGCTCTCCATCTTCAAGAGGTTTTGCCTAGCAAGCACCTCACAGCCTGGAGAAGGAGACAGATGCACCCATAGGTGGGTTAGATGGTTCTTTTCATTACATACCCATACTCTACCTAAGTACAGTCCTGAGTCTACAGTGATGAAAGCTGCCACCTTCCCAGGGCATAAGCACTGTCTTTGTCTCTGATGCAATTGCCCTCTCAGTTTCTCAGTCACTGTAAACAATTTTCCCAGCACACTGAAATCATTGGCCTGCTTCTCCTTCTGGAACCAGAGCTCCTTGAGGGTAGGGACAATCATGTATGTTCTTCCTCAGTGTCAAGTATGGCACAGGACACAAATAAGGTACAAATGAATCAATGAAAAGCAAATTTACAAAATGGGTTCCATCTGTTTCATTTCTTTTAGGAACAACCATTCCCAATGACTCTGTAAGAGACCTGACATCTTTCCTCTTTCGGTAATTACAAAAATCCCTGAAGGAGTCACCTATTTAACACTGGCTACAATTTACCCTGCTAAAAGGCATCACCTTCAAGGAGTAAGCAAGTTAATCACAGACTGAAGGGAATCTGTACAGATCTGTTTGAACATCATGGGCTGTGAATGAGTTGACACAGATGGGAACTGTCAGCTTTGAGAAGACTTTTCCACATCATACAAAGTCCTTAAAAACTGCTGGGGGCCACTGTAAATTCAGATTACTGAGCAGCAGGGAGTCCTTTGGACTAGGAATTAGAACAGTTTATGCCCAAAGCCATATATATCATAGACTCTGACACTGGAGATGATAGCCCCGAAATGAAGGCATGATCATCAAAAAAAAAAAACCCCTCTGTGCTCTGTCGGTGCCTGCCACAATGCCAGTCAGTTTCAGCGAAGGTCGCATCTGCCTCCATCTTCTATTTAACAGCAGAATAAAGTCTTCCATAAGCAGCTTTTGTAGAACATGATCAATTTAGTAAGGTTTGCACTTATTACAGAAAACCCTGCACACTCTCCCTGACAAGGTCAAATAAATCCAGACCTTAGTTGAAGAAACCACAATTCTGAGTTTTCTGTACAGATAAAGGGTAGGCAATTTATTCCTATCTCTACAACATCCTTCATTTTACAAAGGTCTTGCTTCAGCTTTCCTTTAAAAAGACAGCTCCCCTGCCATGCTGGTGTTTATTTCTAGAGTACTCTATGTACCCCAGGGAGAGGCTGGAGGCAGAACAAACTGAAGCATTATGAACCAGGAACTGCCAATGGCCAAAAATCAGAGATCAACCAAGAAGTGTAACTTGAGTTTCCCAAAGCATGGCACCCATACAACTGAGAGTTTGCAAGATGACTTTAGTGAGCAGGAGAGTACTAAAGAATGTTTCAGGGGTACACAGCATTAGATAACAACATATATACTAGGAAAGTCATCTCTTTTCAGTTCTTTTCAGTCCTGCTTGGGTCAAAGAGAAACTCTCAGTGTGGTGGTGTTAAACCACAGCTGGGCGTGGTGGCTCATGCCTGTAATCCCAGCACTTTGGGAGGCCGAGACGGGCAGATTGCTTGAGTAGAGGAGTTTGAGACCGGCCTGGGCAACATGGAGAGGCCCCATCTTTACAAAAAATACAAAAATTAGCCGGGCATGGTGGCATGCGCCTGTAGTCTCAGCTACTCAGGAGACTCAGGTGGGAGGATTACTTGAGCCTGGAGGCTGAGGTTTCAGTGAGCCGACAGCCTAGGCGACAGAGGGAGACTGTTCCAAAAAAAAAAAAAAAAAAAAAAACAAGCAGTCAATTTAAAGAAAAATGCTTAGTAGGTGACACATGAATATAGCAAAAATCGTGATGGTCATCCTTGAATGGCTGCCACTGAGGGACAAACTCGTGCAATGGATGGCACCAGGCTGGGGGCACCAGTGTGGCAGCTGGCCCTCTCCATCGTGGCTCTTCCACACATCAGCTGGGAGACCTTGGCTTCTTCATCTATTTAATGAGAACATTCAAATAGTCATGTCTGTTCTTTCTTACTTTGGTGACTTAAACATTTCTGGAATTATGCCAGGCAATTAAAGAGTAGGATTTGGCTTGCTCCCACAAGAATCTTCTTTCCTAATAGAGTTCCCAGAACCTAAAACATCACCTGGCAAAGACTTGGTGCTTGATCATGTTTATCGCCTGACTGAATACACTGAAAAAGAAAAACACTTCATTTTATCTATTTATCGTGTAAAGTGAGGCACCCCAGGGTTAAAGACACTGCGGCACAGTGTGAAGCAGGCAATGCCAGGAAGGAGAGCTGGCCATGCTGGCACCAGGGAAAACATACTCTCACATCCCAGGCTCAGGATCCTCTGCCACTGCTCAACACCCAAGCTGTGCATTTGGGGGCCCTTATGTCTGAATACAGTGGCAAAGATTAATTGGATAGGGGACATGTCAGTGGATCCAGATAAACATTACATCAGGGAAATGAAGTTTAATCTGGGGTTAGGAGTAAGGCACATCTCACAATTTTCTTTAATGTTGTCACTGATTTTGAAAACTGGGATCTTGAGTTCCAATATCTTAGTCTTCAGGGTATAAAGTAAAATCCAAGAATAAACAACGTAAAACACTTTCATAGAATCTCATAGACACATCTCTCCTCGCTTCGCCTGACTTACTGATTTCTGTCTTTTTTTCTTTCTTTTTTTTTTTTAGATGGAGTCTCGCTCTGTCAGCCAGGCTGGAGTGTAGTGGTACAATCTTGGCTCACTGCAACCTCCGCCTCCTGGGTTCAAGTGCTTCTCCTGTCTCAGCCTCCTGAGTAGCTGGGATTACAGGCATCTGCCACCATGCCTAGCTAATTTTTGTCTTTTTAGTAGAGACAGGGTTTCACCATGCTGGGCTGGTCTCGAACTCCTGACCTCAGGTGATCCCCCCCGCCTCGGCCTCCCAAAGTGCTGGGATTACAGGCGCAAGCTTCTGCACCTAGCCGACTTACTGATTTCTGCTGACAGTAATTGCATCAGTCTAACCTCCTAGATGCCAATGCATCTTTCATTCTCCTACTTGCTCACCACTCCTGTTAGGCAAAGGTGAAGAGGCACCAGCACTGGAGTCAACTTGTCCAAGTCTAAACAAACTACACTGCCTGATATATGGCAATTTAAACTTAAATTGATTAAAGCCAAAGAAAATTCAAACTTCAGTTCTTCAGCCACACCAGCCACACTTCAAGTGCTCAACAGCTACATGTGGATAAGAACTACCATATTAGACAGCACAGCCTTAGGGGACTTACACCCCTAAAAACTAATACCTAAAAACCCAATCCCAGTTGGGTTCAACATTTACTAGGAATGTAAGGTAAAAAGAAAAATTTTCACCAGGTGTAGGACTTTGTATGATTCGGACCGCAGCTCCCCTCAGCCACCACACTGGGTCCAGGTCCTCCCTTCCTCTCCCTCCTGTTTCTGTAAAGGCTATTCTTTCACACCCCATAGTCCCACCACCCCAGCTGCCAGAGAAATCTTCTCAATTCACACCAGGGATCAGGCTGTGCTGGTCTCATGTCCACCAAATAAAATGTGAACTCTGACCGCCCCATGTAGTCCCAGCTCAACTTCCCAGTCCTGACTCCCACGTCTTTGCCTGCACTCCAAATAACCAGCTCGCGAGCCCCATACAGCTTCATTCTGTCTTCCTTCCTGCTGACCCCTTGGTGTAGAGCACTCCCACGTCTGGCTGCCTGATGAACTCTTCCCTGCCTTCAGAGCCTGTTCAAGTGTCCCCTTTTCAGGAAAGCACTGGGGCCCATGAACCCATGCCTTCCAGACTCCCTTCAAATTCAGAGCCAGGTTCCCCCACATAGTCTTTCAGAACTATTTGCAGGGGGCTTTTAGGGTGTGCGTCAGAGCTTTGAAAACCTTCAGGTGCCAAATCCCTTCCCACTAGACCTACTGATCAGAAAAATCATGCAGCACACTTTGGCCTGCAGAGGGCTTGGAAGCAGGGCTTACAACAGCAGTCCCAGTTTAATTAAAGGCTGCCTTTTGGGGGAAATCTATGGTGGTTAAAATCCATACTCACTCTTCAAAGAGCACAGCCTTCTTTCCCAACTGCTACTGGCTCTGGCAGAAGCTGAAAATGAGATTCTGGAATCACAAGAAATAAAATGACAAAGAATTAACTCATACTAGGGAATATGAATGAAGTGCTAACAGCCGGCCAAATTGCTGGCTTCAGTGAAGGTGGAGCACTCTTTTCCTCAGCACAGGCAAAGTACAAACAGCTTGTGGCTTTATACTATGCCTCTTGTTCAGGTCACCTCCCCCAGTGAGGCAATAAGGCAAACGTGCACAAAGGGCAGGGCGTCTCAGATAATGAGCCAGGACTAGGAAGAATTGACAGAGGTCAAAGAAGAAATCTGGTAAGTAGTCAAGCATGGAACGATAGTTAAAGCTCTCCTCCATCGGGGTTAGGGCTTACCTAAACAGTGTGTTCAGAAAGGAATGGAAGCAAGGCAGCAACCAATGGGCAAGTGAGGATAATATTGTTACCAGAGTGATGGCACTGGTACTGTCAGGGGGGCTGCACCGCTCCAAAACTGGGTTGGGCAGAAGCAGGGAGGCGCTACAAACTGCTCAGCAGCAAGAGAATGAGATGAGCAAAGGAAATGAAACCAGAAAAACCCCTGAATTGTTTCAGATGAATCAAAGAATTAAATATAAAAAATAAAACCATCTAAGTTCTAGGAGGAAACATGAGAATTCTATTTTAAAAGTATCTCCATAGGAAAGGGCTTTCTAAGTAATGTCTAACATCCAGAGGCCATAACAAAGAGTATTAGTTGCATAAAAAAGTTTTTAAATCTCCACATGGAAAGAGATACCATAAATAAGATTAAAATTTGTAAATACATAATAGAGACAACATAGTAATTTCCTTAATGTATAAAGGGTTCCTACAAATCAAGACCAATAACAACAAAACCTAATAGAAAAATGAGCAAATGATCTGAACAGATAATTTACCAGGAGGGAAATACAAATGACTCTTAAACATATAAAAAGATGCTCAATCTCATTTATAATAAGAGATATGCAAATTAAATCTACAGGGTGATGGTGATCTTCCTTTATTGTACTGGCAAAGAACAAGAAGTTTAATACAGACTGTGCTGCTGAGGCTATGGAAAAATAGATGCTCTCATATAATGTACCAATTTGCATTCTCATCAGCAAACTCTACAGATTGCAATTTGGCAAAATCTGTGGCTACGTAAAATGCACATATCCTTGACCTAATGATCATCTCTCTCTTTTTTTTTCTTTGAGATAGAGTTTCGCTCTTGTTGCCCAGGCTGGAGTGCAATGCCGCGATCTCAGCTCACCGCAACCTCCGCCTCCCGGGTTCAAGCGATTCTCCTGCCTCAGCCTCCCGAGTAGCTAGGATTACAGGCATGTGCCACCATGCCCGGCTAATTTTGTATTTTTAGTAGAGACGGGGTTTCTCCATGTTGGTCAGGCTGGTCTTCGAACTCCCAACCTCAGGTGATCAGCCTGCCTCGGCCTTCCAAAGTGCTGGGATTACAGGCGTGAGCCACCATGCCTGGCTATGATCTTTTCTTCTAGGAATTTATCTATGTTTATGCCTGATTATGTGTGAAAACGTTTGCGTAAGAGTATTACAATAGTATTCATAATGGCAAAAGATTGGAAATAATTTACACGCTTACATATAGTGAACTTATAGTTAAGTAAATGATGATACAGCTTTGCAAAGAAACATATATAGCCACTAAATACAAATAGAAATTAAATATAAACCATTTAAATAATGAGACAGTCCTATTTGTCCCTATGGGTAATGACCTCCAAGGTACATTAACTCAAAAAAGCATGGAACAGAAGACAGTGGATAAGAGTAATACCCTAACACTGAAAAACAGAGAGTGAGAGAGAAAATATATTTGTTATGCTTATGTACGTGGGAAATCCTTCTGAATGGACACAAAAGAAATTGGCCATGATTATGGTTAGCACTGGGAAGGGAAACTGCAGGGCTGGGGACAGAGATGAGAGGGAGACTTTTCACTGATACCTTTTGTCCCTTTTGAAGTGCTACTATGTGCATATTTAACGAAAAATTACAATATAGGCTGGGCACTGTGGCTCACGCCTGTAATCCCAGGATTTGGGAAGCCGAGGCGGGCAGACCACTTGAGGCCAGTAGTTCGAGACCAGCCTGGCCAACACGGTGAAACCCTGACTCCACTAAAAATACAAAAATTAGCCAGGCGTGGTGGTGTGCGCCTGTAGTCCCTGCAACTCAGGAGGCTGAGGCACAAGGATTGCTTGACCGCGAGGTGGAGGTTGCAATGAGCCGAGACTGTGCCATTGTACTCCAGCCTGGGTGACAGAGCGAGACTCTCTCAAAAACAAACAAACAAAAAACAAAAAAACAAAAAATAACTACAATACAAACTCCTCAAATAAAGTAGTCCATCTGTATTGTCCAATATGGTAGCCACTAGTCACATGTGGCTGCTTAAAATTAAATTGAAATTAAATAAAATTTAAAATTCGAATCTTCAGCTGCACTAGCCACAAGTCAAATGCTCAACAGCCACTAGTTTGTGGTTATCATATTGGACAGCAGAAATATAGAACATTTCCCTTATCACAAAAGTTCTACTGGCCAGTCCCGGACTCTACACTAGTTCAAGAGGCCAGGCACCGTGGCTCACACCTGTAATCCCAGCACCTTGGGAGGCTGAAGCAGGAGGATCACTTTGAGCCCAGGAGTTAGAGACAAGCCTGGGCAACATAGCAAGACCCCACCTCTACTAAAAATACAAAAATTAGCCAGGCGTGGTGGTGCATGCCTGTAGTCCTAGCTAGAATCCCTTTAACCCAGGAGGCGGAGGTTGCAGTGCACTGCACTGCAGCCTGGGTGACAGAGTAAGGCTCTGTCTCAAAAAAAAAAAAAAAGGCCCATTAGAGACGGCAACCAAATATTAACTGTTTTTCATTATGAGGAAAGAAATACAAATGTGAATGCTGGAAGGATGGAGGATGAAACTCCCTCCATCTCCACACTATGCAGCCTAGCAGCCCACTCTATTAACATTCAATGACTGGCGGACTACTGCCCACATGACTGTCCAAAGGTTATGCCTGCATGGCAGGAACTTTAGTCCTTAAGACTCAAAGTCCAGTACTCTAAGGTAGAAGATAGGAATTTAAATTTTTCAAATGATAAACGTTCTTATTGTTCTATCCTGGAAACACATGACCATCCATAAACCACAAATTCTTATCTCCTTCGTGATTCTGGGAGAGGTACTGATTAGATGGTTCACTCTCTCCTGCTTTGCACCAAAACTCTGACAACTGGTTCCTCATGGGGGTTCTCATTAAAGAACCAGCCCAGCCCACAGTCCCCTCCCTGCTTTGGCCACCTGGGCAGCACTGTGGGAAAGAGAATTCAGCCCAGCCAGGCTGGTCCTGTGGGTGGAGGATCAGAGAGAACCAGAAAGCCGTGCTACCTGATTCTCTAGAGAAGTGACAGGCAGAGGAGGGACAGGCAGGCAGATCAGTCCGAGGCTCAGCTGGAAGGCAGGGGGGTTGTGTATCCTGTGGTACAGCTTTTAACAAATCATGCTGGCCAAGAAGCAAGGTGATGAAACATGTCACACATACACTGACCTGGCAACATCAGCCTCTTTTGTCAGGATGGGGGCTGTGGTGATAGTCTGGAATAACCGCCTGCTTGAAATCATGTTTAAAACAAGACAGCCCTACAGAAATACAAGCCAGTCTCCTGCTGGATAAAACAGGAGCCAAAAGCCACTTGACCCTTTACGTTTAAGGAGCCCAAAGTCTTCAGGCTCTAGTGGAGCCCACAACAGGCTTTGATTTGAACGTTTCTCACTGAATTAGCATGAGTACATGTAACTGTCATCAGCCAGGTCACCCCTCAAAGGTGAAGTGCTAGAAAGAGCATCATGTAAGTGACTATTTGCCACATGGCTGAAAGGAATTAAAATAGCCCTCTATTGGTGTGCTATATAGCAGATGGAAAAAATAGAACCTCAGCACCCAAAACATTCTCCTGTTGGCCAAACTTGCACTTTTAAATAAGAGGAAAAGCAGGGAGATCAAAGACAGTTTTGCCTTTCTTTTTTTGTTCTTTCTTTCTTTTTCTTTCTTTCTTTCTTCTCTCTCCTTCCTTCTTTCTTTCTTTTTTTTGAGACAGGGTCTCCCTCTGTTGCCCAGGCTAGAGTGCAGTGGCACGATCTCAGTTCACTGCAACCTCTGCCTCTGGGGTTCAAGCAATTCTTGTGCCTCAGTCTCCCCAAGTAGCTGGGACTACAGGTGTGCACCATCATACCCGGCTAATTTTTGTATTTTTAGTAGAGACAGGGTTTTGCCATGTTGGCCAGGCTGGACTTGAACTCCTGGCCTCAAATGATCTGCCTGCCTCGGCCTTCCAAAGTGCTGGGATTACAGGCATGAGCCACTGTGCTCAGCCTGGGGTTTTGCCTTTCTAAATGAGGTGAAGTGGCCAGATGCAGTGGCTCAGGGCTGTAATCCCAGCACTTTGGGAGGCCCAGGTGGGCGGATTACCTGAGGTCAGGAGTTCGAGACCAGCCTGGCCAACATGGTGAAATCCTGTCTCTACTAAAAATACAAAATTAGCCAGGTATGGTGGCAGGCATCTCAGTAATCTCAGCTACTCAGGAGGCTGAGGCAGGAGAATCGCTTGAACCTGGGAGGCAGAGTTTGCAATGAGCTGAGATCGAGCCATTGCACTCCAGCCTGGGTGACAGAGCGAGACTCCGTCTCAAAACAAAACAAAAAAAAAGGAGGTGAAGTTGGTCTACAGTACTTTCCAACTGCAGGAACAAAGTTGATGTTAAACAAAAAAATGAGCCCTGTTAATAAACACTGGCAGGCTTTGGCAGGACAAGACTTCTCACTCCCAGCACAAAGTCTAGCATTCAGGGTCCTTGTGCACTGATCCACATCTTCTTTCTAGCCAGAATCTCCTTCCCAGAGACCTCAGTAGCCCAGGAAGATAAACACCAGAAAAAAGGATATATGGTAAAGCCACACTCAGAATTTCATAGTTAAAAGTAAAATACAGTTTTGTTTAGTACTTTATCTAAATAAAACAAAAATCGAATCTATCTATTTTAAAAGCAATAGTAAATACCAAGCAAAATTTAGGTTACAATTACATTTCTGTGCTTTTTTTTGCTTTTTTTTTTAATTTGAGACAGGGTCTTGCTCTGTTGCCCAGGCTAGACTGTAGTGGCGCACTGCAGCCTCGACCTCCTGGGCCCAAGTGATCCTTCCACCTCAGCCTCCTGAGCAGCTGGGACCACAGGCATGCACCACCACGCCCAGCTAATTTTTCATTTTTTGCAGAGATGGGGTCTCTCTATGTTACCCAGGCTGTTCTCGAACCCCTGGCCTCAAGCAATCCTCCTGCTTTGCCCTCCCAAAGTGGTGGGCAGGCACGAGCCACCATGCTCAGCCCTGTGCGAATTCTTAGAACAAAGACTTCATTTTGTGTAGACTCTTTTACGGTATGATAAGTCCTTCCAATTAACATTTGGTCATCACTGTGCTATCATAAAGAAGCCATTTTTGCAAAAATATCTTATGGCCTCACTGATTTCTCAAGGGCCTCTCAATTGTTTGATTTTCAAGTCTCTCCCCTAAAGGAGTGTTCATCCCTTCTCTTTATCAATTGTTGGCAGATCTCACATTGCCAGATCCTATTATTGCTTTGACACATCATCCAAGCAGTTCCTTAACATCACTGGCTTTGATTTCAAGAGATATTGCCTCTCTTAAGAGTTGCAATTTTACTTTCCATTGTTTATGTCATATTTGCAAAACATCTGACGACCAGGCAGAGACGCAGAGCCAAAATATGGATGCTCCTGGAGCCTGGCTGACCACCAGGGTTGAAAACAGAGGGATAGATGATGAAGTAGGACTTAACTTTGCACATGGCAAGTCCATTAATGAATATTTTCCTGTTATGAAAACTTCTGCTTCCCAGCCAGGCACAGTGGCTCACACCTGTAATCTCAGCACTTTGGGAGGCCAAGGCAGGTGGATCACTTGAGGTTTGAGACCAGCCTGGACAACATGGTGAAACCCTGTCTCTAACTAAAAACACAAAAAAATTAGGCAGGCGTGGTGGCACACACCTGTCGTCCCAGCTACAAAGGAGGCTGAGGCACAAGAATGCCTTGAACTCAGGAGGCAGAGGCTGCAGTGAGCCAAGTTCGTGCCACTGCGCTCCAGCCTGGGCAACAGAGTGAGACTCTGTCTCAAAAAAAAAAGAAAACTTCTGCTTCCCATCCACAATCTGGAAACTGCGGAGAATCAGATACTAGATACACTTAATAATCTGACTTTCTCATGACTATACCTGCACTGGCTTTCTGTTTTTTTCTCTATTTTCTCCACTCTCTACCTATAAGACGTCCTCTGTCTACCCCCAGTTCTCCTTTAAAAAATCTTTCTGGTGGAGCTAGAAGTTATCTCCTTCACTTAGACTTTCCTCAATCCCCCAGTAATCTCTATTTCATCCTCCATGCCCCACAGTATTTGGTATGAACACTTCTCTCTCAAGACACTTGAGATTTGTATCTCGTGATAAGAACACTGGCTGGGCGGGACTGTAAACTAGTTCAACCATTGTGGAAGACAGTGCAGTGATTCCTCAAGGATTGAGAACTAGAAATACTATTTGACCCAGCAATCTCATTACTGGGCATACACCCAAAGGATTATAAATAATGCTACTATAAAGACACATGAACACATATGTTTATTGCAGCACTATTCACAATAGCAAAGACTTGGAACCAACCCAAACGTCCATCAATGATAGACTGGATTAAGAAAATGTGGCACATATACACCATGGAATACTATGCAGCCATAAAAAAGGATGAGTTCATGTCCTTTGTAGGGACATGGATGAAGCTGGAAACCATCATTCTGAGCAAACTATTCCAAGGACAGAAAACCAAACACCGCACAGTCTCACTCATAGGTGGGAATTGAACAATGAAAACACTTGGACACAGGGTGGGGAACATTACACACCGGGGCCTGTCGTGGGGCAGGGGGATGGGGGAGGGATAGCATTAGGAGAAATACCTAACGTAAATGACGAGTTAACGGGTGCAGCAAACCAACATGGCACATGTATACATATGTAACAAACCTGCACGTTGTGCACATGTACCCTAGAACTTAAAGTATAATAATAATAATAACAATAAAAAGAACACTGGCTGGACCCTCCACTAGGCTGCAAGCTCCTCAAAAACAAGTCTGACCACATCTTTGCCTCTGTCACAGTACTTAGCATACACTGTGCCTTGCCCTTGGCAGACACTTGGTCAATGCCAAATGATAAGCTGGAAAGCTGAAACAAAACCAACTGCTGACTGAGAAGAAACCACTCCCTGCACCCATCACACAGCCTTAGGGGGAGAAGTCATGAATCAACAGGGCTGCCCCACCAGTGTCAATGCAGGCATTCCTTCACTCTGCTCATATGGCCACAAATGAAAGAAACATTCGTCAGAGCAGTATAGTTTTAGAGGTTTTAGTTTGGATGGGCAGCTGGGTCCTAGAGAAATTAAGCAAGCTGCTCAATGTCACACAGCTTTCTCTTCCTCTCTGCTAATTCACTGGTGGTTGGCAGTGGCTCTCAGCATGATGTTGAAGGCCACTTAGGATTTGGTGCTGCCCATCTCTCAAGGGTCATCTTCTTCTATCACCTGCCTATTGCCTGCCCTCCATCCCTTCCAATAATGATCTGCAACCCCCAGACATGCCGTGCTCTCCCACACCTCCGGGACTTTGACACACCTGCTCCTCTCTCCCCGGCACGCCTATTCTCCCTCTCGCCTGGCGAGCTCCAGCCCATCCTAAAAGTCTTAGCTATTAAAGCACTGCCGCTCTCTGTAAATGCTCCTGACAGTTCAGTTTTGCAGCTCAACAACCTGGGTTCAAATCTCTGCTCTGCCATTGACCACTGTGACTCTGCTCTGGTCACATGCTTGCCATGTGACTGTAGCAAGTGACCTAACCTCTTAGAATTCTACCTCAGTGTGGGGATGAAATGGGATGATGCAAGGAAACTGTTCAAAGCAGTGACAGGCAGATACTAAGCATTCACTCTGCACTGCTGGGATCTTGCCTGACTTCACAGGCAGAGTTAGGCAGCCCTGCCATACCTCCACCACCCTGCATGGCCACTGCTCAGGCCTATTGAGATGCCTGAGTAGTCTCTGGGCAGGGTCTGCATTGCCATCTTTATACTCTCAGAATCCAGTCCCATCCCCAGACTTCATCATATGTAACGTATGAATCCTTTTCTGGGTATATCACAAGGCAAACACCCAATGCCAACAGCCAAACAGCCACAGCTTCTGGAAAAATGCCTAAGAGCAAAGGCTGCTGTTAATATATTACTTAAAAAGAAGAGGATCCCAACCTGCAGCAGTGTAAGAACCTCTGCCCACACCTCCTGAGTGCTGTCCTGCTCCCCTGAATCAGCAGTTTCCTTGGTACAGCACCAGAGAGCCGCACAGAAGCTCATGACAGACCCCAAACCCATCCAGCCACAGGCAGCAACACCCCAAGTGGCCTCTAGGATTGGGAAGCGTCAAATAGGATCCAGAGGGTTTCTGAGGGTCCGGTTTAGGAGAATACTTTGATCTTCTTGGAAGAGGCAACTACATGCAAGGTCAGAAAGGACTTTAATGTTGTGAAAATCATATCCAGTTTCAGTTTCTCAACTGTGGCACAAGTGACACTGGAGGCCATATAATTCTTTGTTGTGGCACCGTCCTGTGCATCGTAGGACGTTTAGCAGCATCCCTGGCCTCTACCCACTTGATGTTACCTACAAGTTGTGACAACCAACAACAACAACAAAATTTCAAAATTATCCAGGTTTGGCCGGGCGCGGTGGCTCACATCTGCAATCCCAGCACTTTGGGAGGTAGAGGCGGGCAGATCACCTGAGGTCGGGAGTTCGAGACCAGCCTGACCAACATGGAGAAACCCCGTCTCTACTAAAAATACAAAATTAGCCAGGCGTGCTTGTGCATGCCTGTAATCCCAGCTACTCTGGAGGCTGAGGCAGGAGAATTGCTTGAACCCGGGAGGCGGAGGTTGCGGTGAGCCGAGATCGCGCTACTGCACTCCAGCCTGGGCGACAGAGCAAGACTCCGTCTCAAAAAAAAAAAAAAAAATTACCCAGGTTTGGTGGTGCACACCTGTAGCCCCAGTTACTTAGGAGGCTGAGGTAGCAGGATTGCTTGAGCCCAGGAGTTCAAAGTTACAGTGAGCTAAGATTGCTCCACTGCACTCCAGCATGGGTAACAGAGTGAGACCCTGTCCCTTAAAAAAAAAATTTTTTTAAGACTCAAATAGGAGAAATTTTTAAAGAATTTTTTTTCAACTTGCAGAACTAGCTTCCTGGCATCTTCCAAATATTTAGCTTTGATGGGGATGTCTTGCCTCTTTTCTTTTGAACACTCATCACGGTAATAATTGATCTAATCACCAAAATAACCAGGAGTTTCATAAAAAGTATGACATAGCATGCCAGGTGTGGTGGTGCACACCTGTAGTTCTAGCTACTTGGGAGGCTGAGGTGGGAGAATCACTTGAGCCCAAGAGTTCCAGGTCAGCCTGAGTAGGAAACACAGTGAGACTTCATCTCTAAAAAAAAAAATTTTTTTAAAGAATATGACATAGTGAAGCTGATTTCCAATCTTAGCTAGCCTACTAGGATAAACACTCATTCTTTATTTATTTATTTTATTTTTTGAGACTGGGTCTTACTTTTTCACCTAGGCTGGAGTGCAGTGGAGCAATCTCAGCTCACTGCAGCCTTGACCTCCCAGGCTCAAGCAATCCTCCCACCCCAGCCTCCCAAGTAGCCGGGACTACAGGTACGCAACACCACTCCCAGCTAATTTTTTTTTTTTTTTGGTAGAGATGGGGTTTCACCATGTTGCCCAGGCTAGTCTTGAACTCCTGGGTTCAGGTGATCCTCTTGCCTTGGCCTCTCAAAGTGCTGGCCACTTTGAGGTGTGAGCCCACCACACCGAGACAAAACATTCATGCTTGCCTTTCTTCCCTCCAAACCCAAAGATAATCTTTGAGTCTAACTTCTCGCCCCCAGGATAGACCTCACCCAACGCATACTGCAAACCAGGATCACCTCTAAGGACAATTTTTTTCTCATATCAAGTTTCAGAATTACTTCCCAGTTGCACAAACTGCATTCCCATCTTTTACTCTAGGTTTGCAGATGCTCACAGAATCAAAGGTCACACATTTTAAAAGCTAAAAAAACCAGAAGGGCACTTCTGTCTCTAACTACAAAGACAATGGATAATTTGGAGTTGACGAAAGCCACAGAATGTGTCGAAAAGGCAAAATAATAAAAATAATAAAAAGATGAAAATAGAGAAAGTCTCATAGGCCTTTCTGAGCACACAAAATGGTTAATTTCTGTAGAGTCAGTGTGAGCCATTTATTAATTATTTTTTTCCAGTAATTCAAGGTAGTGGTCAACTACCACTCTTCATAATAACAGCTGCTGCTTTCTGAGTGCTTAAAACATGCTGGGCCCTGTGCATTATTTTATCTAAATATTGCCACTACCCTTTAAAGTGGGTACTATTACCAGAAGCTGAGAGGCCCTTGCTGGTCTGAGAAAAACAAATTAGTGCTAGAAACACAGGTGATTAATTTCTGTTATTTCTAATTTCCTATATTATAACAATGTTCTTGATAAGAATTTGTTGAAATTGGGTAAAAAGTCTAGTGGTTCGAGGTCGGGTTGGGGGGGCGGTTGGGGGAAGGGGGTGGTTCTGAGGCCAGACTCACTTCGTGTCTTGGGAAGGTACCACCTCTGGAAGCCTCATATTCCTGCTCTCAGGAATGGGCACAGCGGTGGTACCTACCTCAAGGGGCTGTTGGGGAAAGTATGGCAGGTAATTCTTTTAAGGGGCTTAGGACAGGGCCTGGCACACAAGATTTGCTTATTCTATGTCAGCTATTATTCATTATAAACTACTTTAAACTCTTAGCCAGGTGGAGCCACTAGGGATTTCTGAGCAGGCGGGAGCAGCGGGGAGGGGGGCGGCGAGATAAATGAGGGCCTCCAGGTCCCAGCTGGAGTAAGACCCCCACTTTATTTCCTCTTCCTAACCACCCAGCTCCTGGGGCATACAAAGGGCTCAAAATACATATTCTCTGCATGCACAGTATCTAGACCCTCTGGCATCCTCCTCTTCCCCCACTCCCCCATGCCTCACTCTGTCACCTGGCCTCGCTGTGGGCTCAGGGGCGCAAACCCTGCACGTGCACTGCCCTGCAGCCGGCGTTACACAATCCGCATTTCTAAGGCAGCCGTGAAACCTGTGTCGCTGTAGGCGGGGGACCGCAAGTTGCCGGCGGGTACCTGGCTGGACAGCATCCTGATTCAAGTGTTTCGACACGGAAGGGGCGCAAGGGCACGGGAGCCGGGGCAGGCTGGGGAAAGGGAAGCTGAAAGGCTGCTGGGGGAGGGGAGTAGCGGAGCGAGATCTTGGGGACGGCGCGGAGGCGGCGCGTGACACGGAGCAAGATGCTATCTGGGTGGGCGAGCTGCAGTCCTTCTCCAGGAAATGGGGGAAACAGGGCTGCAGGACCCCAAAATCCTCTCGGCACTGCGAGGGGCGCCTAAGGGCTGCTGCGGGCGCAGGGGGTGGGGAGGCGAAGTAGAAAGAGGGTGCAGGTCCCGACCCGTCCTCACTCTGTCCCCCGGCTTCAAGAGGCTGGCTGGACCCAGGAAATGGGGCGCCGGGTTTCGGGCATCTCAAACCTATCCAGGCAGCGGGAGGTGGGGGCAGCGCCCGCGCGGGGAGCGGAGTGGAAAGGCAAGTGCAGATCGCCGACTCTTTCCACTCGATGCGCCGCTGCAGGGAGACACTGGGGGAGAGGTCACGGGGCCATCAGGGCGCCCCATCCCCCTAGGAGCGCACCACCGCCCGCCCGCCCGCCTCCGCTCACCTGACCAGCCTCAACCGCCTGGGTCCCGCCGCCGGGCCCGGACCCCGGCCCTCGGTCTCTAGCCCCGGGCTGGGACCTGCCGCCGGGCTCCTACCCGCGCCGCTCCCAGCTCCGGCGCCCAGCCCAGCTGGACTCCTTAAAGGCGCAGCGTGCCGGTTCGCGTCCTCCGACAGAAAAGCCGCCCCGCCCCGACCCGGCGCCGCGCGCTGTCCCCCAGCGGCCGCGCTCTGTTTGGGGGCTCCGGGGCGCTTATCCCCAGTTCCTCCGCGCGCTGCCTCACAGCGTTAAACCCGGAGGGTACAGTTAGCGTCTCGCACAACCCAACGCCGGCAACTGTCTCCTAGCACCCGAAAGCCACGGCGAGAGCAGGATCGCCTACAGAGGTACCGGGGGCGGAGCCCGAGCGCCCGGTCCCGCCCCCGCCCCCGCCCCCGCCCCCGCCCCGCCCCGCCCCGGAACGCACACGGTGGCGGGGCGCGGGGAGGGCCTCTGAGCCCGCAGAGCCACACACAGTTCCACATCCCCGGCCCGAATTCTTCCCGGCACTGTTTCACTTACTGAGCACCTACTGTGTGCCTGGCGCGGCTGGGCATTAAACCCGCCAAAGTGACTCAGGCAGGATCTCTGGATCTCTGCCCCGAAGGGCATCAGAGAGAAAGGGACAGGCAGGGGTTCTCAGGCAGCAAAGCAACACTGCTTGACATCGGTTGTCTCACGTAATCCTATGAGGTAGGCACTGGGGTCGACTTCTTTTCTCAGAAGACACCGAGGCTCAGGGAGGTGAGGGGCTTGCCCTGGATAGTCCAGGAAATGGGAGAAATGGGGGCGCAGGAGCCCCCAAATCCTCTGGACACTGCGAGGGCTCCACCCCAAGGAACACCGTAGGCGCTCATGCTCCCGCCCTGGCTCTCGGGTGTTTGGAGACAGTTGCCGGCGTCGGGTTGTGCGGGACGTCAGACTGTAAGGACTGAACTGGGAATTCCAACCGAGGATCGTCTGACTCCAAAGCTATACGGGAGAAATGGGCACCTGGAAAGGCCTTCGGCCACCTCTGGTTAAACCCCTGCTATGGTCGTTTCTTTCTTTTAGGGACAGTTAAACCCCAGCTTGGCCTGGCTACTCTTCCGTGTTTTCCATGTCTCAGTTTAGCTGCCACTTCCTCCAGGAAGCCTTCAGTAAGACCCCTTTGGGCTCACACTGCACTGTGGGCTTCTTTCATCAAAACATGTATTCGTTCATTTAACAGATATTTACTACACCTGTTAGGGGCCTTAGTGGCACCCAGATCTTCCTGCTGCACTGAGTGCTTGGCCTGCCACTCCAGACGTCAAGGGGCCAGGGCTCAGCAAGACTCTCTTGGCCGTTTAAATCCCCCACAAAGGCAGCCTTTGGGCCTCAGCCTGCCAAGGCCTCCACGCTGGTGGAGCCTGGCTGAGTGGTGCAGGTCCTGGGTTTTAAGAATAGGACACAGTCAAGAAGTCCCGGAGAAGTGGCAAAGGGGCATCTCTGAAGCCACTAGTGATCCCCATGCCTGTAAACCCTGCTCTGCAGGGCAGCTGGAATTCATCCGGAGTTTGGGACAGTCCCCCTGGCTTGGGCTGGAGCATTTTCCTTTAAATTGTTGGCTGCCTTATCACTTAGACTTCAATGGCTGCATGTGATTCACTTCAGGGAATGGCCCCCGAGTTTCAGTGGCAATTTATTCACCAAACAGCGGGTTGCTCAGTCCCACCTCTCTGGCTTTATCTCTCCTTACGGCTGAAGCAGAACCTTTCCAAGCCAGCAGTCCACCAACATCCCCAGAGCAGGTCCACAGAGATAGCACAAAATGTGGGGATTAAATGTCCTTCAGTCACTACTGGCCACCTATTGGATTAGCATCTTGGACTCAGGAACATTCACCAAAACAGGAGTCCAGGGGGTGAATAAATAGACAATGAAATTGATGAATGACTTCCTGGAAGGCCCCAGCCTAGAAGCCATCAATACACCTGGTATAAAGTTTAAAACAATTGCTCCTTAGTCTTTTAATTTTCCCTCTCCAAAACCTTAAAAATGGGTAGTTCATCAGTTTGGTGGGTTTTTTATTTAACTCACAGCCTGTGACCCTGGGCGTCTCCAAGGGCCTGGAATTTCTATATCCCGAGGGTTTTTTTCCCTCAGAGTTTTATATTTAGAAACACCTTTTTGAGCCCCATGTGGGAGTCACATTCTGGGTGACTTATCTCCACTGGATGGCTGACAGGAGAGAAACCTTATTAGCTCCAGTTTTACAGTGAAGGAGGCAAGAGGAGATAAGGGAACTCACCTCCGGCCCCTCCCTGAGCCGGTGATACCCCTGAGTGCTGTCACTGAGGAATCCCACCTAGGTGGGAGACCAGGGAGCAGTCCCAGGGGCCTGGTACTTTCCAGATGGCACCTTTAGTCATCCCAAATAGAAACTCCTTATCAGTGGACAGGTCTCACCCTAGCATTAAGAAAGAGTTTTGAAACCTTTCCTCTGCCAGCAGTTGCAGCAGAACACTCCAGGATTCACTCTGCCATGAAGCCTGTACATGTCTCCTGGATGCAGCAGCACAGCTATCAGAGCTGAAGGATGCCATTATTTAATGCGCACTTACTACCTTCAGCCGCAGGGCATCAAATCACTTAGTCCTCACAACACATAGTGAAATATGCTCACCTGTGAGTTATACTAACCCACTTTACAGACACACCGAGGTACAGAGGGGTTAATGGACTCACTCAAGATCCCACAGCCAGCTTATGGCAGGGCCAGCGGTCAAAGGAGTTCACTCATTCATTTATGTAGCAAACATTACTGAGAACCTACTACATACTAGGTACTGTCTGGATGAACAGAGACACACTTCTTGCCCTCAAGGACTTAGAGTCTATTTATAATAATAAAATATTAGAAGCTATTTAATCAGGGAATCACACACAAGCTGTGAGGGAATCACACAAAAGCCATGTCAGCACATGGAAATGTGTGCAGGAGAAAAGCAAAAAACACAAGATACCATGTGTACACAGACACCAGCTGGGCAGCACCCCTGAGCTTATGAGTCATTCGTACCATCTATTCCCCAAGCATTTGCTGTGTGACAACTCTGAGCCAATCCCTGAGGCCTCTGCCCAATCTGGAACTCCAGTATCACTGCCTCCCAGCAGCCTTACCTGACTATCCAGGCAAAATTAATTTTTCCATCGTCCACACCCCTGTAGCACATTATACATGACGATATGTTTATTTATTTAGGCAACTCTCAACTCCACGGAGTTGTGAATTCCTTTTCCACTTCCATCTCCCCAGGGAAAAGCATGATGAGTAGCACAGAACAGGCAAATGTTAATTAGCTACCATGTGTTGAGCTTTTCCTGTGTTCCTCACCTTGTGCTCAGTGCTTTACAAGCATTATCTCATGGATTCCTCCCAACCACTCTGTTATTAGCCCTATTTTACAAATGAGGAACATTTTGAGGCTCAGAGAGTTTCTGAGCCTCAAATCTACCCAAATGTGTTAAATCACCTATCCAAATATCTTAGTCTGTGTGTGTGTGTGTTTTGAGAGAGTCTCACTCACTCTGTCGCCCAGGCTGGAGTGCAGCGGCACGATCACGGCTTACTGCAACTTCCACTTCCCCAGGTTCAAGCAATTCTCCTGCCTCAGCCTCCTGAGTAGCTGGGATTACAGGCATTTGCCACCACACCCAGCTAATTTTTGTATTTTTAGTAGAGACAAGATTTCCCCATGTTGGCCTCTTAGTCTGTTTTTGCATTGCTGTAAAGAAATAACCAAGACTGGGTAATTTATTAAGGAAAGAGGTTTAATTGGCTCACAGTTCTGCAGGCTGTACATAGTGCCAGCATCTGCCTCTCATGAGGGCCTCAGGAAGCTTACAATCACAGTGGAAGGTAAAGGGGAGCCAGTGTGTCACCAGGCAAGACAGTGGGAGCAAGAGGGAGCAGGAGCAAGAGACAGTGAGGGCAAAAGAGAGTAAGAAAGGAGGTGCCACGCTCTTTTAAACAATCAGATCACATGTGAACTGCCAGACTGAGAACTCACTCATCACCAAGGGGATGATGCTAAGCCGTTCATGAGGCGTCTGCTCCTGTGATCCAGTCACCTGCCAGACTCTTAGTAACAACCAGCTCTTCTGGGAAATAATAGAATGAGAACTCACCCACCACCCCTACCTACCAAAGGGCATTAATCTATTCATGAGGGACCTGCCTTCATGACCCAAACACCCCCATTAGGCCCACCCCCATACTGGGAATCACGTTTCAACATGAGATTTGGAGGGGACAAGCATCCAAACCATATCACCAAGGTCACACAGCTAGTCAACGATACTGCCAGAATTCAAACAAAGTTTTGTATGTCTGAGCACAAAATCTATATTCTAACCATTCAGCCACCTGCTGCCATGACAAGTAATGGAATTAAATAAGAAGAATACAACAAAATCTCACCTTAAAAAGCTTGTACTGAGCATTTTATGAAGTAATAACTTTTTTAGGCTAAAAATATTTCTTTCCAAATGCCTTAAAATATTGCTTATTCATTTATTTGTGAATTAAATGTTTACAAGCATTTACTTATGCATAGGACCCAAGCTATGGTAGATACAATTTTACCCCTTCCTTTAAGGAGAACAGTCTAAATTATATACACCTGAAAAAAAGAACATCAGTGCAAGAGTTAAGTAATAAGAACATATCACAAGACAACAAGTCAACATATGTCAACACATGTCATATGTAGTATATAATCATAGAAAGGACTCACTAATCAGGAAGTTCTAAGACTGTAATTCCTACTATATTGATTCATTCACTGAAAATGCCAGTTGAGCATAGCACTAGGCCAGAGAGTGTCCTGGATGGGAAGGAAAGGGAGGACTTTGAGAGATCAGTGTCACTGCACCTGCAGCACTCTGATAAGCTCAGGCTTGCCAAGCACCTGAAAAGAAGTGGGAAGATGCTGTAGTTTGAATATGGTTTGTTGAACCTCACCAAATCTCATGTAGAAATTTGATCTCCATTGTTGGAAGTGGAGCCTAATGGAAGGTGCTTGGGGCATGGGGACAGATCCCTCATGAATAGATGAATGCCCTTTGACAGGATGGGGTAGTGAGTAAGCTATTATTTCCCGTGAGAGCTGGTTGGTATATAAAAAGAGCCTGGCAACTCCCTACTCTCTCTTGCTTCCTCTTCTACCGTGTGATCTCTACACTTGCATGCTCTGCTTCTATGTCCACTATGAGAGGAAGCATACTGAGGCCCTCATCACATGGCCAGTCTTGATCCTTCCAGCCAGCAGAATTATGAGCCAAATAAACCTACATTTCTTTCTTTCCCTCTTTCTTTCTTTTCTTTTTCTTTCTTTCTTTCTTTCTTTCTTTCTTTCTTTCTTTCTTTCTTTCTTTCTCTTTCTTTCTTTCTTTCTTTCTCTCTCTCTCTCTTTCTTTCTCTCTCTCTCTTTCTTTCCTTCTTTCTTTTTGACAGCATCTTGCTCTGTTGCCCAGGCTGGAGTGCAGTGGCACAATCTTGGCTCAATGCAACCTATGCCTCCTGGGTTCAAGCAATGCTCCTGTCTCAGCCTCCCGAGTAGCTGGGATTACAGGCACATGCCACCACACCCAGCTAATTTTTGTGTTTTTAGTAGAGACAGGGTTTTACCATGTTGGCCAGGCTGGTCTCGAACTTCTGACCGCAGGTGATCCTCCTGCCTCAGACTCCCAAAGTGTTGGGATTACAGACGTGAGCCACCGTGCCCAGCCTAACCTTATTTCTTAATAATTACTCAATCTCAGGTATTCCTTTATAGCAACATAAAATGGACTAAGACAGAAGGTGATGGAAATTTTCCAAAAGATTAACCTGGACCTTTAATAAGAGGTGAGGGATACTAACACCCAGAATGATTGGGACTCCACTGCTAAAGACAGGAAAAGGTTAATGTAAAACCAAATTAGGATAAAAATGATGAATGCAAAAGGAACGGAGCATATGGAATGTTAACAGATGGCAGAGGGAAAGCCAAACTACCGGTTTCCTATATTACATCATCTTGATCATGGAAAAAGATTTGATCAGGTGAAAATATCACAAAGAGGGAAACTGAGCTCAGGATAGGAAGAAAAGATGGAGAAAGAGCACACAAAAATTTAAATTAGTTCAAATTACCAGATCAAGAGAAATTACTGCCCAAGATACTAAAAGGATATTTAGATCTGATCTTAAGAAACATATTCAGTGATCTTTGATAAATTATGCTAGAAGATTTTAACGAGTGAGAGTCCCATTTCAAATAAAGGAGAAAGACTGATAAACAGATCTCGAGACCAAGAGGTATGGTGTTGATTTTTAGCAAAGTTCTGCACCTGATTATTAAACTAAAACAAAAGAGGTTAAGTACAAGAGCTCATTTGGGTTCCCTGTGAATGATCACACCAAAGGAATAATATTTCACAGTTACTAGCATAAATAGACCTGGAGACTGTTGCAGGAAATTGCATACAGAATCTTGACTGTAGTAGGCTTTGGACAAAGCATTTTATAATCTGTTTATGGAGAAGATGAAGTAATTTAGACTTCGAAATATCAGTTTGGTGAAGTCATAGAAGGTTAAACAACAGTGGCCCAATTTTGTTTAATCTGACAAAATGAGACTGAAAGCAATTTTTTTTCCTTCCTTCCTTCCTTCCTTCCTTCCTTCCTTCCTTCCTTCCTTCCTTCCTCTCTTTCTCTCTCTTTCTCTCTTTCTTTCATCTCATTATGTTGCCCAGGCTGGTCTTGAGCTGCTGGCCTCAAGCCATCCTCCTCCCTCAGCTTCCCAAAGTACTGGGATTACAGCCCTGAGCCACCATGTCCTGCCTGGAAGCAATTTTCTAATAAAATGCTGTAGTTCTCTCTCCTTGAAATTTTTTTTTAATTGAGATGAACACAAATTCAGACTTCTCATTAAATTTTAAATTAAACAAAGCTAGGAAGAAAATTGAGATTCAAAACTGCTTCAATAATTTGGAATACGCCAAAAACATTATGGTGAAATTTCACCATCCCACCTTTAAGCTTTTAAAATCCAAATTGGAGGCTGGACACAGTGGCTCATGCCTGTAATCCCAGCACTTTGGGAGGCTGAGGTGGGCGGATCATGAGGTCAGGATATCGAGACCATCCTGGCCAACATGGTAAAACCCTGTCTCTACTAAAAATACAAAAAATTAGCTAGACGTGGTGGCATGTGCCTAAAATCCCAGCTACTCTGGAGGCTGAGGTGGGAGAATCCCTTGAACCAGGGAGTCAGAGGTTGCAGTGAGCCAAGATCATGCCACTGCACTCCAGCCTGGCGACAGAGCAAGACTCCATCTCAAAAAAAAAAAAAAAAAATCCAAATCGTATCTCAGCATATGGTAGACCAGATGCAGCCTTCTCAACTCATCTCTATTCTGGATAAAACAGACTTTTTCATATGTTGGGCTGACATGTATCAAAATAAGAGTAGGGGGCAGTAAGCAACAAATAAATGTGAAATGCAGTGTTGTCCTGAGAACAAATGTGTATATCGTACCCATAAACAATATTGGGAGACTAAACTTGGCCAGCTGTAACTTTGAGGAGCTGAACCTGAAAGCTCCATGTTTAGCCGGGACCCTCAAATGAGCTATGGCAGTGCCAGATGCTGGTGTGACTTCACTACAAGCATGTTCAAAGAAGGATGTTCTCTGTAAACCACCCAAGATTCTCATAGATCATAATTCAACACATACGAGCTTATTGAAAGAAGCCAGACACAAAGAAGCAGATACTGTATGAGCTCACTCGATAAAGTTCAAAAACAGAACAACTACTCTAAGATGTTAAAAATTAGAAGTGGTTGCCTTTGGGGGGAAATGACTGGAAGGGGGCTTGAGGCAGATATCTGAGGTGCCAGTAATTATTCTATATCTTTATCTGGGGTGGTAGTTATGCAAGTGTATTCACTTGTGCAAATTTCTCAAACTATATACTTACGTGCAATTTTCTATATGTATGTTATGCTTAAATACAAATATATTCTTAACAATAAAGTCAAAACCAATATCACCATCACACACAAAGAAATGAGTCACAATGAGACAGAAAGAGAGAGAGAGAGAGGAAGAAGGTCAGCAGTAAGGGCAAACAACAAATTTACAGTCCCCAAGTTTCTTTGTATATAAAGATATATTTCTATGTATTTATTTAATTTGCATTAATTTCTTTAACTTGCATAAAGAAATACGTGCAAATATTTAGAATTTTATAATGCAAATATATATAATTTTATAATTATATTTGCATATAGAATTATTAGATTATAAACTATGTATGTAATGTTAGCACAAATAAAAGGTGGAATCACAAAAATTAGTAAACAGCAGTATATTTCTTAAATGATTAGACATGTTTTTAAAGGAACAAATAGAAATTTTAAAAATAAAATATCTATTTTGTAGTTGAAGGAATAGATATCAAAGAACGTGAAAGATATTCATTCTTTCTTTGATCCATCCTTACCCAAAGGATGGGTGAAACAACAGGTAAGACACAGCTAATGAGACAATTGATTTGGTAGCCAGATCTGAAGACATTCTCCAGAATTCAGCACAGAGTGATGACATGACTAAATATGAAAAAGACGTTATGGAATATGAAGGATAGTCTGAGAAGGTTTAATATTTATTTAATTAGTGTGAAAGATGGAGAGAAGGAAGGCGAGGCCATATTTGAGGTGGAAATGGCTGAGAATTTCTAGGGCAGGAAATAGAACGTGACTCCACAGATTTAGGAAGTACAACATATCTTTTTTTTTAACATTTCCATAGGTTTTTGGGGAACAGGTGGTGTTTGGTTACATAAATAAGTTCTTCAGTGGTGGTTTCAGAGATTTTGGTGCACCCATCACCCAAGCAGTGTACACTGCACCCAATGTGTACAGTCTTTTATCCCTCACCCCCTTCCCACCCTTTCCCCGAGGCCCCAAAGTCCATTGTATCATTCTTATGTCTTTGGATCCTCATAGCTTAGCTCCCACTTATGAGTGAGAACATACGATGTTTGGTTTTCCATTCCTGAATTACTTCACTTAGAATAATGGTCTCCAATTCCATCCAGGTTGCTGTGAATGCCATTATTTTGTTCCTTTTTATGACTGAGTAGCACCCCATGGTGTATGTGTGTGTTTATATCACACTTTCTTTATCCACTCATTGACTGATGGGCATTTGGGCTGGTTACACATTTTTGCAATTGCGAATCGTGCTGCTATAAACATGCGTGTGCAAGTATCTTTTTCGTATAATGACTTCTTTTCCTCTGGGTAGATACCCAGTAGTGGGACTGCTGGATCAAATGGTAGTTCTACGTTTAGTTCTTTAAGGAATCTCCACACTGTTTTCCATAGTGGTTGTACTAGTTTACATTCCCACCAGCAGTGTAGAGGTGTTCCCTTTTCACTGCATCCACGCCAACATCTATTATTTTTTTATTTTTTTTATTATGGTCATTCTTGCAGGAGTAAGGTGGTATGACACTGTGGTTTCGATTTGCATTTCCCTGATCATTAGTGATGTTGAGCATTTTTTCGTTTTTGTTGGCCATTTGTATATCTTCTTTTGATAATTGTGTATTCATGTCCTTAGCTCACTTTTTGATGGGATTGTTTGTTTTTTCTTGCTAATTTGTTTGAGTTCCTTGTAGATTCTGGATATCAGAACTTTGTTGGACAACATATCTTTATTTATTTATTTATTTATTTATTTATTTATTTATTTATTTATTTGCGACAGGGTCTCTCTCTCTGTCACCCAGGTTGGAGTGCAGTGGTGCAATCATGGCTAACTGCAGCCTTGACCTCCCAAGCTCAAGCAATCCTCCCATCTCAGTCTCCCAAGTAGCTGGGACTACAGGCGTACACCACCACTCCCAGCTATTTTTTTTGTAAAGACTGGGTCTCGCCATGTTGCCCAGGCTGGTCTCCCAACTCCTGGGCTCAAGCGATCTGCCTGCCTTGGCCTCCCAAAGTGCTAGAATTACAGGTGTGAGCTGCTTCACCCAGCCAGGAAGCACAATCTATCTAAAGGAGGGTAAATAATAAGAAACATTGTAGTGAAACTGCAGAACACTAAAAACAAAGAAATAATCTTATAAGCAGCTAGAGGTTTTTTTTTTTTTTGGCAGATTACTCACGAAAGAAGAAATTAGATTGTCGCCAGATTTCCCAATGGCAACAATAGAAACCAAAAGATAGTGAAACAGTATCTTCAAAGACCTGAGAATTGGATACCCAGCATTTTAATAATGAGGGTGAAATACAAATAAAAACTAAGATAATTTGACTAACTTTTTTTTTCCTAAGAGACAGGTCCCTTACAGTAATAGGTTCCCAGCTAGAGTGCAGTTGTACCATCATAGCTCACTGCAGCCTCGAACTCCTGGGCTCAAGGAGCCATCCTCCTGCCTCAGCCTCTCCAGGAGCTGGTACTACAGCCCTGTGCCTCCACACCCAGCTTGCACTTCTAAGATGTACTTCAGAAAAAAGAAAAATTATCCCATTAAGAAGAGATGGAAGGAGTGAAAAAAATTGGTAAGTATAATAAATCTAAACAAAATTGTCAGTACAAAAAAATAAAAATGAGAACAGTAATATGTAATTTGTGAGTTTAGGACAGAATTAAAGAACAGAATTAAAACACTGGGCAAAAGTAAATTAGGAAAGAGGTGATTGGAGTTAAAGTGTTCTGAGCAACTTTGCATTTGTGTGGGAAGGGGATGGAGATTTAACTTTGGTCTTTGTCAAATATATGTGGCAAAATGTCAATGGTCGTTATGGGGGCCGGGCGCAGTGGCTCACACTTATAATCCCAGCACTTTGGGAAGCTGAGGTGGGTGGATCACTTGAGCTCAGTCTGGTCTACATGGTGAAACCCCGTCTCTACCAAAAATACAAAATTAGCCAGGTGTGGTGGCACGTGTCTGTAATCCCAGTTACTCCAGAGGCTGAGGCAGGAGAATCACTTGAACCCGGGAGGCGGAGGTTGCAGTTGAGCCGAGATTGTGCCACTGCACTCCAGCCTGGACAATGGAGCAAGACTCTGTCTCAGGAAAAAAAAAAAAAAAAAGTCAATGGTAGTTGCTAAAATAATATAAATAAGATATATAACTTTCAAATCAGTAGAAACGGGAAATGACAAAAACCAATAAGAAACAAACAAATACCAATCAACCCCAAAGAAGTGTACAAAAAAGTAAGACAAAAGATAGTAAAAATAAGTCCAGATATATCAATAATCAAAGTGAATGTAAACTAACTAAACTCATCAGTTAGTCAGTAATTGTCAAATTGCATTTAAAAAACCCAAGAGACACTGTTTCAAGAGACACTCCTAAAACATAGGAATTTGGAAAGGTTGATAATTTAGTCAAATTATCCTCTATGTTTGGTGTTTTTTATGTCTTAAGAAATTCTTCCCTACTTCACATGAACCACATGGGTTAAGATTAGGGGAGATACAGCACACCAAGGAAATGGGGATTGAGTGCCACCTTGGGAGTAATGGCCACTGGGCTGGCCATAAAACAACAAGTGGCAGGACAGAGGCAGAGACACTAGCTCCACACGTTCCAGTCACTTGAACATATCTCAGGTGAAGATGGTGCTAAATTGTAAAGTCCTGTTCTGCTGCTTATTAGATATCTGACTACCTAAACCTCAGTTTTGGCTGGGAGCGGTGGCTCACACCTGTAATCCCAGCACTTTGGAAGGCCGAGGCAGGTGGATCGCCTGAGGTCAGGAATTTGAGACCAGCCTGGTCAACATGATGAAACCCCTTCTCTACTAAAAATACAAAATTAGCCAGGTGTGGTGGCAGGTGCCTGTAGTCCCAGCTACTTGGGAGGCTGAGGCAGGAGGATCACTTGAACCCAGGAAGCAGAGGTTGTAGTGAGCCAAGATTGTACCACTGGACTCCAGCCTGGGCAACAAGAGGAAAACAGTGTTTCAAAAATAAAATAAAATAAACCTCAGTTTCTTCATCTATAAACAGAGGATGATGATGAGGAATTGATAATAATACCAACCTCACAGGACTTCAGAGAAGATCGAGCTGAACAATGCCTTTAAAAGTTAGCACTACACCTGGCACAGAGGCATCGTGCATCGTGCTAGCTCTCAGCATCATTGCTGTTTATACACCAAGCATTTTTTGAGCTCACCCAGTCCTCAGAGGGCCTGAAAACTACCTTTGAATAATTGAAGGTCAGTTGTGAAAGAGATTATGAAGACCCTAAATGCAGGTAGGGAATCGATGGGTGACAGCTGCCAGCGGGTGTTTGCACGTGTGTGGGAACGTAGGGTCGAGTTTTTCTTGCTAAGAAAACACACATTTCTCCAAGGCTTCTTGCTGAATGTCTCACAGGCTTCATTTCAGCATCTGTATCACCCATGTCATTGCACCAAGACCTCTCCCTGTTGACTTTCCCTGGTTTCTCCTGGGGCCTTTATGTACCCCACCATTTAGCCCCTTGAACTTGAACATCTGAATGAAACTTTCAAAGATTCATGCCACATTGTGCCATTTAATCATGATGCTTTCTCACTCACCTAGTCTATCAGAAGGACAATGCATCCTCATCTGTTCCCATCTCTTCTCTTCTCTGAGCTGCTGAGGTCAAGTGGGGAGCTGGGTTATCCATGTGTATGGATGGATAAAAGTCTGGTTACCCGTCAGGCAGTGACCTAGTGTCTAGGTTGGGATTCTGTGGACTGGGAGTATGGGGTACCCAGTGGGGGCAGGAATAGGAGGAACCAAGTTTTCTTATCTCTTTCCAGGGGCACAAAAATGGTTGGGAACAGACCCAAAAGTCAGAAGTGGGATGCAGGTTGGAACAGAGTAGGGAGAGATGGGGCAGGCAAAGCTAGAAGGAGAAGGTGGCGGTGGAGAACAGACCCCGCCTTCCTGTTAGTTCTCAAAGGGATTGTTCTCATTTAAAGACATAGGCTGGGCCGATGCCAGTGAGCAGCTAGCATACGTTTCTTCATTCCCTGCTCTGGACCTGGCTTTTTTTTGCATCATCCCGTTTGTCTTCATCTTCACCACAGCCGTTGAATGTGTTATTACCTACACCATTTAACCACGAGGAAACAGCTTAGAGGTTAGGTAACTTGCCCAAGTCACATAGCTAGCAACTGGTAGGTAGGAAATCATCTCCAAAATTCAGTATATCACATGGGACCTGATGAGCATCTCCTGGGACTTTGCCCAAGACTTAGATTTTGCAGTCGGCCATGGAGGCTCCACTGAAGTCACGAATGATAGAACGCATGTTGGGGAAGCTTAGGAAATTTCTACTGCAAGTCTCTTCCTTAAAAAATGTGCCTCACTTTGGCTGGGCATGGTGTCTTATGCCTGTAATCCAAACACTTTGGGAGGCTGAGGTGGGCAAATCACTTGAGGTCAGGAGTTTGAGACTAGCCTGGCCAGCATGGCAAAACCCCGTCTCTACTAAAAATACAAAAAAATTAGCCAGGCATGGTGGCGTGAGCCTATAATCCCATCTACTCCGGAGGCTGAGGTGGGAGGGTGGCTTGAGCCCCAGGAGGTGGAAGTTCCAGTGAGCCAAGATCATGCCACTGCACTCCAGCCTGGGCAAGAGCGTGAGACTCCATCTAGAAAAAAAAAAAAAAAAAGAGAAATGCACCTCACTTCAGTGATGGCTGCTCCCCACTGTTGTGACTACATTTGAACACAGTGTGGTTGGGTATGATTGGGTCTCCATGGAAACAAAGCTTCCACAGACTTCTACTTCCAATCTCTGAGAATTAATTTCAAACACAGTTTCAAGACTTGATCTGCACTGCATTTTTACACATGGGCCTCTAAGGCAGTGCAGAGCAATGGATGGGAACGCAGGATTGGCTGTCAGGCCTGCCTCTGCCATTTACAGAATGAACACTTGTGACAAGCTGTTCCCTCTCTCCGGGTCCCGGTTTTACCTCTATAAAATAGGGCTATGATAGTACTTACCTCATACATTTGTTCTAAGTATTATTACATTATTAAGCAAAATAAGTGTTAGCTATTATAATTCCTCCCCACCCACCTGTTCCCCTCCTGCTGCCCCTGTTCCCAACACTGGGATGACCAATTCATCCTGGTTTGCTCAGGACTTGTTCTGATTTAGCATTGGAAGCTCAGCATCCTGGGAACCCCACTAAGGTTTGAGGGAACCAGTATGGTCAGTTGCCCTCCCCAACACTTCAGCCAGAGACATCATAATAGTCCAGATAAACTGGCGGCCAATGGAGCTCAAGATGGTTTGAGTCCAAGATTTACATTGGTAATTCAAAATCATGACAAGTTTTGTGGCCACTGGATATAGAATGATAGCTCAGAGGCACAGAAAACTCAGTGAAACCAAAGGTAAGTCCAACTAATTATTCAACTCTGGGCCCTCAAGGGCAGGAGCTGTCTTGTTCATCTTTGTATCCCCCTCTACACTTAGAAGGGTAAATTGTTAAATGAGTGAACAACAAATCCAAAAACCCACAGCGCAGGTTAGGTGCCATGGCTCACGCCTGTAATCTGAGCACTTTGGGAGGCCAAGGCAGAAGGATCACTTGAGCCCAGAAATTTGAGACCAGCCTGGGTAACATAGGGAGATACCGTCTCTATGAAAACAAAAACATCCACAGCTCAGAATGATCTCAAGTCCCAGGCCAAGAGCTGTTTCAAAAAATCTCCTGGGCTGAATTTTTTTTTTTTGAGATGGAGTCTCGCTCTTGTTGCCCAGGCTGGAGTGCAGTGGTGAGATCTTAGCTCACTGCAACCTCTGCCTCCCAGGTTCAAGTGATACTCCTGCCTCAGCCTCCTAAGTAGCTGGGACTACAGGCACGTGCCACCATGGCTGGCTGATTTTTGTATTTTTAGTAGAGACAGGGTTTCACTATGTTGGCCAGGCTGGTCTCGAACTCCTGATCTCAAGTGATCCACCTGCCTTGGCTTCCCAAAGTGCTGGGATTACAGGAGTGAGCCACCACGCCTGGCCCAGGGCTGATTTTTTAAGGTCTTATGATAGGAATGACCTTGGCCTGCATCTAAATCTGGTTCTGGAATGAAATTGGAGTAGGCTCTGCCCCTGGAGGGGGAGATCCCTTCCTGGGAATGGGATTCCTTGTAGCCTGCACGGACCTGGTGGACTGAACAAAGAGGGGGAATGCGGAAATAAAAGACAAAGACATAAGAGTATATTTGGAAGAAGGGGTCAGGGACACCTTGCCTCTAGTAGACAAGGGCCCTGAGCTTTACACAGCCTTCCGTATTTATTGGTAAAAGAGATAACGAGAAAAGGGGGTGGTGGTTGTTGGGTAATTGTCAGTCGGCCATTTGGTTCACAGCAGGCTTGCAAGACTGCATCCTTTGTATGATAGGTGCTAGATTTTTCAGTAGATAACTTCAAGGAGCCCGGCCCCCAGGGAGTGTTGGCCCTCAGCAAACCTTTCAGTGGCAGGTGCAGTGTGAGTTTGCTCACATCCTGCATTCATGATAAACAGTTTGCTGTTTGATCATATAGCGTCCAGTGGAATGCTGAGCTGGTCACAATCCCTTTGGCCTTTTTGGCTCCCAACAATTCCTGCCTGGAAAATCATTCATGAGTCACTGTGTAGTTAAGGATTTACACGTGCTCCTACCTGCACTGCAAACCTTGTCTTTAGAACTGGTGTGGTTTTAGATAGATTTATAGATAAATTTATAGATCATGCCTAATGCATGATGATTCAGGAGGGAAGCCTTCTCCCAAAGAACAACAGATGATTTTCTGGGGCCCTCTGCTCACAGCCAGGGTGTCCCCCAAGCCCTCAGGCTCCTTATGTATGTATGGGACACACAGAAGCTTTCAGAATATGGAGAGAAAGCATTTCCATTTGCTGGGAATCTGGGGTCAGGGACATGGATTGTTCTCAGTGTTCTGAGCTGGAATAGTGGCAGGGCCTTGTCACTGTTATGTGCCAGAGAAGAAATGCTATAGGAGACTGACCAGGTGGTCACACTCTGGTGTCAAACAGTCCTGGCCACGCCTCTTACCAGATGTGATGTGAGACCTGGAGAGGTGACTTGCCCTCTCTGAAGCTCAGTTTCCTCATCAGTAAAATGAAGAGAATAATAGTAGTCAGGTAGTTGTGAGGTTTAAAGGACCGAGTCCATGTAAAGATGTGTAATATGGGTCTACCACAGGTCAGAACCCACAGCCACTGTTACAGACACACCTTGGAGATATTGCAGCCTCAGCTCCATACCACTGCAATAAAGTGAGTATCACAAGGTTTTTGGTTTCTGAGTGCATATAAAAGTTATGTTGGCTAGACACAGTGGCTCACACCTTTGGGAGGCCAAGGAGGGAGGATCGCTTGAGCCCAGGAGTTTGAGACCAGCCTAGGCAACATGGCAAAACACTGCCTCTACAAAAAATACAAAAATTAGTCAGGCATGGTGATGCATGCTTGTACTCCCTGCTACTAGAGAGGCTGAGGCGGGAGGCTCGCTTGAGCCCAGGGAGTGAAGGCTGCAGTGAGCTATGAGCATGCCACTGCACTCCAGCCTGGGCAACAGAGCAAGACTATATTAAAGAAAAAAAGTTATGTCTACACTATACTGTAGTTTATTAAGTGTGCAAGAGCATTATGTCTAAAATACAATGTACCTATCTTGATTAAAAATACTTTATTGCTAAAAAATGCTAATGATCGTCTCAGGCTTCAACGAGTCATAATCTTTTTGCTGATGGAGGGGGCTTGCCTCGACATTGATGGTTGCTGATGGATCAGAGTGGTAGTTGGAGTGGCAGTGGCAGTTTCTTCAAAGAAGACAACAACGAAATTTGCCACATCGATTGACTCTTTCACAAAAGATTTCTCTACAGCACGTGATGCTGTTTGATGGCATCTTGCCCACAGTAGAACTTCTTTTGAAATTGGAGTCAATCCTCTCCAACCCTGCATTATCAACTAAGTTTATGTGATATTCTAAATCCTTTGTTGTCATTTCAAAAATGTTACAGCATCTTTACCAGGAGTAGATTTCATCTAAAGAAACCACTGTCTTTGCTCATCTGCAAGAAGCAACTCCTTATCTGTTCAAGTTTTATCAGGAGGTTGCAGCAATTCAGTCACATCTTCAGACTCCACTTCTAGTTCTTTTACTATTTACATCACATCTGTAGTGACTTTTCCCACTGAAGTCTTCAATCCCTCAAAGTAATCCATGAAGGCTGGAATTAACTCCTTCCAAACTCCTACTAATGTAAATATTTTACTTCCTCCCATGAATCACAAATGTTCTTAATGGCATCTAGAAATGCTGAATCCTCTCTAGAAGAGTTTCAATTGATGGCTCAGATCCATCAGAGGAATCACTGTCTAAGGCAGCTTTAGCCTTACAAAATGTACTTCTTAATAAGACTTCAAAGTCAAAATAATTTCTTGATCTGTGGGCTACAGAGTGAATGTTGTATTAGCAGGCATGAAAACAACATTCATCTCCTTGAACCTCTCCATCAGAGCTCTTGGGTGACCAGGTGCATTACCAGTGAGCAGTAATATTTTGAAAGGAATCCTTTTTTCTGAGCAGCAGGTCTCAAGAGTGGGCTTGAAATATTCAGTAAACTGCACTGTAAAGAGATGTACTGTCATCCAGGCTTTGTTCCATTTGTAGAGCACAGACAGCGTAGATTTAGCATAATTCTCAAAAACCCTAGGATTGGGCAGGGTGCAGTGGCTCATGCCTGTAATCTCAGCACTTTGGGAGGCCAAGGCAGATGGATCACTTGAGGTCAGGGGTTCGAGACCATCCTGGCCTGGCCAACATGGTAAAACCCCGTCTCTACTAAAAATACAAAAATTAGCCAGGGGTGATGGCGTGCACCTGTAGTCCCAGCTACTTGGGAGGCTGAGGCACGAGAATCACTTGAACCTGGAAGGCAGAGATTGCAGTGAGCCAAGATCGCACCACTGCGCTCCAGCCTGGGTGACAGAGTGAAACTCTGTCTCAAAAATAATAATAAAATAAAAAAGAACCCTAGGATTTTCAGAAAGGTCAGTGAGCACTGGCTTCAACTTAAGGTCACCAGCTCCACTCGCCCCTAACAAGAGAGCCAGCCTGTCCTTTGAAGCTTTGAAGCCAGGCATTGACTTCTCCTCTCTAACTAAAAAAGTCCTAGATGTCATCTTCTTCTAATAGAAAGCTGTTTTGTCTACGCTGAATATCTGTCGTTTGATGTAGCAGCCACCTTTATCAGTTACCTACCCTAGCTAGATCTTCTGCATATCTTGCTGCAGCTTCTCTATCAGCATTTGCTACTTCACTTTGCACTTTTATGTTATGGAGATGGTTTCTTTCCTGAAACCTCATGAACCGAACTCTGCTGATTCCAACTTTCCTTCTGCAGCTTCCTCACCTCCCTCAGCCTTTGCAGAATTGAAGACAGTTGGGGAGGATCTTGCTCTGGAATAGGCTTTGGCTTAAAGGAATGTTGTGGCTGGTTTGATCTTCCATCCAGACCATTCAAACTTTCTCCACATCAGCAATAGGCTGTTCTTCTTTCTCATCATTCATGTGTTCATTGGAGTAGCACTTTCAATTTCCTTCAAGAACTTTTCCTTTGCATTCACAACTTGGCTGTTTGGCCCAAGAGGCCTAGATTTTGGCCTGTCTTGGCTTTCTAAATGCCTTTCTTACTAAGCTTAGTCATTTCTAGCTTTTGATTTAAACTGAGAGATGTGCAACTCTTTCTTTCACTCAAACACTTAGAGGCCATTGTAGGGTTATTAATTGGCCTAATTTCAATATTGTTATGTTTCAAGGAAGAGGAAGGCCTGAGGAGAGGAAGAGAGATGGGGGAGTGACTGGTTGGTGATCACAACACACATTTATCTATTTATATGGCATGGTTCCGCAGTGCCTCCTAAATGACTACAATAGTAACAACAAAGATCACTAATCACCACAGAAGACATAATGATAATGAAAAAGTTTGAAATATTGCAAGAATTACCAAAATATGACAAAGGGACGTGAAGTAAGCCCATGCTGTTGGAAAATGATGCCAGTAGACTAGCTCGATGCAGGGTTGCCACAAACCTTCTATTTGTAAAAAATGCGATATTTGCAAAGTGCAACAAAGCAAAGCACAATAAAATAAGGCATGCCTGTATCGCTACAATTTTAATCCAACATAAGCACACTACACAGTATGTTCCAAAGGGAAAATACCCCCAAATCAAATGCAGAAAGGAGTGTCAAATAGCAAGCTCTCAATAAATGTTAGCTACTGTTATTAAGAGCTGTTAAGGCCAGGCACGGTAGCTTATGCCTGTAATCCCAGCACTTTGGGAGGCCAAGACAGGGGGATCACCTGAGGTCAGGAATTCAAGGCCAGTCTGACCAACATAACGAAACCCTGTCTCTACTAAAAATACAAAAATTATCTGGGCGTGATGGTGTGTGCCTGTAATTCCAGCTACTCAGGAGGCTGAGATAGGAGAACTGCTTGAACCTGGGAGGCGGAGGTTGCAGTCAGCTGAGATCACACCACTGCACTCCAGCCCGGGCGACAGAGTGAGACTCCATCTCAAAAAAAAAAAAAAAAAAGCTGTTAAATTATGATCGGCTTCCTGTGTCTCAGAGTCAACCTGGCCAGCATGGTGAAACCCCATCTCTTCTAAAAATACAAAAATTAGCCAGACATGGTGGCGTGCACCTGTAATCCCAGCTACTTGGGAGGCTGAGGCAGGAGAATCGCTTGAACCCAGGAGGTGGAGATTGCAGTGAGCCGAGATCACGTCACTGCACTCCAGCCTGGGCAACAGAGAGAGACTCCATCTTATAAAAAAATTAATATGTAAATATTGAAAAGTAGTGACAAAACAAATGTGGCAAAACGTTCCTTGGTAAATGTGGGTTGAGGGTATTTAAGAGTTCTTTGTGCTATTTCTGCAACTTTTATGCACATTTGAAATTATTTCAAAATAAAAAGTAAAGTATATATAAATAAGAGGAAGCTAGGAAGTGACAAAAACCATTAAAGGAAGAATAAGAAACGGTAGTTCGGCCAGCAGCCAGCTCCCTGCTGGTTCCCACGTCAGGCGCTGTGAGAAGCCCTTTGCCTCTCGGTCCTGTGTCCTCACCATGCACCCTTGTGGTCAGCCTGGAAAGGCCAACTTGATAGTTACAGGCTGCTTCAGATCTGCCACCCACGTGGTGACAAGTCCTGGCGCGTTGGCATGGGTGGTACTGAAAAAGGCTATGGATCCAGGGCAGTGCAGCGGCCAGTGGCAAGGGATGAGGCGGGGTCTCCAATGGCATCGTTTGAACTGCCTGCAACCTTTTTACCCACATGTCTCATGAAGGGATCAAGGAGAAAAGCACTGTGGTCTGGGAAAAGACTTCTAGCACTGAGATGCTGCCTTCAGGGGCAAAGATTAACCTGGCTCCCCAGAAGAGGAGCAGTGCTCATTGCCAGACAGAAGAGGGCGATGTTTTCGCCCATGTCATCCTTTGAATAGGCACCGACAGGCTTTGGCCGCCAGCTGTGCCCACTGGGTGTGGTTTCACAAATCTGCAAATTCCAAGGGCAAGATTAGGGTGAGGTTAATGAGACAGGGTCAAGTACAAGTTCAGGGGCAGATCGTGTCTTTACTTTGTTACTTTGTTCATCATGGATTTTTCTTCATTAATTTTTGATTTTTCAAAATATTGCATTGAATGTTATTTAGCTTGATTACTGAGTTATTTGGTAACTCCTTAAATTTTGTGCCTAAGGCTAGTGTCTCATTCGCCTTGCCCTAGTCCTGTCTTGACAGATCTAATCCATTAGTCGTATCGCCACCAGCTCAGAGTTTGCAATTAGGCCCTTTTGTACCTATAAAGAAAGGACTGACAAAAGGAATTAATCCTGAGGACGTAAATACCTGCTTTTTTTTTTTTTTTTTTTGAGGCAGAGTTTTACTCTGTCACCCAGCCTAGAAGACTGGAATGCAGTGGTGCAATCATAACTCACTGCAGCCTCTAAATCCTGGGCTTAAGTGATCCTCCCAACCTCCCACCTCAGCCTCCAGGGTAGCTGGGGCCAGAGGTATACACCACCATGCCTGGCTAACTTTTTTATCTTTAGTAGAGACAAGTTCTCGCTATGTTGCTCAGGCTGGTCTCGAACTCGTGGGCTCCTGCCTCGGCCTCCCAGGGTGCTCGGGTTACAGATGTGAGCCACTGCACCCAGTCAAATGCCTGCTTTTGATGTCACTTCACAGCCAGCAACTGGAGACCAACTTCTTTATCTCCGAGTCTCAATTTCTTCATCTGTAAAATGAGGATAGCAATTGCTCCTTTGCAGTTTATTCTGAAAACAGAGTATCACCCCAACTGAGTACCCCTGAGGGCCAGGCACCGTGCTGAGTCTGCCCTTTAGTTATAACCTCTCTAAATTTTCACAGCCCTACCATGTAAGAGATACTATTACCCCATGTTAAAGGTGAGGAAAAGGGCACAGAGAAGTTTGGTTATTTGTCCAGGGCTGAACAGCCAGTAAGTAAAAGTGTATATGCTTTAACGTCATCAGCATTCCCGACGTGAGATGACCCCCAAGCCCCCGGAGATATTTGGCAACATCTGTCGAAATTTTTGGTTGTCACAACTGGGGGATGTGATTGGCATCTAGTGGGTAGAGGCAGGGGATGCTGCTAAGTGTCCAATAATGCACAGGATGGTCCCCACAACAAAGTACTATCTGGCCCCAAATGTCAATCGTGCCAAGGCTGAGAAGCCTGCTCTATGCTATGCTCCCGAGTCAGAAAGTTACATGAGCACTTAGCACTTAGTGCTCCATGAAAGGTAGATACTGTTGTGGTTTTTGTTATTATTACATTTTGTCTCTATGGCTGGGGGTTCCCGTGGCTTCCAGGGAAGCTGAGTTCCCTTGGTACCACACCCACACTGTGATCAAGAACCCCGTCTCTAGGTCAAACGTGGTGGCTCACACCTGTAATCCCAACACTTTGGGAGGCCAAGGTAGGAGGATCGCCTGGGCCCTGGAATTCAAGACCAGCCGGAGCAACATGGTGGAATCCTGTCTCTACAAAAAAAACACAAAAATTAGCCAGGCATGGTGACATGCACCTGTGGTCCCACCTACTTGGGAAGCTGAGGTAGGAAGATTAGATTACTTGAGCCTGGGGGATTGAGGCTGCAGTGAGCTGAAATTGTGCCACTGCACTCCAGCCTGGGTGACAGAACGAGACCCTGTCTCAAAAAAAAAAAAAAAAAAAAAAAAAGAACTTGGTCTCTGGAGTCCATTAGAGTATCATACGTCGCATTCAGCAATGATTTATGAGCATCTGCTGCTACATGACAATCCTGTTCCAGGCAGCACAGACACACGGAGGTGCCCCCTGCCCCTATGTGGCAGCCTGGTGGAGAGACAACTTTAGACAAGGAAACACACAAGCTCAGAGATAATAAGATGTTACAATGCATGCCATGATGTGAAAAACCTGGGCACCATGAGAGAGAAGACGAGGGAAGACCCTGATGGGGTCAGGAGGCCAGGAGGGCTTCTCTGAGGGTGTGACATTTAAGCTGAGCCCTGAGGCTGGAGGAAGGAAGAGCCCTGTAGGCGGAGAGAACAGCTGTGCCAAGGCCCTGAGGGGGGAACCGAAAGCCAGGCAGTGCAAGGGCAGACCAGTAGGGGAGGAAGAGGGGAGTAGAGTGTTATGACCTGGGAAATGTGAGCAGGTAGAGGCTACATTAAGAAGTTTGCTCTTTGACCAATAAAAGCCCTGGAAAGATTTTAATCAGAGCAGGCCTGCCCTTCAGAAAGTGACTCTTGAGGTCCAGGCACAGCCCTGTGTGGAAGATAGTGTGTGAGGCTGAAACCCAGAGTGTGTCATCATCTGGAAACAACCCTGCAAAGGTGAGAGGTTTGTCATAGTTACACAACTTTAACTAATGCACCTTCCTCCCCGCAAACTCTAAGCTGGTTGTGAAACATGACGATGGAGCATTTTGCATATGTTACAAAATTATTGTTAATGCTCATTCATTTTTGGACAAAGACCAGCATCAGTCACTGGAAACACCTGTTTGGGTCACGAGGCTTGTCTTCTGCCAGGAGTGGAGACTTTCCCACAGACTTCTTGTTTCTTCTTGCTGCTTTTGGGTGACTCAGCCTATGACACTTTTGCTCCTCCTGAAATCTCCATATCTTGCTTTTCTCAAATTCCAAGGTAGCCTTTGCGCAACATATCACTCTCCACTGACTCTTGTCCCATCAGGGCCCATAGTGGATGGCTGTATGGGGGCCATGTGACTGAACTCCTGATCCTCGTTTCAGCCCACTCATGTGACATGCATGGAGCTCTTCAGCAGGGACTTACTGACCAGGACAAGAGCTTGAGACTTTGAGGGGATCTGATTGTCACTGCACAATCAAGGACAGTATTCCCAAGAGTGGATGTTGCTCAAGATAGTCCAAGGAATTCTATGAAGAAAAGGACTCCACAGACAATAAATTTTGGACACCCTGTTTCAACACAGTTAAGCGGCTTTTTATAATTACAGGACTTTTCAGAACATTTAATATGCTAATGTGCATTCTAAATCTCCAAGAAAGAATGATGCATATTTATCTTTTCTTCCAGGTGCATCTTAGAGACTGGTGTTTGCAAGTATATGGAGCAGGAAACTTCATCCCGAAGATGGAGACCCCGGGGCTGTCAGCAGGCGTTAGGCAAGTGCCTCAAAATTCCCAATTCCCAGCAAGAGAAGCCAACTGAAGGATGAGACAGGGTTTCTGCCTTCCCTGGGTCCTCCAGTATTACATGGAGGGGTTGGAGTGAACCTTCTGGAGGTGGGGTCAATGACTCTTGGAGGTAGGGGAAAGCTTCCTTTGACCAAGTTGCACACAAAGACAGAAAACGTGTTTGCATGGGCATTGTTTAACCTGCTTAAAAGAATGAAAAGATTTTAGCACTTTTTTCTTTTTCTGTAATTACTAAAGAAGTACATGTTTTTGCAAAAAAAAAAAAAAATCAAACAATATACAAGTATATAGAGTAAAAAGTGGAAGTCCTCCTTTCATCTCCTCCCTGCATCCCTCCCTGCACCCTGGAGTGTTCCATATTAAGGTTTTGGTATGCCTGGTTCAGTGGGTGAGAAGATTAATCTGGAGTCAGCACTCTGAGATTGAATCTCAGCTTTGCCACATGCTAGCTCTGTTTCCTTGGGCACAAGCCTCACTTTGCTCATCTCTAAAATAAAGTAGCCGTAGGAAGGGCTTGGCAGGTATGGGATGAGATGAAACACAGAAAGCCCTAATGCAGCACCTGAACCTAGTTGGATTCAGTTAAATTTGGCCGTTAGAATTTTCCTTCCAGAATCCAGGCATTTTTTAAAAGGTCCAATTTCATTCAATGGATGTGCTAATTCGAGAATGGGGTCCATCTCTTAATCTGTTCATGTGACTCTTTTTTAAGTCCTCAAGGGCAGTTTCTATGCAGAAACCACTATTTAGAGGTTTACTTTATTTTTTCAAGTTCATAGTCAAATTGTCAAAGCTGGAAATTAAAAAAAAGCAGATTACTTGACTTTCTTTATTCTACACATTAGCTCGTTTTTAATGCTAGGAACTAAGAACTTTTCTAGGACTTTGATGGAATGATTACTATCTTAGAAAATGCCATGCCTCCATAAATATATATGCCTACTATGTACCTGCAAAAATTAAAAATAAAAACTTTGTTAAAAGAAAAAAAAAAAGAAAATGCCATGCTTTTAAGTTCAGCTTACAAAAGTTCTCATTCTTTTTATAAATCCAGCTAGAATTTCCAGATAAAATAAAAGTTGCCCAATTGAATACGAACTACCCCAAATTCAAATCTACCTACTGTTCTATATTTTTATTTGTTAAATCTGCCAATCCTAAACCCAACAAACCTAAATAATTACTTATAAGGGGTTTGTGGCCAATTTATAAACATTTTATACTTTATTTAATATGCCCTATTTTCTTTTAAAAGTTCTTCAATTGTCTGAACTAACAAAAAAGCTACTTTTAAAAAATACTAAATCATTTGAATTCTAATAAAGTAAACAAACAAAACATTGATGATAACCTAAAGTGTTTATAAATGTTCCAGAACTGTATTCAGACAAAGGTTTCAACGTAAAGTCATGAACCTGAATCAAACCCTACCAAGTGCACATTTTATAAGAGAGTTACAAGATTTTCTATATAGTTGGCCCAGCAGCTCTCATTAAGTCCATGAAATACCGCATATTCCATCTTAAAACACACAAAAAGAGTATACCATGGCTCTGAGTCTCTTAAACATTTCTACACTTTAATTCTAAATCTTTTTTCTGGTTGGAAGATGCCCATTCACCAAGAAAGACAATTAACCATTCCCTAGAGCTCCTTTTTTTTTGTTTTTGTATTTTATTGAGATGGAATCTCACTCTGTTGCCCAGGCTGGAGTGCAGTGGTGCAATCTTGGCTCACTGCAGCCTCTGCCTCCCAAGTTCAAGCCATTCTCCTGCCTCAGCCTCCCAAGTAGCTGGGATTATAGGCGCCCACCACCACGCCTGGCTAATTTTTGTATTTTTAGTAGAGACAGGGTTTCACCATGTTGGCCAGGCTGGCCTTGAACTCCTGACCTCAAGTGATCCACCCACCTCAGCCTCCCAAAGTGCTGGGGCTACAGGAGTGAGCCACTGCGCCCGGCCCAGAGCCACCTTTACCAGAGATTCAACCAGGCCTGAGGTCTTAGGTTGCAGACAACAGGGAGATTCATTGCAGCACGAACTCAGGAAACCATTTCCTTCCATGTACTATTTGGGGTTATCTTATAGAATTCCTGGCATGCTTGGCCAGTATGCTGCCTGGATGTATGTTGGGGATATATGTATAATTTTCCCTGTGGCTGTGGCCACAGACCCATCACCACAAGAGGGGTTGGTCCACAGATCCCGATGCTGGCTTGGAGTTATTCTTATTCCCTACCCTTTTCACAGAATTGTCTTTGCCAAAGTCCATTAATATACCTTGATTGGATTTTGCTTTTTTTTTTAATTTTTTTTTGCTTTACAGATCTTCATAGTTTCCTGCCCATATCTCTAAAAGTCATTTTGCTTGAGTTGATATCCTACAGTTCTTACAAGACCTTTCTCTCCCAGGGTCACACAACTCTCGCCAATATTAAATTAATATCAGCTTCAATCACGGGTCTCTCCATGGGTTTCACGGGCTATTTGCTCGCAGAGTCCAGGGACATTTTCCTCATCCATTCCATCAGATCCCCAATTGCTTTCTCTGGCAACACACTCCTAGTATTTGTACGGTAAAGCTGCCTAAAAAAATTAAGTAATTCAAACTACTCTTGACCTTACTTTACACCACCAGGGCAATTAGAGTCACAGTCTGGGTGTGTCTGAGGACAGCAGGCCGCCAAATCCCAGTGATTTAGAGAAAACCGAGCAGAATTTCCCATGCCTCCTGCCTCATTGTCCCCCAGCAGAAGGTTCCGTCACCCCAGGTGCCCTCTAGGGTGGACCACTTCCGAGTTCATCCACTGTCAGGAAAAGGCACATGGCATGCAACCGCAAGACCGATGACTAGATGTCAGAGCTGGCTCCCGGTTGGGATATGAGTGACTTTGTGGAGGATGGCGCCTAAATGAGGCATGCCAATTTCTGCACCAGGGTGACGAACATAAGGGCTCCTTAAAGGCTAGCCCAATGTATCTGTATTTCCTTGGGGATTAAAACCCATGATCTTCAGTTCCTCAGAGAACTGAAAGTTGCAAGGAGAAATCCAGTAATTCCTGTTATCTGCAGGCTTTATAAGTCAGTGGAGCCTGCGGAAGTGGCCAGAATCCAGCACTCCAAGCACTGCTGTCTTCTCACAGAGTCTTGAAGCCAGAGCAGCGCCAGGATGTCACGGGAGCTGGCCCCACTGCTGCTTCTCCTCCTCTCCATCCACAGCGCCCTGGCCATGAGGATCTGCTCCTTCAACGTCAGGTCCTTTGGGGAAAGCAAGCAGGAAGACAAGAATGCCATGGATGTCATTGTGAAGGTGAGCCCCTTTCCTGGGAGGAGGATCCCAGACACCCCTCACACCCTCTCTCCTGTCTGCAGACTTTAAGAGACTCAAGGAACTTAAAGTTGGCCCTTAGGGGGAATGTAGAAGCTGGCTTGGAACAATAACCACTTCAACTCTCTGTACCTCCTGCCGTCATCTTAAAACAGGGGTGATAACAATGGTTCCCTCCAGGGTTGCTGGGGGGACTACAGGAGTTGGCAAATGGAAAGCTCTTAATGTAGTATCTGGCTCATTATACGTTCCAGATAAGGGTTAGCCATTATGATTTTTATTGCTATTTATTGAATGCCTGTATCAGGCACTATAAGCACATGGTTTCACTTCATAATCTTTATGAAGAGGGACTATTACTCCCCATGTAGAGGTGATGAACAAAGAAAGATGAAGTAACCTTATACAGCTACTCCTTTTCACCAGCAAAGCCCAGCTCCTTTCTCTCTCTTTCCTTTTCTTCTTTCTTTCTTTTCTTTCTTTCTCTCTTTCTTTCTTTCTTTTTCTTTCTTCCTTTTTCTTTCTTCCTTTTTCTTTCTTCTTTCTGTCTTTTCTTTCTTCTTCCTTTCTCTTTTTCTTTGTTTCTTTCTTCCTTTCCCTTCCTTACTTTTTTCCTTCCTTCCTTCTCTCTCCCATCCTCATCATCCCTCCCTCTCTTTGTCTTTCTTTCTTCTTCTCCTCCTTCCTTCCTCTCTCCCTCTCCTCTACTTCCCCACTCCTTCCACTTTCGCTTACGCTTTCCTTGGGTGATATACCCAATGTCCGGGGACACTGCTTGCTTTCTCTGGAGTCAATTGACTCCCTTTATCCTACAGGTTAATTAATTTTTGATGCTGGCAACTTAACCCTTTCCCAGGACTCTGGAAAGGTACTTATTACCTTAGGAAACCTGAGACACCATGGTGTGGTAGGGGGGCCAGGAGCCCTGGGTCCAGATTCCACCTACCAGACTTGTGAGCTTGGGAGGCCCTGCCCCTCCCTGAACCACCAGCTCCCCTAGTAAAATGGCGACCACATCCAAATACCACCTGTAGCACTGGCTGGTGAAGAGAACTCAGGGTGCCTGAGGCACCCAGCAGAGCCTGCAGCAAGGTGGGTATTCATGAGCCAGAGCCGCTGCTGTTGCTGTCACTGGGAAGGAGGATTGGAGTGAGGACTGGCAGGCTCTGTTCTTCCTTGGACGAGCCTCTCAGACCCAGGTGGCCCTGCCCTTTGGGAGGTAACCAAGGCCTTCTAGATGGTGTTGTTTAGCCAGGATAGCAATGCCAAGCCTGTGGGAGCCATGACAAGATTGTTCAATGGGAAACCCTGACATGCAAGGCAATGATTTTCCCCACTTCACACATGGCCCGTGGAGCCTGGGTAGCCACTGAGTTCCCATCTCCTTCCTCACTGATGAAACCCGGCTGTCTTTTTGTTCCTTGGTGAGTCCATCATGGGGGCTTGAACTCTGCATCTCCCCTGAGCAGCTGTGTCCTGCAGAGCATGTCCGAAGTCCTTGTCAAGGCTGCCTCACCCTCCCCATCCTACCAAGAGGCCATCCCCAAAACACTGCAAGAGCTACCCTACAGGGCACTCACAGTCACCCGAGAATGCCAGGCATTCAGAATAGGATTATCCCTAGCGCCCATTGACCAAGCACCTCCTATAGGTGCTAATTTTTGTATTTTTAGTAGAGGCGGGTTTCACCATGTTGGCCAGGCTGGTCTCGAACTCCTGACCTCAGGTGATCTGCCCATCTTGGCCTCCCAAAGTGCTGGTATTACAGGCGTAAGCCACCGTGCCCGGCTGGGACTGTATTTTAACAGTTCAACATGGTGGGCTTTGTAGTCACGCAGACCTAAGTTCAAATCCTGACTCTACCACCTATCCTGGCTGTATGACTTTAAGCTAGTCACTCAACCACTCTGAGCTTGGTTTCTGCCTATGTTTAATGGGCTAATAAGCATAGTTACCCCACAGGGTTGTTGTAAGGCTCGGAGTAGGTTTGCAGTAAATGTCAGCTTTTATAATTATTATCATTATAATTATACCTCTTTATTTCTAATCCAGTCTGTTATCTTTGCTTACTAAGGGCTTAATAAATATTTATTATTATTATTGTAATTATTCAAGCAAAGCCAAGAGGCAGGATATTGTGGGGAGGTCATGAGCAAGGGGCTCTGGGCTTGAATTACATAGGTTCAAATTCTGCCTCCGCCATTTTCTAGTAGGGTGATTGGGAGTGTAATTTACTCAACTTTCTCTGAGTCTCACGCTCCTCTTTAAAATGTACATAACAAAAGCACCTACCTACCTCAGGGAGTCCTTCATTTAGTTCAGAGAAGAAATTATTTTAATAAGCACTCAGTGCAATACTTAAAAACAGTAAGTGTCCAATAAAAGGTTTTATTTATCTGTGGTAAATGACCTCAAACCCCTGGGAATTCTCTTTCTTGCAGGTCATCAAACGCTGTGACATCATACTCGTGATGGAAATCAAGGACAGCAACAACAGGATCTGCCCCATACTGATGGAGAAGCTGAACAGGTAACATGGGGAAGGGTGGGCCCTCTAGGGCTCAAGGTCAAGTGCAAGGGCATCTGAAAACCCCTGGGAACTGAAAGTAATGTGAGATCCCGCACTTGACCACCAGTTCACACAGCCAGTGTTGCCCAGGAGTCCAGCTCCCTTAGCCACGGTCCTGAGAACTTTCAACCAGTTGATTTTACTGTGATAAAATAGAATAGGGGAAATAGATGAGGGGTCTGGACACAGAAAGAAATGAAAAAAGCAGATGAGGCTGAGCTAAAAAGTACAGTTATGAAGAAAATGTTGGAGAAAAGAGAAAAGATTAGAAACCAATAGTAGAAGAAAGATAATAAAATTACAACATGCTCACACACAGGAATATTATGCAGCTGTTAAAAGTCATGCTGGTGGCCAGGTGTGGTGGCACGTGCCTATAGTCTCACCTACCTGGGAGGCTGAGGTGGGAGGATCGCTTGAGCCCATGAGGTTTAGGCTATAGTGAGCCATGATCACACCACTGCACTCCAGCCTGGGCCACAGAGCAAGACCCTATCTCTTAAAAAAAAAATCATGCTTGCTACAGAATAAGTTAGAGCTAAATATTCCAGCACGGAATAATGGCCACAATATATTGAAAAAAAGCAAGTTGAGAATTGCAGGTAAAATAGCCCATTTGAGTCATCATGTTACATGAATAAGGGTGTGTTTGTGTTTCCATGTGCATAGAGATGAAAGACTGGAAGGATGCTCTCCAAACTATTAATAGTGGTTACTTCTGGTGGGGGGGGGGGGGGTGTGATCAGAGAGCTGTGGTGAAAGGGGTTAGTGAAGGAGTGAGGGGCACTTGCTTCTTATTTTAGTACTTTTTAAATCTGAGACTCTGTTGCCCAGGCTGGTATGCAGCAGCAAGATCTCGGCTCACTGCAACCTTTGCCTCCTGGGTTCAAGTGATTCTCCTGCCTCAGCCTCCCAAGTAGCTGGGATTACAGTCACACACCCACTATGCCTAGCTAATTTTTGTATTTTTAGTGGAGTCGGGGTTTTGCTATGTTGCCCAGGCTGGCCTTAAATTCCTGACCTCAAGTGATCTGCCCCTCTCAGCCTCCCAAAGTGCTGGGATTACAGGTGTGAGCCGCTGCACCTGGCCATCTCAGCAAGAAACACTTAATAGGGACTTTTGAACAAAAGCCATGTCTGGGTCTTGGGCAGGAGCAAGATGAGATGGTAGATCCTGGTGCCATCATCCCCCAGGCTCTGGGCTTATCCATCATAGGGAAGGCATGTGTAGGACAATTGTAGGGACAGGCAAGAATCCATGTCAGTCTGCCTAAGGGCTTCCCTTATAGTAAGGGAACTGAGTGGGGGACCTGCCTGAGTTACCCAGCCAGGAAGTGGCCAAGCCTACCTTTGAACTTGCGTCACATCTGATCTCATAGCCAGTGCTCTATTCTTTGTCATCTCAGCCTTCCTTGGAGTGTCCCCAGTCAGGTTTATGGGAGACTGAGGGGACAGGTTTGTGGGGGACTGAGGGGACAGGTAGGCTCCAGTCATCTCCTCCACAGTCAGTCTGGGGCGAGTCTTTTCACCACCAGTGGTCTTGGCACACCCCAACCTATCTAGACTGTCGCGGACTCCAAGCAGAGCCAAGCCTGTTTGTCTCTTTATCCCCCACAAGCCAGGATGGGCCTTAGTCACTTTGCAACTGAGTCACCACAAGCAGTTTGCTAACTCAGGACTTGGCAGGCTATGTTCAAAATAGGGCCAGTCTCCCCAAAGTGGAAGCCCGGCAGAACCTACTGTTCACACTCCTGGGGCCCCAGGGGCTAAGTCTGCCTTAGCATACTGCATCTGAAGTCCCAGGAATTTCTGTAAGGTCTAAGTTGGCCCCTAAATACCCCTTCTGCTTTTTTTCCAACTGAATCTGAGAATATGCTGCAGCTTTAGACATGCCCTAGATCTTTTTGTGAGCAGATAGAGTGAAATTATGTTAGGCTCTGCCCAGAGTGGAGTTATCAGCAGGTTTGGTAAACACACAGAAAGAGTCCGCTTTCCCTGGTGCAGGTGAGGGGCAAGGTCAATGGGACTTCATGGCTGTATCCCCAGCACCCAGGATATAAACAACAGTGAATTGAAATCGTGGTCCCAAAGCTTGTAAAAAAATGCCTGATGGCTTTCAGAGGAGAGAATATTCCTGCTTATCATAAATGCTCAGGAGTGGTTCGTGGACACGGACAGGTGGCCTGATGACATTTATTCCACCAGAAAGCATGAGCTGCAGCTGCAGCCATGGGCATGAGCGGGGTCAGGGGCTGATTCTGGCCAAGATTGTCTTCTAGGGTCTCAGTGGCCTCCCACAGGTACAGGCCAAAGCATGCGGGTTTTGGGGTGAGTTGGATCTAGGTTCAAATCCCAGCTTTGGGCTTGCAAACCATAGAAAGGGGGTAATGATAACACTCTCCTCATAAGGCAAGAAATAATGGCTGTAAAGATCGTGGCAGATGCCACATTCCAGCCAATCAATGGTGGCTCCTCTCATTGGACTCAAAGGTTATGATGAACAGTGGCCCTTCCACATGATGCCATTGGGCGTATGGAGGCAGATTGGAAAGAAAGGAACATGTACAGTAGGGGAATGTTTACTCTTCAAGATGCAGTGTTAAATCTTTGTTTTCTAGAAATTCAAGGAGAGGCATAACGTACAACTATGTGATTAGCTCTCGGCTTGGAAGAAACACATATAAAGAACAATATGCCTTTCTCTACAAGTAAGTATCACCTATGCTCCCTGGAACATGGCCACCAATAAATCGTGAATTGAATCAAAATGCATGTCTTTTCTTCAAAACCAAATTTTGATTTCTAACCAATTCTCAGTGTTCATCAAAATAATTGCTGTCAAAACTAGGGGCCTATGCAAAGTATTGACTCTTCAAGCTGAAAACACAAGGGGTCTCCAAACACCTAATTTGTTGGTTGGCTCCATGGTTGGCAGGCCAGGTGTTCTTTACTCCTCATAGTCAAGTCCTGGCCCAGGGCTGGAAAGCTGAGGTTCTCAGCACAGCTGATTCCTGAACTTCGTATTCTTTTCCTCTTCCTGCTAGTAATTTCTTAAGTCTGAACATTAACTTTTGGGTGCCACAGATAACTAGTATGGCTCAGATCTTCAGCTCCCAGATTCGCAACAGCTCCCTGGCTGTTGAGAAGAGTTGACTTAGCCTTGTTCTCAGGAAAACGATCCTGTGCTTGAGCCTGCTCTGGCTTCTGAGAAAGCCATGGGAACCTACATCTCTGCTTCATGAAAGTAGTAAGAAAAGGGCTGACTCAGCTGGGAGGACTTCCTTTTCCTTCTTATAGGGAAAAGCTGGTGTCTGTGAAGAGGAGTTATCACTACCATGACTATCAGGATGGAGACGCAGATGTGTTTTCCAGGGAGCCCTTTGTGGTCTGGTTCCAATCTCCCCACACTGGTAAGACCCACACAGGCCTTTCTGTCTGGGACCTCCCCAACGGCCCATGAATGCGCAGCAGCCTTGAGCATGAGCCCATTAAGGAGGCATTAGGCTGGATGTGACAGTGCATTGCTTCTAATACTTCAATGTAGACGATGCAGTTCAGTGTGATGGCACCAGGCTTGCTTCTCAGAATGCCATGACTCAAGACTTCCCCAGCCCAGAACCCACTTTCTGGAAGCAATGGTAGTCCACTCTCTTTGGAGAGTTTAGGCTCATGGAAATTGTTTTCTGCAATTCCTTGGTACCTGTCAAGTACAACTCTTCCTTCCTTTTTAAAAATCCTGGCTGGGTGCGGTGGCGCATGGCTGTAATCCCAGCACTTTGGGAGGCTGAGGCAGGTGGATCACCTGAGGTCAGGAACTTGAGACCAGACTGGCCAACATGGTGAAACCCCGTCTCTACTAAAAATACAAAAATTAGCTGGGCATGGTGGTGCGCACCTGTAATCCCAGCTACTCGGGAGGCTGAGGTAGGAGAATCACTTGAACCAGGGAGGCAGAGGTTGCAGTGAGCCGAGATCGTACCACTGCACTCCAGCTTGGGCGATAGAGTGAGACTCTTGTCTCAAAAAAAAAAAAAAAATCCTAAGCAATGGCTTAGGTGAACCCCTAGCCTAGAGGCTCACTCTCCCTCCAGTCACTGCATCGCAGACTCCTCCACAGGCCGCAGCGGGTGAGGAAATCCAAATGGATTGCTCCCTGAACTCTAACAACAGTACTTGTACTGGCCCCTGATTAAGTGCCAGCCTCCTGTAATCCTTGCAATGACTACAAGGTAGGGAGTAGGATTATCTCCACTTTACATTTCAGGAAACTGAGGTTTAAAAAGGCATGGAGTCACCCAGCTACTGAAATGGACAGGCCAGGGTTGTAACCCAGGCCACCACCTCAGGAGCTCATGTTCTTTTTTTTTTCTTCTGTTTTTGAGATAGGGCCTTGCTCTGTCATCCAGTCTGGAATGCAGTGGCATGATCTTGGCTCACTGCAACCTCCACCTCCTGGGCTCAAGCAATCTTCGCACCTCAGCCTCGCAAGTAGCTCAGACTATAGGCATGCACCACCACACTCAGCTAATTTTAAAATTTTTAAATAGCGAGATAGGTCTCGCTATGTTGCCTAGGCTGTTCTTGAACCCCTGAGCTCAAGCCATCTGCCTGCCTTGGCTTCCCAAAGTGCTGGGATTACAGGTGTAAGCCACTGTGCCCAGCCAGTGGTTAACATGCAGTGTTATGCAATGCTCGATGGAGTCAAGAATCAAATATTTTTTCAGTACCTACTATGTACCAGGCTCTGTTGAGGGCACTGGACAAGACAGAGGAGGTGACATTGGGCTGTGACCTGAAGAAGTCAGCCATACAGAGGGCTGGAGAAAGGGCATTCCACATGGAGGGCACAGTGAGCACAAAAGCTCAGAAGTGGGAAGGAAGCTGGAATATTTAGGGGGACCAAAAAGAGGATGGAGGAGTGCAGTGGAGGCCTGAGGAGGAGAGCTGGCAATGAGGACACGTGGGGCCCTGGATGCAGCCTGCTGGGCTGAGTTCTGGCTCCTCTCTGTGTGACTTGAGCAGTGACCGCCCCACAGCCCGTGTCTGTTGAGGTAAGAGTGGGAATCCAGGCTGAGAATGAGGGGAAGTCCCAGGAGGAGCTGCTCAGAAGGCGACAGCTGCTGTTAGCAGGTGGGCCAGGAACGGCTTCTGAGGCTCGCGCACATTGCCACACTCAGGCTCTCAGTCCTCCAACGGTGGGGGAAGGTTTTCAGACACTTCACAAAAGTCTTTCGTGAAGACCATGCTAATTTTTAAATAGCTTTTTGGAACTTTTGTTCTTAATTACAAAGGAGTATAAACTGACAAGCCTCATTTTTTTTTTTTTAGACAGAGTTTCACTCTTCTTGCCCAGGCTGGAGTGCAGTGGCGTGATCTAGGCTCACCACAACCTCTGCCTCCCAAGTTCAAACGATTCTCCTGCCTCAGTCTCCCAAGTAGCTGGGATTACAGGCATGCGCCACCACCCCCAGCTAATTTTGTATTTTTAGTAGAGACAGGTTTTCTCCATGATGGTCAGGCTGATCTGGAACTCCCGACCTCAGGTGATCCATCAGCCTCAGCCTCCCAAAGTGGTGGGATTACAGAAGTAAGCCAACACGCCTGGCCAATTTTTTTTTAACTAGAAAATGTGCGACTGGGCTCGGTGGCTCATGCCTGTAATCCCAGCACTTTGGGAGGCTGAGATGGGTCAGTTTATACTCTTTTTGTAACTCCCAGCTGGGTGTGGTGGCTCACACCTGTAATCCCAGCACTTTGGGAGGCTGAGATGGGTGGATCACCTGAGGTTGGGAGTTTGAGAGCAGCCTGACCAACATGGAGAAATCCTGTCTCTACCAAAAAAAAAAAAAAAAAAAAAAAAACAAAGCTAGCCAGGCATGATGGTGCATGCCTGTAATCCCAGTTACTTGGGAGGCTGAGGCAGGAGAATCACTTGAACCTGGGAGGCAGAGGTTGCAGTGAGCCGAAATTGTGCCATTGCACTCCAGCCTGGGCAACAAGAACGAAACTCCGTCTCAAAAAAAAAAAAAGGAAACCTTTAAAAAAAAGAAGAAAATACAACCATAAATATATGCAATTTTTCCTGTCAATTAAAAAAAGAAAGAAGAGGGATAAAATACATCAGAAACAAAAGAAAATACAGATTTGCCACACACACAAAAAGGGGAAAATAAAAGCACTCACAATGCCAGCATGGAACACAGTTGTTATAAGTAAAATGTTTATTTAGAAACAGAATGCTTGTTCCCTGGTACTGCAAGGAAAAATCAACATTCAGATAAAAAGTTTTCTCAGCAAGCCAATTTTACTTTCTGCAGAAAGGGTGCTCCTTGCAGATGGAACAATGGCGAGAGCACACCTGAATAAAGGAGGGAAGCAATTTTTATCCTTTACTCAGCTTGTCCCTGCTACTGTGTCCTGTCTCTCTATTGGCTGGAGCCAGACCACACAATCTAAGCTAACCCGACTGGCTAATAATTTAAACCTTTCTTAAATAGGTAAAGGCAAGGGAGAACAAAGGAAAAGAGGAAGTTGCTTATGCCAAATAGGGAAGGGGCAAAGGCTGTGAGCTGGAATGTGCCTGCGAGCTGGAATGTCCAGCACAAATATCTTGGTTAAGGTACAAGGACATAGAATGTACTATGTGCCTGTGAGCATGTCTAACAGCTACATAGGATAGAGCTTAACAAAGAGTTATTAGCACAAAGCAAGGAGACTTGAAGGAAGTTAGTCTTTAAAGGAAACTATTATTTCTAACACTTATGATTTATTCTTTAATAAGAAGGGAAACTTTGAAGAGGAAACTTTTTTACTTTCTACAACAGTCTACCAGCTTTCTCTTAGCCATGAAGGGCAACTGGGAGAAATGAGTCTTTCGTGTACTAAAAATAGGCAGCCTAATGACCCCAAGATCATTAAAATCTCGGCCACTGGCTGGACCCTCTGGGAACTGGGGACCCAGATAATGCAGCCTGTGCCTTCTGGAGGGGACAGCTGGTTTCCCTCCAGCAGTGTTTATGAGACCTTGACAGGGGAAGTGTGTGACCCCCGCCTCTTTCCTGTTTCTCAGCTGTCAAAGACTTCGTGATTATCCCCCTGCACACCACCCCAGAGACATCCGTTAAGGAGATCGATGAGTTGGTTGAGGTCTACACGGACGTGAAACACCGCTGGAAGGCGGAGGTGAGGACTGCTGTGTCAGACGAATTCCCATCTAGCAGGGGCAGGCTCTGGTCCCTGAGTGGGATGAGTACCTCTCCAGGGAGGGGGAGGAGGAAGGGCATGTGCAGGCTACCACCACTTACAGCATTCTTTAAGGCCTTTCTTCAGCCCTAAGTATCCCTTTTGCTAAATCTGCCTGGGTACCCTGCATGTGGGCCTTGGGAATTGCCACACTTTCCCATTAATAACAGATGCCAACATTTACTGAGTGAATAGCTAGTGCCAGGCACTGTGCTGAGACTTGACATGGACAAGTTTATTTAATCCTCCCAATAATCCCTTGAGGTAGCTACAGTACCTTTCTCATTCCCACTTTGCAATTGAGAAGTGTAAGGCATAGAGCAGTCAGGATTGTTTCAGTTGCAAGGGACAGAATCTTAACATGGCTCATGAAAAAAAGGAGCAATTGATTGGTTTGTGTAACTGAAATGTCCAGGAGTACTTCAGGCATAGCTGGATCCAGGGCTCAGACAAGGTAATCAGAGCTTGATTTGTCTCTTCCTTTCTATCTCCTGGTTGCCCTTTCCTCTGTGTGGCTCCATTCTCAGGTTGGTTCCATCCCTGGGATGGCAGGACAGCCACCAGCAGCCTCCAGACCAAAATAAATTTTCTTTCCCACAAGGCAACAAATAGTGTGGGACTGAGTCTCATTGGCTCTGACTGGGTCAGGTGTCCATCCCTGAACCAATCATTGTGATCAGGGTGTTGAGCTACTCTGATTGACTAAATCTGTGTCCACCCCAGCTCCACCCCAAACTCAGTTTGAGGTGGAGGAGGGATGGGTGGTCTCCCAAAGGAACTTGGGGTGCTGTTTTCACAGAAGGGGGCACATATTTGCCATCCCTATAGGCTCAGTTCTTTCCACTTTTGGAAGAGACCACTTGTGGCTGTGAGGGGCTGTGAAAGCTCTTGGTAAATATGGAAGTGCACCCAAGGGTTCTTCTTCTGTATTTCTCTTTTCTCGTTTCGGAATGTGACTCCTGTGATCCCCCTTCCTCCTCTTGAGTTCTGCTGCTCAAATGCAAAATGAATCAAATAAAGTGTGAACATAGTCCATCAGAGCTGGGGCATGGAAAAGACCAGGGGTGTATTTCATTGCTTATTAATAAATAGGTCAAAAGAAAGATTCATTCTTTCCAAAAATTATGAAATCATTCACTTATTAAACAAGAATGTATTGAGCATCTATTGAGTGTTGGGCTGTGGGGAGGCATCAGTGGCCTAAAAGTGAACAAGAGGGGAAACTGCTTCAGTGAAGCAGACTGGGATGTGATTCTTTTTTTTTTTTTTTCTTGAGATGAAATCTCGCTCTTGTCCCCAGGCTGGAGTGCAATGGTGCAATCTCGGCTCACTGCAACCTCCACCTCCCGGGTTCAAGTGATTCTCCTGCCTCCCGAGTAGCTGGGATTACAGGCATGTGCCACCACGCCTGGCTAATTTTTATATTTTTAATAGAAATGGGGTTTCACCATGTTGGCCAGGCTGGTCTTGAATGCCTGACCTCAGGTGATCCACCCGCCTCGGCTTCCCAAAGTGCTGGGATTACAGGCGTGAGCCACGGCGCCTGGCTGGGATGTGATTCTTGACTTCACCATTTGAACCTCCCAGTCCTGTGGCCTAGAGCAGGTCACTTAATCTCTCAATCCTGTTTCTATAGAAGTTAGTGGGCTCTTGTACCTCCTATTGTTTATTGCTGCCAGGTGTAAATTTAAAAACACCTAGTGCTAGGCCTGGCACATAGTGAATGTTCAGCAAATCATGTCTATATTAGCAGAAGCTGGTGATCACTGAGGTTAAGGATGACACTCTGTCCTCAACTGAACCCATCAATCATGGGGAAAATTGTGATCACCAAGGTCAAAATAAAATGTTCTTGAAGAAAACTCTGAAGTCAGCAATGCCCCACCAAACAATAGCACAAACAAGGAAATCTGGCACTTCCTCTGGATTGTGGAATGTTGAAAATTCTGTTCCAAGAGCCTTGCAGGGAAAAATATTTCCAAGATAGGAAGTTTCTCTTGGTGGCCTTGGGTGGGGGTGGACAGCTCACTCAATGGTCCCCTCCCCTGAAGATGCCTCCCACCTCCTCAAGGGACTGAATTTTCACAGAAATAAGTTTCCAACTTCAAAACAATAGGAGAGAAAGAGTGATGCCAGGGTTGTCAATACACCACCCAAATTCACTTTTCCTGCTTGAAAGCAAAAGGCGTTGATTCATTCGTATATTTACACCCTACAGTAGTTTGAGCCAGGGACAAAAGATGTGAGGGAATAGATTCACTGAAATTTTTTTTATCCACACCTGACTCTGCATGCTGAATTATGGAAATGTGGCGACTAAGAACAGCAAACATTCTCCTTCCTGTTAAGAACATCCTCCCTGGTACGCACTCGCCTGTCATCGACTCATCAAAACTGTGACTCAATTTTAAACAACAAAAAGAAATTTTTAAAGACCTTATATTCATTTGCTAGAGCTGCCATAACAAAGTACCATACTGAAGACTGGGAAGTTTAAACAATAGAAAGTGAGTTCGTCACCGTTCTGGAGGCTGGAGTCCCAGAACAAGGTGTGCCAGCAGGGCTGGTGTCTTTTGGGGGCCTCTCTCCTTGGTTTGTAGACGGCCATCTTCTTCCAGTGTCTTTACATGGTCTTTGCTCCACTTTTCTGTGTCCTAATTTCCCCTTTTTACAAGAACGCCAGTCATATTGGATTAGAGCCCATCCATATGACCTCATTTTACCTTAATTCCCTCTTGAAAGGTTCTATCTCCAAATACAGTCGCATTCTAAGGTGCTGGGGGTTAGAACTTCAACATAGGAATTTGGCCGGGGCGGGAGCAGGGGGTAGACAAGATTCAGCCCATAACAGACCCTGTTGTTTACTGGGCCTGGGACGCAGAGTCTTTGCTAGAGTCCAGTGTGAAAGCATTCTGCAGCAGCACCCACCAGGTGACAGTTCCAAATCTTGTCTTTTAGAATTTCATTTTCATGGGTGACTTCAATGCCGGCTGCAGCTACGTCCCCAAGAAGGCCTGGAAGAACATCCGCTTGAGGACTGACCCCAGGTTTGTTTGGCTGATCGGGGACCAAGAGGACACCACGGTGAAGAAGAGCACCAACTGTGCATATGACAGGTAGGAGGCCCTGCAGGGTGCTGCTGGCTCACCACAGTGCTTGGTGTGCACTAGGAAAGACGCAAGGTGGCTGGGCACTGTGGCTCACGCCAGTAGTCCTAGCACTTTGGGAGGCCTCGATGGATGGATCGCTTGAGTACAGGAGTTTGAGACCAGCCTGGGCAACATGATGAAACCCCGTCTCTACAAAAAATACAAAAATTAGCCAGGCATGGTGGCACACACCTATACTCCCAGCTACTCAGGAGGCTGAGGTGGGAGGATCGCTTGAGCCCAGAAGGTGGAGGCTGCAGTGAGCCAGGATCGCACCACTGCACTCCAGCCTGGGTAACAGAGTGAGACTTTGTCTCAAAAATAAAAAATAAAAATAAAAATAAGAAAAGCACACTGCTTGCAGAGCTGAGTCAATTAAATGTCAGGCCCCTCTACTGGGTACCACATGTAGCGTATGAACCACAGGACCCTATGCGGTGGCCCTGGGCACTGTAGCTTAGCAGAGGTAAGCACTGGCTTCGCTATCAGATAGGCCTGGATTTAAATCCTGACATTATCACTTCATATGTCTGTGACCAAGAGACAAGCTCTCTGTGTCTTTCATTTCCTCCCCTGTAAAATGGAAGTTATCCTAGTGCCTCACTCATGAAGATCCGATGTGGAGTAAATGAAATAACATGTCAGGCTGCTAGCACAATGCCTGGCATACGGCAAGTGCTCATTACATTCATGGGCTGATCATTGTTCCATCACAAAGACTTACCGCAATTGATGCGCCCAATCCCCATCATTAGGCATTGGGTTATTACCAAGGGTTTGCTGTTATAAATACTGCTAAAATCAATATCCTCTGTGCATTTTGTGCAAGTATTTATGATTTCCTCAGGAAGCAACCCTAAAAATGAGACCAATTAGTGCAACGGTATTTATATTTTTAAAGCTTTAGCTACATATTCCTAAATGCAATGCATACATTTAAGTCCTAGCATTCCCTCGTGCTTTTTAAAGTCCCTTCAGGGATTTTCAAACAGCTTTCATCTTTGCTCCTTCAATGGGGACAGAGGGGGGAGTGCCTGAGGCGTGTGAATGTTAGTGATCTTCCATCACAGAGACCACAGGTGGGGAAACCCCTAGGAGCCTGGTCCCAGGTGGTGGCCACAGTTCCCAGAGCTCAGCCTGCCACGAGGAAGTGTGAGATGGCCATCTGCATGAGAGCCACCAGGCCACTCGTTTTCACTTCCTCTCGGAGTTTTTTTTTTTTTTTTTTTTTTTTTTAGACAGAGTCTCGCTCTGTTGCCCAGGCTGGAGTGCAGTGGTGCGATCTCGGCTCACTGCAAGCTCCGCCTCCCGGGTTCACGCCATTCTCCTGCCTCAGCCTCCCGAGTAGCTGGGACTACAGGCGCCCGCCACCACGCCTGGCTAATTTTTTTTTTTTTTTGTATTTTTAGTAGAGACAGGGTTTCACCATGTTACCCAGGATGGTCTTGATTTCTTGACCTCGTGATCCGCCCGCCTCGGCCTCCCAAAGTGCTGGGATTACAGGCGTGAGCCACCATGCCCGGCCTGTTCCTCTTGGAGCTTTTGAGGCTGGTGTTTCCTTTGCAGAAGTTATCACTCTGCAAAGTGGGAACCCAAGGCGGGGAGTTACAGGGGTCTAAGTGCCCAGACCCCCTATTTTGAAGGACTTCCAGCAAAGCCTGGACGATGGCCACTCACTCAGTTACACATGGCAGTTGTGTGCCCGTGGGTAGGTCAAGTCCCTTCTCCAGCGCCATTCTTCTCCCCTGGCAAATGAGTGGGAAGTGATTGAAAATGATACAGAAGAATCAGAAGGCAACATGGCCACAGTAGATCAGGTCAGGGGTAGAACAGGTTAGAAAAAGATGTTTACTAAAAGGATCCTGATTTTATACACATGTATCCCAAAGGATGGTGGGATTACATGTGACATTTTAAAGATTCATTTCTTATTTTGATGCTCTGAATTTTGTTTCTCATAACAACATGTATAACTCTTGTGCCTCTTTTTTTTCTTTTTTTTGAGACAGAGTCCTGCTCTGTCGCCCAGGCTGGAGTGCAGTGGCAGGATCTTGGCTCACTGCAACCTCCGCCTCCCGGGTTCAAGCGATTTTCCTGCCTCAGCCTCCCAAGTAGCTGGGATTACAGGCATACACAAACATGCCCCGCTTTTTTTTTTTTTTTTTTTTTTTTTTGTAATTTTAGTAGAGATGGGGTTTCGCCATGTTGGCCAGGCTGGTCTTGAACTCGTGACCTCAGGTGATCCGCCTGCTTTGGCCTCCCAAAGTGCTTGGATTACAGGTGTGAGCCACCATGCCCGGCCTCTTGTGGCTTTTAAAAAGTCATAGGCCAGTTGTGGTGGCATATGCTGTAATCCCAGCTACTTGGGAGGCTGAGGCAGGAGGATCACTTGAGCCCAGGAGTTCAAGGCTTTAGAGCAACATGATCACATGCCTGTGAATAGCCACGGCACTCCAGCCTGGACAACATAGTGAGACCTGTCTCAATACAATAAAATAAAAAGTAAAATTAAATAAAATAAACGGAGAAAATGAAAAGCCATAAAAATGATGTTTTAAAAATGTAATTAGACAAGATGGTCTCAGTTCCAGTCTTTGTTCCATGTTCACATATTTATCAAACACCTCTCATGTGCTGAGTGCTGGGGGAACATGCAAAGATGCCCAGGATCTGGCTGGTGCCCTGGACTGAAAACGTCACATGAACACTGGCCTGGTCCTGCACATCCCTAGAAGAAGTCAGAAATGGAAGAGCCTTTAACATGTCATTCTTTGCTTTCTGAGTCTTAAAGAAAGCTTTCACAAATGTCTAACTTGATGCGAAGAATTTACATTTGGGTTGAATTAAAAGCCGTAGCCCGGGCCGGGCGTGGTGGCTCACACCTGTAATCCCAGCACTTTGGGAGGCTGCGGCCGGTGGATCACGAGGTCAGGAGATCGAGACCATCCTGGCTAACACAGTGAAACCCCGTCTCTACTAAAAAATACAAAAAAAATTAGCCAGGCGTGGTGCCGGGCACCTGTAGTCCCAGCTACTCGGGAGGCTGAGGCAGGAGAATGGCATGAACCCAGGAGGCAGAGCTTGCAGTGAGCCGAGATTGCGCCACTGCACTCTAGCCTGGGTGACACAGAGAGACTCCGTCTCAAAAAAAGAAAAAAAAAAGCCGTAGCCCTGGAGCGGTGGCTTACACCGGTAATCCCAGCACTTTGGGAGGTTGAGGTGGGCGGATCACCTAAGGTCACGAGTTCAAGACCAGCCTGGCCAACAGGGATAAACCCCGTCTCTACTAAAAATACAAAAATTAGCCAGGCGTGGTGGCACACACCTATAATTCCAGCTACTTGGGAGGCTGAGGCAGGAGAATCGCTTCAACCCGGAAGGTGGAGGTTGCAGTGAGCTGAGATGGCGCACTGCACTCCAACCTGGGTGACAGAGCATGACTGTGTCTCAAAAAAAAAAAAAAAAAAAAAAAAGTTAGTTGTGCTGGTGATGTTAGCAAATGCAGATACCAAAACTGTTGATTAGAATGGGGAAGGCCCACTGGTCACTCATGAAATGGCAGTTTGACTCACCTTGCCATTCCTCGGGAAGTCACTCAGGACCACGTAGACCACAACTGCATCACCCAACTTGGGATATGTTAGTTTGTTTCCAAAACTCATTTGACTACCTCATTCTTACTTTTTGTCATTATTGCAAAGCACATATGCTGTGATTTTTCTCGATATTTTCCATTAAATCGCTTAATTTCTTGCTGAAATAAATTTTTAAAAGAAATTTCATGATACTAGCATGAGTAAGAAAGCAGCAGCATTTGCCATAAATTGAAGGTAACGTAAAAATTAAGTCCAGTGAAAATCACGCCTTGTTAAATTCTGCCTTAATTCTCTTGCCTGCAGAATGCTCGGAGATGGCAGCCTACTCTCTGTCAACACGGGACTGAGGGAGGTATTAAAGACAAACCAGCACCTCCCTGAGAATTTCTCCATAATCAAATCAGGGAAAGTGAAAAATAATTGAAAAAGGAACAGCGTTCTCAGTACGCAAGTCATTGTTGTGTGGGATAGTGTGCGTGTGTCATATAAAATCTTCTCCTACTCCACCAGAACATTGCCCACACTGGGAGACAGTGTCCTGGTGTCCACAGAACCATGGCAGGGACTGATCCTATTTCACAGTTGTAGGCACTGTCCTTTGGGGTCACAGGCTAAAACCAGCTCTGGACTTTGAGCGCCACATGAAAGGGCCAGACTGCTCGGTTAATTCCAGACAGCAAACACAGACCTTGGTTTGATCTCAGCAATCACAGGTTGGATTAACACAACTGTTTTCCCTCCCCTTGTTCCAGGATTGTGCTTAGAGGACAAGAAATCGTCAGTTCTGTTGTTCCCAAGTCAAACAGTGTTTTTGACTTCCAGAAAGCTTACAAGCTGACTGAAGAGGAGGTAAGGTTGCCATCTTGTCTTTCTATGCCATTGTCCTGGAAAGATGAGTTAGCTTGGGCAACATGATGAGACTCCATCTCTATGAAAAATTCAAAAAAATTAGCTGGGCATGGTGATGCATGCCTATGGTCCCAGCTACTTGGGAGGCTGAGGTGGGAGGATCACTTGAGTCCAGGAAGCGGAGGTTGCAGTGAGCCAAGATCGCACCACTGCACTCCAGGCTGGGCAACAGAGTGAGATCCTGTCTCAAAAAAAAAAAAAAAAAAAGATGGGTTGATGCCACCCTTTGAGGTCACCACTGAAGACACAACATTGGGCACTAGACCTTGACCCTCAATGCCTATGATTCTGTGATTTGAGGCCCCTCCAAAATTTCTGATCGAGCTGGTCTTGGAATGACGCTTACCAGTAAGTGTTCTGTGGGGTGACTTCGGGCATTTCCTCTCCCCTCCCTGGTCCTAAATTTGCTCATCGCTAAAATGAAAGCATCTCCCAGGCATCTCCTAATTTCCATGTCTACCTCCCCTTTCTCCTTATAGGCCCTGGATGTCAGCGACCACTTTCCAGTTGAATTTAAACTACAGTCTTCAAGGGCCTTCACCAACAGCAAAAAATCTGTCACTCTAAGGAAGAAAACAAAGAGCAAACGCTCCTAGACCCAAGGGTCTCATCTTATTAACCATTTCTTGCCTCTAAATAAAATGTCTCTAACAGATATGAACTGCTCCCTGTACTTAGGAAACAAGAGTGATCCAACTGCTTTCATTTTTTGACCTGAATTTATTCTGACTTGAGCCAAATTGGAAGGAGAATCTTTTGTATCTCTCTTGGTCTCATACCTCCCCTGAATTGTCTAAAAGGGAACCAGGGGCATTTGTAGACCAAAATGATGATCTTCATGCCCTGAGCCAGAGCCCCATCCACTGTCACTGGCCCTGCTCAACCCTGTCATGCGAGAGGCTGCAGGGGGAGGAAGAGCGTCAGCTTTCAGTCCTCATGAGGGGTCCTGTTCCACACGCAATGACCAGAAACACCAAGGCCCCAGCTGCCCCTGTGATTTGGGCAATTAACTGTTTTAAGAGTCTGCCCCCTCCTCTCTGAGGTCAGGCCACCATCACGTCTCACAGTGTTGAGGGATAAAGGCCACTCCCACCTGGTTTCTCTGCCTTCGAATTGTCCTCCAACTCAGCCAGCCCAGGAAGCATCAGTGTCATCCTCTGAAATACTAATCTGACCACAGCCCACCCTCAGTCCCACCCTCAGTCCCACCCTCTGCCCATAAATCCTTCAGCGGCTCCCATCACCATGGGAGAGAGCTCAGTCTTGGCCACCATGAAGGTCTCTGCTATCTGGCTTATTGCGCCAGCCCCACCTTCTGCCAGGGTCCCACCCTGAACCCCTGCTCCAGGAGGATGTCCTCCGCCCTGCATACCCCATGCTCTCCCTCCCTGGGGGCCTTGGCTCTGCCCCCCCCATGCCCTGCCCTATTCCAGAGCCCGGGCCAAGTGCCCCCAGCCCTCATGT